>NC_000011.10:113233030-113536060 GCF_000001405.40 Homo sapiens | reverse complement strand
TCCCACTTATAAGTGAGAACATGCGGTGTTTGGTTTTCTGTTCCTGTGTTAGTTCACTGAGAATGATTGTTTCCAGCTTCATCCATGTCCCTGCAAAGGACATGAACTCATTCTGTTTTATGGCTGCATAGTATTCCATGGTGTATATGTTCTTTATCCAATCTATTATTGATGGGCATTTGGGTTGGTTCCAAGTCTTTGCTATTGTGAATAGTGCTGCAATAAACATACGTGTGCATGTGTCTTTAAAGCAGAATGATTTATAATCCTTTGGGTATACACCCAGTAATGGGATTGCTGGGTCAAATGGTATTTCTGGTTCTAGATCCTTGAGGAATCGCCACACTGTCTTCCATAATGGTTGAACTAATTTACACTCCCACCAATAGTGTAAAAGCGTTCCTATTTCTCCACATCCTCTCCAGCATCTGTTGTTTCCTGACTTTTTAATGATCGTCACTCTAACTGGTGTGAGATGGTGTCTCATTGTGGTTTTGTTTTGCATTTCTCTAATGACCAGTGATGATGACCTTTTTTTCGTATGTTTACAACTTATATTTTTTGAATGTCTTCTTCTGTGCTAGATTTTTGTTTGTTTGTTTTCTTTTGATTTGAGACAGAGTCTCACTCTGTTGCCCAGAGGCTGGAGTGCAATGGCATCATCTTGGCTCACTGCAACCTCCACCTCCCAGGTTCAAGCAATTCTCCTGCCTCAGCCTCCCAAGTAGCTGGGATTACAGGCATGCACCACCACACCTAGCTAATTTTTGTATTTTTAGTAGAGACGGGGTTTCACTATGTTGGCCAGGCTGGTCTCGAACTCCTGATCTCAGGTGATCCACCCTCTTCAGCCTCCCAAAATGCTGGGATTACAGGCATGAGCCACCATGCCCAGCCTGTTGTTTGTTTTTCTAATGCATCATTCCATGTAATCCTCATAAGAAACCTGCAGTGTAATAATTATTATTTCCATTTTATGGACAAGGAAACTGAGTGAGGTTCAGAGAGGTTAAGAAAATCACCCCAGGTCATACAGCTAGTCCTTGGAGAGGTGGATCTAGCCCTTCTTTGTTCTCATTTCTCTTATTCTACCCAAGAAGACCTTTTGTGGTGTTGGCTTCGGCTCATTCTGGGCTTCAGCCTTCCTGACATTATACTTAAAGGTCTGTGTCACTCGTGTGTATTCATCCTGTGCAATCACACTTCTTCTATATCAGAGTCATTTGCAATTGTCTTGTCAGAATTTCTTTCTTGAAAGTCATCCCTTCAGAGCTGTCTGCCATGAGAGTGTCAGGTCATGGGATCAGCCGATCTTTTCTCTGAAGATTTTGCAATCTGACTTGTAAAAACTAAGGTACAAGTAAGACCATGCCCAGCTCTTTTCTTCGTGAATAGCATGAACTTTGAGGTGACCTGGCTACTATTTCTCAGGATTTCTCTCTTTGTTCCTTCTCTAAGCAGTTGCCGCTTGTTAAAGCAGAATTAGATTCCAAATAGATACCTTCTTCTACCCACAACCTCTGCTTTCTGAGAGATTAAATTGCTGAGGCAAACCAAGAATGTATTTCAATACATTAATTGCTTTGCTTTTGTCTAAATGATAGTTTCTAGAATGATAAGTAGTTGTAAGTAAAGTTGATTAGGTAAGTTACACTGGGAGAGGACCCTATTTCTATAGGGTCTTTTTTTAAAAATAGAAATTTTGATTTTATGACAACTTGCAGGGACTTACTGGGATCCCTTCCTGAGCATGCTTATGTCATTATAAATGCAATTAAGTAGAGCTATATTGGAGTGTATGTACAGTTTTATGTAAAACAACATTACATGATTTTGTATGAGGTAGAAGAGATAGAGGAGTGGTTAACAGCGTGGAGTTTTGGAGACAAACAGGTATGGAGTTCAGTGCTTTCTCAATACTTCATTAGCTCTGAGACTCCGGTAAATTCCTAACATCTTTAGGGTTTAGTTTCCTTACCTGTAAAGTGATGGTGATATACACAGTCTCTATACCCATCTCATAAGGCTGCATGAAGACTAAATGGGGTAACATGTGTAAATGCTTATCACAATGCTTGGTGTATAGTAAAATACTCAATTAACAGTAGATATTATGTGGAATGACATTTGTTTGTATAGGAAATTGTTTTGGCTTATAGAAGTGTGTGTAAATCTGAATGTGAAAATCTGAGTACATATTTCCAGAATATTTTAGTCTCATTGCTGCTTTTTAACACAGATGTTCACAGATACATGATGGTGAGTCCTGAGGACAGGGAGACCTTGAGGAGACTGAGGAGCTTTGAGTCCTTTTAAATTAAAAATCCAAAGAGTTGGAGAGCATTTAAGTTGGAGAAGAGAGTTGACTTCAGAGGTACAGGTGGGCGCTACATGAAAGGTTCCTTCTAAGATGTGAAGGGCCACGCAGGTTCCTTTTCTCCAAAGGGCAGAGGGATGGAACTCTGACCCGCCATGCTGGCTGGTGAAGGATCACCTCTCTCAGGAGGCAGAAGGTGCACCTATGGAGGCCAGGCAGCCTCCTCCTCCCTCCTACGATCTCTTTCCCCTGGCAGGAGGCCAAGACAGCCATCTCCAAGGTGTTTTCCAAGCCAATTCCCTGTGCTTCATGGAAAAGAGCAGCAGCCTGCATGTGTGTATTTCCCCAACCTAAGCTCCAACTTTGATCTTCAGGCAGCACAACATTTGTTTTTAGAAAAAAACTCATCCAGCTCAGAGGTGATGAGGGTGACAGGGCTGTAATTATCACCTGTTCCTCAGCACCTAGTGTACCGTGGGAAAGGTGCTGACAGCTCTGAACTCTCTTTGTGTGGGGAGTGAAGCCCCCAACCTCTGCTTAGAACATTTGACACAGACAGACAGCTGTGGGGCCACGTGGGGGTGGGCGTGGGGTGGGGGTGGAGGGGGCCTGTCACCTCCTCCTCCATCACCTCCTCTTCTCCCTAGGCTGTGAGAGTGGGCTGAGAGCCCTTGCACGTGTCTCCATTCTTAGACACATTTTTATAATAATCAGCTATATTTCACTTAAGAGTCTCTTCAGGGTGCCAGACCTTACAAAAAAGAAAAGGAAAGCAATGGGTATTAATTTGTGATTAACTGGACTTCATTGGGAACCAAGGGGCAGGATGGAAGAGTGACCTCCAGAGGGCGCCAGAGTGATTCCATGCTAAGCCGCGGCTAAGGAAGTCCCCAGGAATACAGTGGAAAGAGGTCGGCTGCAGTGTCAGAAAAACCCGGGCTACAAACCTGATTCTGCTTCTTCCTCAACAAGTGGCTTTGGACAGTGCACTTGACCTATTAGAGATTCAGCTTGCTGGTCTGTAAAATGAGGGTAGCAATACCCTACTTTCAAGGGTTGCTGTGAAGGCTCCATGAGATAAAGGATTCAGGATTAAATGAGATAACAAAGACCAAGAAGGGAGGGGAGATACAGAATGATTGCAAAAGATCTGTGTTACCACTGACACCTTAAGTCCGTTACCCGCACACTGAATTAAGGCCGACTGGTCATAGATGGTCAGCAGTTTTCATACGTCCATCAGTGTTCTTAGAATAAAGCTGGAAATCAGTGAACAGCCCCGTTGGCTTTTGTCATGGCATTGTTTTCAATCAACAGACGCTAAGCACTGTGGCTGCTCTTGTGAAGGGATCTGCAGATGGCTTAGACATGAAACAAGAGTCCTCAGAAGCCCCCAGGAACCCCCAGGAAGGTTGGGAACCACAGAGACAATGCAGGTAAAGCGCTTCTCTCCCCACTTTCCTGAGCCCAGAGGAGAAGAGGCCCCTTCTGACCTGGGTGGGCTCTGCTTGTTCTCCTCCAGGGCTGCCAGGAGGTCACAAGGAATGTGCCATGTGCCACCAGCAGGCCCCGACAGGTCTTACTAAGCTCCTTGAAAAGTCTGGCCCTAGTTTCCCCCTTCCTTTCCTGCAGTATCAGCTCCCAGTCAGGGACATTGCCCAGGGAGGCCTTCCTGCTCCTCAGAGTAACACGTGTCATGTGGCCTCCTTTTATGATTAGTGTTCTTCTCAACTGCCCTCTAGTAGGAGGGGTGAGAGGCAGAGGCTCAGAAACTTGCAACTGGGAACATATGTCTTTCTGGCACCAATTCTGAGAGCAACCTCACCAGAAGAAAACTCCCCTGCTTCCTCCTACTTCCACCAACTGGAAAATGAAACGTCTGCTCCAGGCGTTCCCTGGAGTTCAGCTGTGCAGCCTCTAGGCAGGGGCCCTAGAGCTACTAGCATCGGGTTCTACCACCTACTAGCCAGGGGTATTGTCACCCAAACAGCCTGAGCCACAGCCACCACTGCCCATGCCTGATTCCAGTGGCCACCCTATGGCTGCCCCTGCCTCTCTCCTGGCTTGTCTTAAGGCTGGTGTTGTATCCTCTTGCTCCTCAAAGAGTGCTTCCTAGGGCTGCAGGATCCCGTCCTTGGAGTGCTTGCTAGAAATGCAAAATCTCAGCACCCTTCCTTACGCAGACTTCCTGAATTAGAATCTGTATTTTAACATGATCCCCAAGTAATGCTCACGTACAATAAAATCTGAGAAACATGGATCTAGCTCACCTGATGGTTTCCCATCACTGCCTAACTACTTTATGATAAAAATGACTTCTGGCTACACAGCACCAGGGGCTGAGAACACGGTACCAAGAAATGGTCATGGGAATCTTTGCTAGAAGTCAGAGAAAGCCCGCTAGCATTATTGAAGCCAGGCAATTTATAGGCATGGTCAGAGTTCACTCTTACACCCTCTTTCTAAGGCAGGTGTTATCCCCGTGTCTGGAGGAACAAACTGAAGATCAAAGAGGTCTGAAATGAGCTCACCATTCCAGAGCTAGTAAGAGGGCTGTGTGGGGGACAGAGGAGAGAAAGGGATGTTGGGCAAAGGAACAGCACATGTAAAGGCACAGAGGTGTGAGACAGCATCATCAGCATCATCAACAAGAAATCCTGCATGCAGGACACTGGGCTTCACATTCATTCATTTCATTTATTCATTCCGCAGCTACTTGCCGAGTACTCAGTATGTGCCATGCTCTGTGCTGGGCAACACAGTTGCAATGTAGAATCAGGTAGGCATAGTCTCTGCTCTCAAGGAGCTGCCTTTCTGCTGGAAAAGAAGGATTTTATATTCACAAAAGTGATTTAATTGTAATTGAAGCAAGAGCCACAAAGTATAAAAAAAAAAAAAAAGAAACCTAGCTTAGTCTTGAAGAAAAGGATACTGTGTATAAATAAACAGAAAGACATCCTTGTTTTAGGGCTCCTCAACTTTCAAGATTCCCCTTGGTGGCTCCCAGGAGTGCTGTCTACTCTCCTGGTTGGTGGTTCTTCTCCTGCTGCTCCTAAGCAGCAATCATGGGTCTGTGCACAATGCCAGGCACATAGGGATGCTGGACAAAGGGAAAAAAGTGTGGATTCTACCCTGCAGCAGAAGGGGGCCAGAGCACAGGATTCCCCTTGGGTCTAACACCACCTGAATTTCTGCATGGGGCTGGGTAGGAGTTGGTGTGGAATGTTATTTTGTTTTGTTCCAAGATCAAAAGCCCCAAGAGGCTGGAGCTTCGTGCAGTTTTGCTGCCAGGTGTGCTTGTAAGGAGGTCCAGAGGAAGGCAACATCAGAGCCCAGCCTGGCCTTCCTTTCTTCTCCCTGACAAAGGCCACTCACATTTGTATACAGCTGTGGCTTTTCTTGGGTGTTTCCATTTTATGGTTGTGCATTTATTTGGGGGCTTAATTTTCTAACTTGGGTCTGGCTTTTGCTGGCAGCCCTGGTCCCAGCAAATGGCCTTGGTACACTGGGCAGCTGCAGGGACCAGCTAGGCTTGCCAGGGAAGCTGTATTCCTGTGCCAGGAATCAGGCACATGGGAGTTTCCATATTGGCCTGTTTCTGTTGTCTATTGCGGCATAACAAATCATCCTCAAAATGATCATAACAAATAGTGCCTAAATTGAACAATGGCAATTCAGTGGGTTGGTTGGGCTCAGCTAGGTGGTTTTTCTGCATTCTACAAGATACAGGTGAGGTCAATCATGAGAATGCATTCACCTGGGAGGTCTATAGAGGCTGGAATGTCCAGGATGATCTCTCTTCCTTCAGGCTTCTCTCCATGTGGCCTCTCACAGAGTGCTAGTTTCCCCAAGGCTTCTTTACACCTTGACAGCTGGCTTCCAGGAGGGAGAGTTTCAAGAGGATAAGCCCCAGTGTTCAAGCACTTACCCACCCAGCCTTTGTTTGTGGCATGCTTGCCAGTGTCTCACTGGCCAGAGAAAGTCATGTGGCTGAGCTCAGAGTCACTGTGGGAGGGGACTACTCAGGGTATAATTACCAGTAAATGTGCACACTGGGCACCACCAATGTAGCAGTGTTCCATGTGGCCCTTGGAAGTGAAGCTGCCGTTAGCTGCTTAGGAAAGTAGTACAGGGCTTGATGGAGCAGGTCTGGAAGGTGAAAGAGCAGTACTGGGAGGGGCACATGTCTTTAACATATTTTATTCAATCAGTTGTTCAACAAGTACTAAGTAGTTCAAACTAGTAGTAGGCACTATACCAGACCCTGGGTGTACCAAGATGACGAAGACATCACCCTTGCTCTCCAGGAGCTCACAGATTATTAGCCACAGAGAGACGAATCAGCAATACCATAGCATATGTGGTCTGTTTTAGAACTGAGTTTCACTTTGGCTACTATAGAGTAAAAAAGGAGAGGAATTTAAATCAGACTGAGGGTCAGGGAAGGCTTCCCTAGGGAAGGATACTTGAGCTGAGTCCTGAAGCAACATAGGAAACTGTCCAGGTGGACTTGCACCAGGCATTCCAAGCCCAGGAGAGAGTGTGGGTGAAGTTCCAGGGAACAGAAATGCCTTGAAGCAACCACAGAATTGCATGTCACTCTTCATTCCACACATTCAGAAGGCAGGAACTGTGTGGGAGATAAGCCAGGAAAGCCTAGGGCATGAGGGTTCTTGTCCTCTATCATGCCCTATTCTCTTTGATACCAAGGGAGAGCATTAGAAAGACATCTTCTTTCTGCATAATGGCATTTAAATGGTTTCCTACGTGTATAAAATATAATACAAATGGGAAAACATTATTCTGGCCACCACCCACTGAGTGAATAGGCTGTGCCAAATTTGAGTTATGATTTGATGGCAGCCTGAACTGAGTTAGAGGCAATTGGAAGGGAGAGAGAGACATGTGAGAGGCACTTAGGAGGTTATGAATGTGAGATTTGCCACCAGGTGACTCTGAGGGCTGAGGAGGAGTATCTAAGGACAGCGCCATCCTCTTCTGCCCTCCCATCCATGCACCTGCGTCCAGGGGGCACAGGAAGTCCAGAGCCAACCAAGGGAAGCATTTGGCACGCTTGGGGCCTTATGGGACGCACCTTTGAAAGGAGTGACCTCTAAAAGGGGACAAGACTGATCTGTATTAATATGCTGTCCACCCTGTTGACACCCTGCAAATAGATGTGGTCCACAGCAGTACATGTGAGTGGGAACTGCTGGGGCTCTTGCATAGCACCACAGGGATTCAATCCTGGCTCAGGTGCCTTCTAGCTCTGTGATCTTAGATGAGTTACCTCAACTCTATGTGCCTCAATTTCCTCATCTGTGGAATGAAGGATACTTCATTGGCTTTTTTGGCCAGGTTTACATGGGATGATGGAGAAGGGTGCTGGAACATAGAAAGCACCCAATAAATGGAAACTATAATACTTATTAAAATAGGTTTTTTTCTACTTATGGAATAAGTAAGGCTTTCAAATTGTTCCAAGTTTAGAAAGTACAAAATTATGTGTACAGGGAAACGTCTCCTTCTATCACTGTCCTCTAGAAAGCTAGGTTTTCTCCCTGGCAGTGATAAATAGTACTAGCTTCTTAGGCCTTCTTCTCAAGATAGTTTGCATATGCTTAAGAAAAGGCATATATAATCCCACTTTTTATTACAGAAGTGGTGATGCCCTTCATAACACTGCATGGCACTTTTTGGCTATAATTTTAATGAGATAGTTTCTTTAAGTGGTTTCTTATTGTCCAGCTTTTTGTTATTATAAACAATGGTGCAATTAAAAACAAAGGACATCATTTCACTCATGCTGGAGTATACATAAGGACGAATTCCTGGAAGTAGAATTTCTGGATCAAAAGAGTACATGCATTTTAAATGTTGTTCTTTACTGTTAAGTTCCATAGAGGCTATACCAATTTACATTCGCACCAACGATGGTGATCATGTAGGGAAACACATTATCGTACATTGTTGGAGAACTTGGTATAACCTTTATGGAGAGTAATTTAGCAATATCTAAAAACGTGTCATCAAACATTTTCATATTTGCAAATCTAATCGGTGACAAATTGTATTTCAGTATAGTTTTATTTTGCAATTCTCCTATTGTAAGTAGAATTCAGCAATTTTCCCTAAGCTTAAAACACGTTCACCTTCTTTCTCAGTAAATGGTTCCATATCACTTTGTTCATTTTTTTCTATTGTGCTGTTACGTTTTACTTTTCTTATTGATTTATGAAATCTTTATATATTAAAGAAATTGTGTTATGATTTGCAAATATTTTCTCAGTTTTTAATTTGTCTTTTTATCTTACTCATGAAAGTTTTTGCCATGCAGAGCTTTAAAAACATTCATGTTAGTGAGATTTTCAGTTTTTCTTTTATGGCTTTTGAGGTTTACATGGTACTTAGGCCATTGATACTTGGAGATGAGAAGAAAAATGTTTTCTTCTGGCATGATGGAGCCTTTGAGAGAGAATTAGGGTTAGATTAGGTCATGAGAGTGGGTCCTCAAGTTGAGATTAATGCCCTTATTAAAAGAATACCTGAGATCTGATCTCTGGACCATGCGTGGATACGAGAAAGGGGCTGTCTATAAGCCAGGAATCAGCCATTCACCAGTCTTCTAATCTGCCAGCACTTTGATCTTGGACTTCCCAGCTTTCAGAATTGTGAGGAATAAATGTTTGTTGTTCAAGCCCCTCAATCCATGGCATTTTTGTTATAGCAGCGTGAACTGACCAAGTCAGATATTGGTAAGGTTGCTGGTCTACAGCTGGGTTTTGGAATCAGTGTTAGGCTTGTTTCATTCAATAGGATGTAGTAGAATTCCTTCTTTCTGTGCTCTAGAAAATAAAGATTAAGAAATTGCTTAAAATTTTCTTTTTCTTCTCTTAAAAATAAGCTTAGAAAGTAACCTTTGTAATAATTTCTGGCCTGGTAGTTTTATGAAAGGAAATTAGCCAACTTTTTCTGTTTATTCTTTTGTAATTGATCTGTTTAGATTTTCTCTATTGTAGAGCCGGTTTAGTAAATTGTATGACTTATACAATGATTCATCCCTTTCAGATTTTCAAATGTATTTATATGGAGTTGAATAAAGTAATGTTTTAATTTCCACTATACCTGTGGTTTCTCCCTGCTCCATACATCTTATTTTGTGGATTTTGTTTTCTCTCTCTTTTATTAATTAGATTATTTATTTTTCTCAAAGTCAGCTCTTGGATTTATTCTAATATTTTCCTTTTAAAATCTGTTGTTAATTTCTGCTCTAAGTTATTAAATACTTCTGCTTTTCTAAGGGTTCTTCTATTTTTATAACATCTAGAATTGGATGCTTATCTCATTTATTTTATATACTCTTTATTATTAGTAGTACTTAGTAAAACAAATTTCCCTCTTGAAATTACTTTAGCTGATTTATATATATTGTCTTAATTAGCATGCTCTAGCTATTCTGCCATATTTATTTGCATTTTAGACCTAAGAGAGTTGTTTTAAAAAGACACTAAATATTTTTCTGCAAACAGTAGTGAAGATTTTTAATTTTTGCCTTAATTATTCATTTCTAGTTTTAGTGCAATAGAATCAGAGAATGAATTTTATACTTTTTTATTTTGGCTGCATCTCAAATAAAGATGTTTTTCTCTGTTTTGAGGGTTCAGAGTTAGAAATATATAAATTACATGTACTTAAGTTATGTTGTTTTGGTCTTCTGTAAACTTAACTTTTATCCATTTGATCTTTGATTATAGAGAGTTGAATGAAAGCCTTTTACTCCTGATATGTTTTTGCCTATTTCTCCTTGTATCTTCTGTTAATTTTGCTTTATAAATATTGATATTAGGCTATTTTGTGCATAAGTAGTCATGACTTTTAAAGTTTCATTCTGCAGTGTATCTTTTTTAAAACTGTAATGGACGCATAACAATTGTTCATATTTGTGGCATACAACATGATGTTTTCATATATATATATAAATTGTATAATGATGAAATCAGGGAATTTAACATATCCATCACCTTAAACAGTTATCATTCCTTTGTGAAGAGAACATTCAAAAGCCTCTCTTCCAGCTATTTTGATAAAATATATTATTATACTCTAATATTATATATTATATACAATATATTATTATACTCTAATATATTATATTACTATACAATATATTATTATACTCTAGTATTATACTCTAATCATCCTACTATGCAGTAGACTAATGGAACTTATTCGTCCTATTCCATCTAGCCTTGTACCTATCGACCAATCTCTCACCATCTCCTCCTTCCTCTCCAATCTCTCACCATCTCCTCCTCCTTCTCCAATCTCTCACCTTCTCCTCCTTCCTCTCCAATCTCTCACCTTCTCCTCCTCCTTCCCCTCCTTGCCATCCTCTGGTAACCACTATTGTACTCTCAACCTTTTAGTTTCCACTGAGAAGTGAGATCATGCAATATAGTATCTTTTAGCATTACAAAGTGTTCATTCTTTGTCTCAGTTAATGCTTTACATCCAAATCCAGCCTTTCTGATACTTAGATCATGACCTGTTTCATTTTTCTGTGCATGTATTTGCTATACCATTGTCTATTCCTTTATTCGTAACCTTTCTAAATCACTTTCTTTTAGGTGTGCTTTTATACGCAGCAGAGTTGGTTTTACTTTGTGATGCAATCTGAGGTCTTTTTCTTTTAATAAGCGATTTTAGTTTATTAATTTGTGTTCAGATGACATATATTTGGTTTTAGTTCTGTCATTGTTTTATGCTACGCTGTTTAACACTTTAGAAAACTTTATGTGGACTATTTTCCCCTTTCCCTTGTGTGTGTAATTTGGCAGATTTATATTTTTCTGGCACTTTCCTTTATAACTTTATATAATACTCTTAAACCCCTATCTCTCTTTTTTTTTTTTTTTTTTTTTTTTTTTTTTTTTTTTTTTTAGTATTTATTGATCATTCTTGGGTGTTTCTCAGAGGGAGATGTGGCAGGGTCATAGGATAATAGTGGAGAGAAGGTCAGCAGATAAACACGAGAACAAAGGTCTCTGGTTTTCCTAGGCAGAGGTCCCTGCGGCCTTCGGCCTTCGGCCCTGTTTGTGTCCCTGGGCACTTGAGATTAGGCAGTGGTGATGACTCTTAACGAGCATGCTGTCTTCAAGCATCTGTTTAACAAAGCACATCTTGCACCGCCCTTAATCCATTTAACCCTGAGTTGACACAGCACATGTTTCAGAGAGCACGGGGTTGGGGGTAAGGTTATAGATTAACAGCATCCCAAGGCAGAAGAATTTTTCTTAGTACAGAACAAAATGGAGTCTCCTATGTCTACTTCTTTCTACACAGACACAGTAACAATCTGATCTCTCATTCTTTCCCCCACATTTCCCCCTTTTCTTTTCGACAAAACCGCCATCATCATCATGGCCCGTTCTCGATGGTCGCTGTCTCTTCGGAGCTGTTGGGTACACTTCCCAGATGGGGCGGCCTGGCAGAGGCGCTCCTCACTTCCCAGACGGAGCGGCCGGGCAGAGGCGCTCCTCACTTCCCAGACGGAGCGGCTGGGCAGAGGCGCTCCTCACTTCCCAGATGGGGCGGCCAGGCAGAGGTGCACCTCACTTCCCAGACGGTGGGCGGCCAGGCAGACGCTGCTCACTTCCTAGATGGGATGGCGGGCGGGCAGAGGCTGTAATCTGAGCACTTTGGGAGGCCAAGGCAGGCGGCTGGGAGGTGGAGGTTGTAGCGAGCGGAGATCATGCCACTGCACTCCAGCCTGGGCAACATTGAGCATTGAGTGAGCGAGACTCCGTCTGCAATCCCAGCACCTCGGGAGGCCAAGGCGGGCAGGAGCTGGAGACCAGCCCGGTCAACACGGGCGAAACCCCGTCTCCACCAAAAATACAAAAACCAGTCAGGAGTGGCGGCGCGTGCCTGGAATCCCAGGCACTCGGCAGGCCGAGGCAGGAGAATCACCGGAGCCCGAGGCAGGGAGGTTGCAGCGAGCTGAGATCATGGTGGTACAGTCCAGGCTCTGCAAGAGAGGGAGACCGTAGAAAGAGGGAGACGGAAAGTGAGAGGGAGAGCGAGAGGGAGAGGGAGAGGGAGAGGGAGAGGGAGAGGAACCATTTTCAATTCAATTCAGAAAATACTTATTGAGAGTTTACTTTTTTTTTTTTTTTAATTTGAGAGGGAGTCTTGCTCTATCGCCCAGACTGGAATGCAGTGGTGTGATCTCGGCTCACTGCAACCTCTGCCTCCCGGGTTCAAGTGACCCCTATCTCTTTAGACAATATCGGCTAATTCTCTATATAATCCCCTACTTCTTTAGATAATAGGTAGTAATTTCTCTCATCTTTGTTCAGCGCTTTTGCTTCACTGAAGTAATTGCCTCATTACTTTCTTTTTTTAATATCATGGTGAAATATTTAGTCACAGCTTATTCTGTCTCAGTGAAAATATTTTTCTATTAACTCTTCATCTTCTATTTTTTTTCCCTCCTTTCCTTTCTTCTTTTTCCCTTGTCTTTGTTTAGATTCTGTGCTGGCTGTTTTTCAAATACTCACTTTTGAAGGAGGGGAGTTTCATTCTGAAGCAGCTATTTGTAGTTGGTTTGTGTTGGGGGCAGCCTGGGCTTCCTTCTAGGGTACCAGAATTTCTTGTCAAGACTCCTGATTTTATTGATGAGCAGCTTAGGGTTTTGTCTCAAGCTGGTAAACATGAGCAATTGTGTGGCTATTCACAAGACAAAGACTCTCTCTGCCCCACTGTCACTAGGGTACTGTTTCTTGCAAATATGGCTTGACTGTGTGACACTTTATCTTGACCTGTGTTCTCTGTTAATGGAATTAGATTTAGCATATTTCCTGTCACCACCCTCATGGACTTACTCCGTTCTTGGTTTTGAAATTAGGGAGTATAGGTTTTATATCTCAAGGAGGGCTTCTCACCTTCTATAAACATATTTTGAAAGTTCTCTCCGAGCTCCACTGCTAGGGCATCCTCTCTGCTCTTCTTCCAATGTCACCTTCACTATTTTGGTGGCCCTCCATTTATCTTGTGGTTCCAGGTTTCAGGTCTCTCCTACTTTGTGAGGATGAGTCTTGTGTTCCTGGCTCTCATTTGCCTCTTGGCTCTCAGGTGATTTCCAAGAGGAGGAGGAAGAAATGCCAGCTTTACATTGCTCTAGTCAGACTGGAAGTTGACAGTTCTAGCTGATATAGTTATCATTACAACTGTGTTGTCAGGCCCTGGGTCCCAGTAAAGAGTGTCCCTGCTTAGAGACAAAGGAATGGTTCCTAGGAAGCCCTGCCAGGAGTTAGCAGGGTCTGAGCCTTAAGGGAGATCAGAGACCAGGTGAGGATGAGAATGGCCCGACTTGCAAGTGGGCCCTCAGGTCCTGATGACCACCTACAGTGGGGAGCTGAGAAGGCAGGTGTGGCTCTGCCTGCTCAGAACCAGAGTTCCTACTGTACATGGCAAGGACTCTATGACCTTCAGCCTGTTCAGTGCTCAGAGAGGGCAAGAGTGCTCATCTTGCATTTCTGGATGGGGAAAACAAGAGTAAGAAGGGAAAGGAATGTCTCAGAAAGTCAGCCTCCTGATTCCCAGTCATGCTCTCTCTCTCCCCTCATGAATCTTGTGCTTCACAGACCACCCTAGGAGTCCTGGGGGGATCAAGCACAAGCTCCTAGGAAGAGAGTGCTTGCAGTGCCTTGAAGGAGCCCTGCATGGTCAGCCTCTGGGCCTGGGCACTGCTGCTTCCTGCATTTGGGCTCCTCCTTCCATCAGCTCCCTTTCCAACCCTAGCCAGGCACAGTCATCTTGGGCATGCCTCAGAGGGCAGCTCTTCTTAACCCTTTGCTGCTTCCCTCTGCACTTTTTAAATTAAACAGCCTGACCTCGAGCTTCCCTTGTGTCTCTTACTCATCCCATTATTTTGAAAACTGCTGTGCCAGTTCGTTTGCCTGTACTCTTCCCTAGGCTTAGAACCCTCCCTGCATTTTCCTGTAGTTTCTTCCCTCACTTTACTTAGGTCTCTGCTCAAAAATCATCTGCTCAGAGAAGCTATCTCTGACCACAATATATAAAATAGTACCCCCTTACCCTCTAACTGATTTACTTTCTTTCACAGTAAGTTATTTTATTGATGTTAGTTTGTTAATTTCCTCGCTTCCTCACTAGAATCCAAGATTCAGATGAGCAAAGAATCTGTTTTATCTATCACTGCATTCCCAGCAAGTAGAAATGTGATGGTACCTAATAGACTACAGAAATATTAGTAAAGAAGGAAGAAAGGAGAAAGCAGGGAATGAAAGAAGAAGAGAGGAAAGACAGGAAGGAAAGGAGGAAAGAGTGAGGGAAGGAAAAAAGGAAGGAAGGAAGAAGGGAGGAAAAGGATCACTGTACTCACATAATGCACTGAACTAGCATTTATGTTTTACTTGTCTATTTCTCCATTTAAACTGTCACTTCTTTCAGGGTGGTTCATCCCAGTGCCTTGGATAATGGCTAGCTCTGTGCATGGAGCAGAGGCTCAATATTTATTGAATTGAGTTAAATATGGCACCTCTGCCCCAAAATGAATCTCAGAGTGAAGAAGTTTAGCTGAAGAAACCTTGAGGGATAGGGGAACATCTGTTCTAACACAACTTACCTACCTGCTCTGACCCCCAGGCATATTGTATTTGCAAAGGCGTCAGTTGTGATATGGGAATCTTTTTTATCAACAATAGATTCAAGTTGACCAAGGAACGGAAGAGTATCTAGGAGAACTAGCTAAGGTCTGCCTCTACCTCTCTGCCCATAAGTGTGTGGGGGTGGCTCTACCCATTAGGCCCTTCTCTGACTGATTACTCCATGGACCCCAAAGCACTCACATTTACTGAAGGGATCAAGAAAGAGACACGTTGAGTACTGGTGGCAGCTCCAGGAGTTTATTGACAGAATGAAGACAGCTGATGGAATGTCCATTGGGATCAAGAGTGCCTTGTTTTTTCTGCCCCTTACAAGAAATTGTTTGATTTCTCTCCTGGCCCATTCACTCAGTCTCAGCTTCCCAAAGAGAAATCACCCCTCTGAAAGCTTATTCTAAAAGTTTTGCTATGCAGAGGATCCATCTGGTGCTATCCAGCTGTGAGCCCCTCTAGGAGCCTGCTGTGCCCAAAACCTGGATTGTTCAGGCTCAAATAATTAATTGTGATGTTTACTCCAGA
The DNA here is from genome assembly GCF_000001405.40 of Homo sapiens. Taxonomy (NCBI): domain Eukaryota; kingdom Metazoa; phylum Chordata; class Mammalia; order Primates; family Hominidae; genus Homo; species Homo sapiens. The sequence continues at coordinate 113,520,535 of NC_000011.10, read as the reverse complement.
TGGATGGATATGAAGTTGCTCAGCATGCCCAGCAATTTTCTAAGAGAGGAAGAGGAGCTCAGAGGACCAGGGAGCCAGGTCCCATACAAAGCACCCTGGCCTGTCCGCCTACTCAAGTCAGTGACATGGGTCAGATCCTCAGAAAGTATCTGGCCCTGAAGTTCCCGATCAGGGTGGGGGGTGGTTGAAGTAGCATGCACCTCACTCTGGCCACTTCTTCCAGATGGATGGCAGTCCTCTGCTTCCCAGCATGAGCCCATGACTTCTCCCTCCCCTTTCAGAGTCCATAATTAATGTGGCACCTTCAGTAATAGTGACATGAGTCAGACCCTCAGAAAGCGTCTGGCCCTGACGTTCCCAATCAGTGGGTGGTTGGGACAGCTGGTGTGTTGTTAGGAGTCAGAGTGAGTGCTGCACACAGCTGGGGGCAAACAACCAAGTAATAAAAGTTGCAAATGATTCATTGCATCAAAAAACCCTCATAAATTACAGTGGATCTAAAGTTATAGTTTGTAACTTGCATTCTGATACCCTTCTTGGGTGAAAGAGCTGGAAATTATGCTTGTATGGGTCTAAGGTTAGTAGCATTGTCAAGGAGACCTCTGTAGAAAAAGGCTGTGAATCGCTGCTCTTGTCCAAACTTGTTAAGGATGGAATCCCTTCTACACATCCTTGACCTATCCACCAGCTTCTGCTCAAAAACTGCTAGCAGGGCTGCCTTTACAACCTCCTACAGCAGCTTGACTATATAGGAAGCTATTACCTCTGTAGAGCTGCCTGTTGTCTTCACCCATTGCCTTAGTTTTCCTCCTAGAAAAAGATAATCTCTCCTGTAAGCTGCCTAAGGCAGATGCTGTGGATCCTGTGCTGATACCACTTTGGTTGTCTTCACCTTTTCTTTGTGACACCAGCTCCTTCATCTTCAGGGCAGGGAGGTGGGAACTTATTTGCCTGCATGCCCCAGACAGAAGCACCTGGGAGTTAACATCTTCCCAAGGGCAACCCTTAACCAAGGAGTGATGGAGGTTGGGGTATAAATATCCCAGCTCCCTTGCCCCTGGCTGAAATAATTCTGCAGCATGTATACTGTATTGTTTCCCAGAATGTTCCTGCAGGATTAAGCTCCAGTCACCCATTGGGAAGCTGATTTATTAATGCAACCTTTATTGCCTGCCTTCCTCCCCTGTATCACCTCTCCCCACATTTCTTGTACCTCTCAATAAACTGTGCTTGAACTATTGACTCAGAGGCTGCTTCTTGGGGAACCCAAACCAATAAACCTAACCACAAAAGTACAAGACCTTGCTGGAGAAAATTATATGAAAACAAACAAGTGGAGAGATGTAATATATTTATGAATGTGGAGACTGCAGTGCGAAGCTACCATTTCTTTCCAATTAATCTTTACATTTGATGCAGTTCTAATCAGAAACCCAGAAGCATATTTCAGAAAGTCAACAAAATAATTCCAAAAGTCACATGGCAGAATAAAGGGCACGAATAGCTAAAACAATTTTCAGAAAGAAGAACTAAGAAGGGAACTTCATTTGGCCATATGTGAAAATGAGTTCAAAGCTGTAGAAATGAAACCAGCATGGCGCTGCACAGGAATGGGAAATAGATCACGGGGAAGATAAGACAGTGCAGAGATAGGAACGTGAGTGTGGTAGAGGTGGCAGCACTAGTTAGGGAGAAAAGAGAGGCCTTGGAGAATGGAGGGCAGCTGGCTATTCCTTATTTCTATAATAGACACTAAAAAAAAGGAAATGGGATTGAATTCCAACAGGAGAAGTGCAGTTTAGGTAAAAGAGTGTCAGGTGCAAGACCAGATGAGTGAGGCAAACAGTGGCATTTCTCATTAGATAATTGGGAGCTAGCTCCTGTTTTGAGAATACCAGGATTTGCTCTGTGTCCTGGGTGACATTTTCTTTTGCTTGATAAACATATATCACTTGCATCTTGGGCTAGGTGGTGCAGCTGCCTCCCTAATTAATGTATCAGCCTGACACCGAGTATTTTGACATGGCACTTTCCACTTAGTGCTTGTGTGATCTCACAAAGAGAGCCCTGAACGGGACATTGAGAGCTTTTCTGGACAGTGACATGTCATTAGCTCTGGGGAAGTGGCAGTCAGTGCAGATGTGAGGAACAGGGAGTCAATTCCTTGGCCAGGATGCACAGAGCCCCGGGCTCCTTGTGACCCTTATCTGGCGACATCCACCCCCTGACACTGAGACCTGGACAGAGAATGGCACAAAACTCCAACATACAGGACCCCCACTAGATGACACAGTCAGTCTACACTGGTATGGGTACATGCTCACACTCAGGTCTAAGCATAACCTCCTCAGACTTGCTGAGAGGACATTTCAATGAGATTTGGTTTCTCATGACTAAATTCCATGGCAGGAACCTTTCCTGGCTTGGGTATGAGAGACACTAGGCCTTCAACTCCTCCACCAAACACCATACCCCAACGCCCCACCCCCACACACAGTGATGGTTAATGTGTCAACTTGACTAGGCCATGGGGTGCCAGATATTTTGTTAAACATTATTCTAGGTGTTTCTGTGACAGTGTTTTTGATAAGACTTGCATATCAATTGGTAGACTTCAAGTCAAGAGATTGCCCTTCATAATGCAGGTGGGCCTTGTCCAACCAGTTGAAGTCCTAGACAGAACAGAAAGACCAGCTTTCTCTAAGCAAAACAGAATTCTCCAGCAGGCTATCCTCAGATTTCATCTACAACATCAGGTCTTTCTGGTCTATGGCAGATAGCTTTTGGACTTGAACTGGAACATCAGCTCTCTTGGGTCTCCAGCCTGCTGGCCCACCCTGAAGATTTTGAATTTACCAAACTCCATGATCATGTGAGTCAATTCCTTATAATAAATCTTTACACATTCATATCCTACTGGTTCTGTTTCTCTGAAGAACCATGACTCATACACACACACGTGCACGCATATGCGCTCACACGTGCATGCGCACACACATACACACACACTAGTTTGCCCTGAGGTAGTAGTTTGAATGGGATTTGGACGGGAGGCATAGTTGTCTCTCCTTCCCTCCCTCCCTCCCCTATATCCATTTCTCTGCCTTATACCTATCCACACAGTCCCTGAGGAGCCAAGGATGGACAGGAGTGCAAGTAGGAACTCTACATCCAAATACCAAGAGCAGACAGAGGACCCTGGAGCTGACCTTGGGAGACCCCTCTGGAGGAGCTTTGCCACCATTCCATACCTGGAGTTTCTTAAGCCTTACCTGGACCACCTGGAATATTCCTGGAGGGCGCTGCTGAACACTTCTCCTGTCTTGGGGATAATATGTCCTTAACAAGCTCTCTTTCTTCTGTCTGGGCCTCTTGTCTACTCTGCCCTCCCTCCCTCTCTTCTTGTTGCCACTACCCATCCATGTAGGCATTGCTGTTCTCAAATCCTTGGGAAACAGAGCCCTAATCTTAGCAAGAGGAGGGAGAGATATTAGGGAAGGAAGGATCCCAGGCCAGGAATCAGGAGGCAGGTCCCTGAGAATTGCTTCTACACTTCCAAGCCCAGTGATTGGTAGATGTGTCCTGCCAGTGCTCTATTCCTCACCTATGGGACGAGGAGGGTGAATAAGATGGTCTCTCATGACGGGCATTTGGGGAGCCTCCACCCTGTACCCAGGTAGGGTATAATGGAGAGAATCCTGGGTGTGCCTGGCATCTGGTGAGGATGTAATGAATGTTTGCTGAATGTCTTTGAATAATGGAATGAGAGAAGACCAAGGTTGAGAACCAGTGGTGTGACCTTGGCCAAATCGCTAAGCCTTTTTAAATCTCAATTTCAGTGGAAGCAAGTGTCTCAAAAATGACCATCCTGAAAGTCCACAGCTGTGAAAAGGATCTTTCCCCCTCAAAGAGATTTAATTTCCCACTTTGGATATGATCCTTCCACAAGAACTTACACATCTCAGAGTTGTATTTTCTTAAGAGTCTCCTGGTATTTCCTGAGTGTCGGGTGTTATGCTAGACTCATAGCTACCACAACAGATCATCTCAGCAATTCTATGCAGGACACTTTTTACTCAGTATTTCACAGATGTGGAAGAATCAGAAGAGCCTAGATGGTAAAGTGACCCTTCCAAAGTCAGAGCTAGAAAGTGACTGTGCTGAGATCCAGAGCTCATCTATGCATTCACAGTTCCACCAGGCTGTGCACTCAATACTGAACTGAACCTTGGACACATGCTTTCTGAATTCTGGTCTGGGATCCTTCTTTCCCTAATCCTGCTCCCACCTCTCACTAGGATCAGGGCTCTGGTTTCCAAGGATTTGGGGAAGAGGAATGATTACCTTGCCCAGGTGAATGGGCAGTGGAAATGAGAAGAGAGAGCAGGAGGGAGGGCAGAGTGGAGAAGAGGACCAGGTAGAGAGAAGAGAGCTTGCTAAGGCCTGAGAGGTGAATCAGGATGACAGAGCTCCTGTGCTGGGGACCTGGGGTCTTTCAGAGTCCTGCTCAGTGCTGTTGCACTATTTCTCACCAGGTGGTCTCTAGGAGGCTCCAGCCCCCTCATTCTGATCCTAAGGTCCCATGATGGCTCTTGGTCTGTTATAGCTGCCTTATACCTTAGGCCAAGGGGAGCCTCCGTAGCCCTTTGGGGCTGGATGGAGGCAACAAAATGAGCACTTAGTCCATGTGGTATGAATCCCACCTGTGGTCGTCCTGCCCTCAAACATATGCCCAGGTGTGGACAAACCAATTCCAGAAGCCCCATAGCATAGCACTCTGGCACCCCTTGTCCCTGAAGAGATGGAGTCCAGGACAGGCAAGGTGGAAGGAGAGAAGAGAGAAGGCCCCATCAGGAGGCAGGGGTGGCCAGGGGTGATGTGCAGTGCAATAGAGCATATCTGACCATGTGACATCCCTCTCCATTCTTTCAGTGGCTCTCATTGCTGACAGGCTGAAGAATCAGCCCCTTAAGTGCCTTACAAGGGTGCTGTAGCTAACTCCTACCCATCCTGGTCACCTCCAGGCCAGGTGATGTGCCCACACTTCGACTCCATCCCAGCAGACTTTATCCCAAATATCTGATTGTGCATCTGTCTCCAACAGTCACTGGATTCTGAGGTCCTCCAGGGCACCGAGCCCAGGCCTTTACACAGGTGCCTTGTGACCAGTTGGTGTTTAAGGAATATTTGCTGAGCAAATGAATGAATGCGAGCTGTGTGGATATTTCTCAGGGCACTGAGCAATATCTGGGCCAGGCTCAGAGTAGCATGCACATCACTCTGGCCACTTCTTCCAGATGGATGGCAGTCCTCTGCTTCCCAGTGTGAGCCCATGACTTCTCCCTCCCCTTTCAGAGTCCATAATTAATGTGGCACCTTCAGTAATAAACATGTGCTTGTGGGCTCCAATCTTTCTCATTAGAGCCTGGGCAGATTGCTCACCTTTTCCTGGTGATGATGAATGACTCACCTTGCCCAGCACACGGCCCTGTCCTGTCCTGGGTGAAAGTGCTCCCATGCTTCCCGGATCTGACACTCACTAGCACTGACACAGAGCCCCCACATTGGATGGATGTAGGCCCAAAGTTGGTGTCCTCAGGTGGACAGTGGTCCAGGTAGTGCCCCAGTCCTAGCCTCAACCTTCAGCTTGATGTTCAAGGCCCTCCCAGACCTGGTCCCTGTCTACCTGGTTGGACCCTTTGTCACTGAACCTTCTCTGTGCGGTGCATTCCTGCCTCTTCAGGAGTTTGTTCATGCAGTTCCCCCTCATTGATACCTCTTTCTTTTATGCCTTTCTGAAACTCACTCATGAAAGAGCCTATAAAAGTGACACCTCCTCCATGAAGTCTTCCCTGACCTTCCCAGTGCAGAATTCCCATGTCTTCCTTTTACACTTGGCATAGGATGTCTTCTTGCCCCAGGAGCTCTGTCACTAACTGCGTATCACTTTCCCTACTTGTGTCTCAGATTCCTTGTCTTTACAGGAAAAAAAATCACTCCACAGACTTCTTGTGAAGTTTAAATGACCTTCATTCATTCAACATTTGCAAACATTAATTCTGTATTTCCTTCAAAACACGCAAAATGATGTGCAGAGGCCACAATGATGAAGAAAACATAGCTTCACCCTCAAGTAGTGTGCAGTCCAGTGAAAAATAATCTAAGTAATAATAATAATAAAAGCTTCACATTTTTGCTTTCCAGGGCATATCAAGCCAAATACTTTACATACAGACAGATACAGAGGAGATTATAATCCCAAGTAATAACGTGCTTTGACATTGGACAAACTCTCAGATAAACTGAATGTGATACTATCGCTACTCATCATAAATGTCTGTCGGTCTTGGCTCCCCATTTAGGCCATGAGCTCCGTAAGTCAGAGCAGGAATCATCCTTCTTTGTAACTTCCATGATACCTTCAGCAAATTATGTTTCAATCCATGATTATTTGCTGATCGGTTAATCTCCTAGGACCAGGAGGACTGGAGGAGATGCTGCCCTGTCCAGAGGTAAAGGCCATTGGACACCTGGTCAACAGGACCTGCCAAAGGTCACTCCTTCCAGCTCCAGCCAACAGATGAGGACCAGTTGTCCTTCCTTGAAAGGCTTCAGAATAAGAGCATCAGAAGACCTGGTCTCAGGTCTCAACCCTGGAACTTCCCCATCTTCAAGCTTCAATTTCTACCTCTGCAAAATCTGAACAATATCTCCTGTCTTGCCTCACTTAAGGATCAGTATGACAATCAAAGAAGGTGATGGATTTTACCACCTGCATCATGAGAAATAGAGCTTGAGGGGTCATTATCCCTTGCATTTTCAAGATAAACCTTTAGGTTTTGAGTTTTAAAGAGGTTTTACTAAACTTAGGATGGAAATTCAGCCCAAGTGGCCCCTGGGCAGACAAGAGATATGGGGACACCAGGATTGCCTGGCATCATCACCTGGCCCCAAATGGGCACAAGTCTTTTTGTGAGTCTGTCTTCACTCTGTCACTCATGGCAGGTGCTGCAGGAGGTGAAGATGGGAAGGGTAAACTCCTGTCACACTGGGCAGGAGAAAGGGCAGGCTATCACAGTGTCCGACCTGGGCAGGATGCTCCCTAGGGCTTAGCCAGCCTCCAGGTCACTTCACAAAATGTCACTGCACCTGCATGGAGAATTTTCCAGCTTTTAATGAGGCCACCAAAGCAGTGCGTGGATAAAGTTCTGCCTCTAATCCCCAATTAAGGCTCCTAGGCTTCACTGCATCCGGCATCTGGTTGCTGGTGGGTACAGTAATCGTGTTGCTCACTTTTTCTCTCTCACTTTCCAGTACAGTTTCTAGTGGGAGGAGACCCTTCCCTCAGGGTCTCGAAAGTCAGAAACCTCTCCCCAAGGTGGTGTCCTTGTGTGTGTGTAAGGAAGCTTCTCTTGGCTTTCAGCTTCCTCCACCTCCCTGTCCTCCCTGAGCCCCTCCTCTGCTTCTATCAGAGTCTCTACCCCACATCCCTTGTGACCTTAGGCCATTGATAAACAACCTACTCTGTTCTGTACCAGGCACTTTATATATGTAATCCTTTAATTCTCAAAATCAGCTCTGGGGTAAGAGTTGACCATCACCTTTGCAGCAGGGGGAGAGCCGAGGGTCTTACAGGGCGTGGCTTGCTCCAGCTCCACACATGGGGAAGAGTAAAGCTCAGAAGGACCCTGTGTCTGGGCCACCCAGGTCCTTTGCCACATCAGAGCCTTCTCCGCTGTGGATGTGACATGGGTTTTGGAGCAGCCTGAGCTTAGGACAAGGAGGGATGACCAGGATTCTGTCAAAAAATGCTGTCAAAGAACCTATTATAATAATGCTGGCTGCCATTTTTGAACCATTGGCCTGGCATTTAGTAGATCTGGACTATTCGATTTTTATATGAAAGGGGGTATGTTCAGGTACTGTCTGGGCACATTACTACTCATCTCTTTTGAGCTTCTTAATCCAGGTAGATACATAACTTTACCTATATTTTACAGATAAACAAACTGAGACAAAGAGAGTGTAAATTAATCTAGTTATTTTGAGTTGACACATATGGAATTACTGCTTTTGTGAGTGGAAAATGGAAAAATATCATCAACTTCATATTGGCTCAGCCTAATTATAAGTAAAGAAGCTAGGATTTGAACCCAGTCCTTGCTCCATTCTAACATTCTTGCGCCCCCCCATACCCCCGCCCTAACTATAGCATAGCCTTCCTTTTGCGGTTTTTGGAAATTGTATGATAAAAGAGAAGGGAATTGGTGCCATGCAGAACAGAATGTGAACTCCGCTAACTTTTCCTTCAAATTTGGAAGGCTCTTACCCTGCATTGAGAAACCCTTAATGGCCTGTGAGGACTTCCTGAGGAGGGGTCATCTCTAAGAGCTGCTGGGCAGAAGCAAACTGATCAGACTTTGGGCTTGCAACATGACAACATAGACAAACGAACTACTCTGTAAGTAGAAATGCACAGGGCAATGCCTCAACAGGTAGAAGTTCTCACATGGTGCTGTTCCTGGGTTGGGACAGACAGGAGACGGGGATCCCTGAAGAGTGAAAGGGAATGGGCTGGGTCTTGCCACACATCTACTCCAGGCTCAGCAGAATGCATGTCTCTCATCAGAGCCACATTTTTGGTTATAGACATGTGATTTACATTTACTTCGATTTCTAGAAGTGGAGAGCTGGACCAGCCTCAAAACACCAAAAAAGTAAATTCTTGATTCACTAGCCGCCTAGAAAAGTCAGCTTAAGAGGCAAAAGACATCTCCCCATTTTAACCCCCATCAGAGTGTCACAGAAGTGTGTGACATTAGGGCCTTTTAGAACCTCAGAGATTTTCCTTCATTATGCCCTCAATGTGTGGTAAAAGAAACTGAGACCAGATGCCCAGGTCTTATATCCTACCCAAGATCATGAGCTCACTGAGGGTTGGAACCAAGTATCGTGTGTGTGTGTGTGTGTGTGTGTGTGTGTGTGTGTGTGTGTATGTGTGTGTTTATTATTTTTTTATTTTTTTTTTCCGAGACGGAGTCTTGCTCTGTCGCCCAGTCTGGAGTGCGATGACACGGCAACCTCTGCCTCCCGGGTTCAAGTGATTCTCCTGCCTCAGCCTCCCAAGCAGCTGGGATTACAGGTGCCTGCCACCACAACCAGATAATTTTTGTATTTTTAGTAGAGACAGGGTTTCACCATGTTGGCCAGGCTGGTCTTGAACTCCTGACCTCAAGTGATCTACGCACCTCAGCCTCCCAAAGTGCTGGGATTATAGGCAAGAGCCACCGTGCCCAGCCTGGAATCAAATCTTTTTCATTTCTAGGTCTCCAACGTCTGGCAAGGTGCCTGACTGAGGGTAGGTGCTCAAAAAATGTTGATAAAAGCATGGACAAAGATATTGACAAAAAAGTAAAAATAGTGGAGTGAGGTGAGAGATGGACACCCCTGCCCCCATCCAATGGCCACTCCCCTGGAAATGGTGGCATCTCTGTGACCCTAGAAGCATCTTGTTTTGAAACAGGTTTCATGTTGTTAATAAGGCGAGGCTACTTCAAGTTTATGCTCTGAACAACTTGAGGGGTTGAAGTAGACTTCTTCCTTCTCTGGATGGCACTCACACCTATGCCCTTTTCAACTGTGCTTTGGGTCAGTCCTCTCCATCTTGTTGACCCTAATTCCTGCTCAGTGAAGGATACTAAAGATGTGTAGCTGGCTAGGATGCTCACTGTGACTGTGTCCATCCATAGGGAAGCTTTGTTGATCTCCTCAAAAAGGCTAAGTGACAACCTCCCCATGATGATTTCATAGACTTCTTCCATCCCGACGCTGCAATATTGGAGTCACATGAAATACTTTAAAGAATGCTGATGCCTGAGTCCCTCCCTCAAGAGATTCTGATGAATCGTTCTGGAGCATGACCTGGGCATCAGGATACTCAAAGTTCTCAAGGTATTTCTGTTGTGTAGCCAAGCCTGAGAACCTGTGCATTTGAGCATCAGCTCCATTGTCTACCCATCAGCTAATGTATCCTTTGCATTCAAGGGAAGTTTGCTGAATGAGTGATGAAGAAAGGAATGAATGAATGAAGGGCTTCCTACCCAAGAGCCAGCAACAGAATAACTCAGGAATGTTTGGCAAAACAAACAAGCCCAGGCCCTATTCCCCTTCCACTCTCTGTGCCCCTCCCTCCCTACCCCCATCCCATCATTCATGAACTCAGATTCAGTTTGTCTGGGCTATTGTTTGGGCTTGTGTGCTTTGAAAAAGACTCCCCAGGTGTTTCTGATAGGCAGAAATCAGAATCTTTGGTTGGGAAAATGAGTAGGTGAATGAATGAGTGAACAAATAAGACATCTGAGCGAATAGAAGGAGTTTTAGCTGGGAACAAGAACTAAAGAAGCCAAGACAGATGAGCATTCTGTATGGTTGAGGAAATTGGTGGTTATGATCTTCCACTAGTCTTGTTTCCATTCGCTCAGTTGGCAAAATAAACGGCACTTGAGGAAGCTCTTTCCTCTTCCCTATCTCTCCTTTCCTTTCTTTCTAGGAGAAACCAGTAATTGCCTGGAAACATGAGCCTGGGCTTTTCTCTTGGGATTCATATTTGCAGGTAGCTGTGGCTGATCTCTCATTGTTAGCACATATATTGGACTGGAAATTGAAGTCTTGGTGAGGAGAGGGAAACTAGGAAAGTGGGGAGGAGGGATGAGTCAATTAGGAATTTGGTGATCAATCCCATCCCCCCAACCCCATGATGAGCTCAACCCAGCAGGTCCTTGGAGCTTGAAGAATTGGTTAAGCCATTTAACCTGCAGTCACTGGGGACATGGGGAAGTAACAGAGAAAGTCAGGGATGAAGATGAAGAAAGAAAGAGACCAGCAGGTCAGTACACTACAGGCAGCAAGGAGCTACCCCTTCCTACTCATCTGCTACTCCAGAAGGAGGCACAGGACCCGCTCGCAGGGGCATGCACCTGCAGTGCCCTCAACAAACAGTCAGCGAGCAGTCAGGAAGGAATGTGAAGCAATGCTGTCCTCAAGTTCAGGGATCTGCAAACCAGCCAATGCCTGGGCTTGCAGCAATTTTTAGTGGAAACTGTTAAGACAAACATAACAACCAAACCACAGAAGTGGGCCTATACCATTAATATTCATTATTATTTTCTGCAGTAATAGAAATGTTCTGTACTGTGTTGTCCAATATGGTAGTCACTGGTTACACGTCACTCTTCAACTACAGGGAACTGAATTTTAAATTTTATTTAATTTTAATGAATTTAAATTTAAATAGCCACGTTAGTGAGTGTCTACCATATTGGACAGTGCAGCCCTACACTGTGAGGTGGACGGATGGGGAGGGATGAAAATAGACCTGGGATGAGGAAAGGAAAAGGAAAACCTTGGTAAAGCATCATGTAACTTGGGCAAAAGTGTCCAGTCCCAGCTGTGGGGTGGAATACTTTATAATATGTTCTTCTCATTGAAAGATCCAGAATGCCCTCTGACCTGTGGCTTTTTGGGATCTTGGGCTAATCTAGAGAGTTGTCCTTGTGATGCCTTCAACACCATGAGGAGAGATTATGGTGCCTGCTATACTCAAGGGATTGCACTTTTTGACCAAGGCTCATGATGAAAAAAGAGAAACATTCATTCTTCTATTGCAATATTTCTCAAAACCCTTCCCTTACAGGAAACTCTAAAGGAGCAAGTCTCTCCTGCTGGGCCAGAGGGGCCGAACTGGATTAGAACTCAGAGCTAACTCCAAAGACCTCAGACTCTCAGCTCTATAAAGCTGCTTCTCCAATTGGAAGTCAGGATTTCCCCGGGTCAGAGTCTGCTGTTAACTTGCTGAGTGGTGTTGAGAACATAATTTAGTTTCTCTGAGACTTCTCTGTAAAATGAGGGGGTTGAACAACCCCTAAGATGCCCGAGGTTTCTCCTAGCTTAAAAATACTACATTTCTAAGGCATTTAAAATGCCCTCACTAGACACCAAGTGAAGTCAAATGGGCAGTGAAATGGCTTCTCTCTCACTGCAGCAAGCTTTTCTTGCAACCCAATTACCCTCGACATTAGTTTCTTTTATTTATTAATGTTATCATTACTATTAGAACAGTTTCTATTTTCTGCTGCTCAGCCTGGGTCACCCCCAGGAAAACCATTGTCAGCTTCAGCCAATCCTGCATGAGCATGGAGCCAGAAACATGCACAACCCGGCTCTGAAACAAATGGCACTGCCACAGAGAGCACTTGTTATTATCTGTCCTTTTCTCCCATCTTACTCCTTCCTTGCTTTATCAGTCAGCATCCCCCTTCTTTCTTTTCCGTTTTCCTTCTTCCCTCCCCCACTCTCTCCTCAACCCTCCTTTCTCCCCTTCTTTCTCTCTCCTGTCCACCCCCCACCCCACCCAGGTCTCCACCTCCCTCCCCACTCCACCTTCTCTTATGAAAGCTTGCAAGCCCCAGTCAGCCTGGTTTTATGCTCTTGCCAAGCAGGAGAATAGGCAGTGCTTTGGTGGGTGGGAGGGTTAGGGGTGGCTGAAGGGCTGGTGACCCTGTTTCCATGCATTTCTCCAAGTGCTGAGAGAGAGAGAGAGAGAGAGAGAGAGAGAGAGAGAGAGAGAGAGAGCCTGGCTATGGGAGCAGCTCTTGTTGCTAATGGAAAACAAAAAAGGAAAGAAAAAAACCTGCCAGCCTAACTAGCCCCCAAACCTGCATGTTCCATCAAGACATTAACAGTCATGTTAGGGAGCTGGAGGTCAAAATGGGGGAGGTAACCCCCTGTATTAGGCTGTTCTTGTGTTGCTATAAGGAAATATCAGACTGGGTAATTTATAAGAAAAGAGGTTTAATTGGCTCCTGGTGCTGTAAGCTGTGCAAGAAACATGGTGCTGGCATCTGCTTCTGGGGAGGTCTCAGGAAACTTACTCATGGCAGAAGGTGAAGCAAAAGCAGTCACCTCATCTGGCAAAAATGGGAGTGAGAGAGAGTGAGTGTGTATAATGGGGAGGTGCCACACATGTTAAAAAGACCAGTTCTCATGTGAACTCAGAGTGAGAGCTCACTTATCACCAAGGGGATGGCCCAAGCCATTCATGAGGGGTCTGTTCCCATGATCCAAACACTTCAGACCAGGCCCCACCTCCAACACTGGGGATTATATTTCAACATGAGATTGTGGGGGTGCAGGGTAGGGAGAGACAAACATCCAAAGTATATCAGCACCCCCACCAATTCTTTAGCTTAGGGAGGGGGACCTGCTCCCAACCAAACTCAGGGAGTCTCATCTCACAGAGCGAGGCAGCTAAGCTGTAGGATCCAAATATGCAGGAAGCCAGCAACTTTAGCAAGAGAGACTTGGAATCATCACCTACATTTCCAGGCTCCTCTGCTGGACTGATTCCCTGTCTAGAAGACCTCAATGGGGAGCTGTGGCTTGGGCTGGAGACTTGTGAGTTTGTATTTCACCAGTGCTTCTATTCTCTTTCCCCCATACTAGGGGACATTGAGAGGAAAGCCCTGGCTTCCAGGGACTGTGCTATCTGCAACATCTTGGGGTTTTGTTGTCAACACAATAGTTATGCTTACCTTCTGCCCTCATTCCCCAAGGAACCCTGCTTCACAGAATTAAATCATGGGACTCAGTTACTTCTTGGACCATAGGCCCTCTTTCAAGCCCTATTACTCCTCGTCAGGGGTAGCCGAGAAGCAGAGGAGAAAATGGTCTTGAACTGTTTTTCCTAATTCTGTAGGGCCATTCTAAGGTAGGGAAATGAGCCCCTCATCTGGGTTTCTGGCCAGTGCCACCTCTTCCTAGCCTCGTGTCCTCACCCAGCCTCATTCTTTTCATCTGTGAAATGGGAATAGAATACCTCCTTCATCCGGGATCTTTACGAAGGTTGAAGGGAACAGTAGCCTTAGACCATGGACAGGCAGTTGGTTAGGCTGGAAGCTGGAGATGGATCCGATGACCTCTTCAGGTCACTGTCTTGCTTGGGAATCTATAATGCTAGGGAAACTTAAGTGAGTCCAGAAATGACCATGAAATTGGCTGAGGTAGGTGAGACCTAACAGCTCATTACTTGTGTGACTGACAAAGTGACAAGGCCCTAAAGCAATTCTGAGACAACAAAGAAGGGGCCAATAATGGGCATTTCCTTAGCATCTGGGGTGAGTTTCTGAGGCATCACTCATCAGTTTCCAGGGGGCCTCTGCTGATTTGGTTTTCATGGTGGAGTGGTGTGGAACCGCTGACGTGGATGCACTGGGAGGAGAAGAACAAAGGGAGCATTGTCACATTTAAGCAACGTCGACACTCAGGCAGGAACAAAGGAGCTTGTTATGCAATAGACAGAATGAGAAGGCCAACCCAGGGCAGCTGCCTTGAATTATGGAGTCACGGAGCTACGATTTTGCCAAGGGAGATAAAATCAAACTAACTTCAGCTTCCTAGTGTGAAGTGATGAGAGGGAAGTGGTGAAGCTGAAAGAGGCTGGCCAGCCTACTAGGAGAGGGATATTTTCAGTGACTACACACCAGGGCCACTGTGGCTGCTAACAGAGACTTGAAGGTGATAGACAGGTGAGGGAATAAAGGTGATAGATAGGTGAGGAAATAGGTGAGGGCTATAAAGAAAAGAGACATGACAGGCAGACAATAGGGTGTTCAGGACGCCAGGTGAGATAAAAGAATCGGGTTAGTCTCAAAGACCAAGGCCCACGTGGATACCAGGAGAGTCAGCACTCAGCATCAGTTAACAGAAGACATCACCCCCAACTCTAATCCTGCATGCAAGCTGTCTATTTTCGCCTCTTCTGTCATCTCTGCCGTGTTAGTGGGCCTGAAGTGTGGTGAAAGAGACAGGGACAGGACAGAGAGGTGTGTTTATGATTAGGGCAGAGTTGTGAAGTCTGGGATTGGGACCTTTTTCATGGAAGACAGAAAGATGTCCTGCAGTTCTGTGAGGGACAGTTTATTCAGAGAAGAGGGACGTCGCTGTTTTCTGCTTCTATCAAGGAGGGAGTGTTTAACACACAGTAAAATCACCGTGGAAATTCAGGGGAAGAGTTTCTTGATCCTGAGAGCAGTGAGCACATAAGCAAGAAAGTTGGGAGACTTCTTTTCTTTGGAAAGAGTCCGAGTGACAAGCAGTATCAGAGGGGCTTCAAGGATCTTTTAAAAAGAGGCTTTCCTTCTGTCTGGGAGGTAGCTGTGGCTCACCCTGTCTGGGAGGGAATGAACAAAGAACCCTCTGATCTTCAGGTCCTGTACATTTACCAGTCCACTGGTACCACCCCTGCTGCCTAGCTATCCAACCAGATTCAGATGACACAATAGAGTTGGATGACTGAGCCAAACAGCTTATCAAGAGCAGAGCATTTTCTATCTAAATACCTACAGGATCGATCTGCATGAACATGAGGGTAATAACTTTCTGGTTTTCGTGAATGACATTTGAACTTCATGATACTATCTCCCTCTTTGCTCTACTCTTGGGTAAAGCAAGCCAGTATTCTCTCCCTCCTTCTGTCTCTGGCTCTGCCTTTGTCTCTGTTTCTGTGTGTGTGTTTCTGTCTGTCTCTGTTTCCCCGTCTCTCTTTCTCTCACATACACCAATCAAAACTTAGCCCTGGAAGAGATAACTAAACTTGGTTCTCAAATCCTGGTGTCTTCATCGGCACAGTGCACACTCAAACCATTTGCATTAATGAATCAAGGCCAGTTATTACCAGGACACTCTTGTGATGGTGCCTTCCTTGGCTTCCTGCCATTTAGGCTGTTTAAAGGCTGCGTTCCTCAGCTGCGTGCAGATAATAAAAGAGGAAACACAAGGAGGTTCTGGGGTTATGGAGCAGGGAGCAAGGAGGGCAGAGAAAACCTTCTCCCTCTCTTTTTGTCTCCAGGGAAGCCTAGGAAAGCACTGTGATGATGCTGATGCTGGTGGCCATTGCTGAGCATCTGCTATGAATGGATACATACCCAGATGCAAATAATGATGGCAGTTATTGTTGAGCATCTGCAGTGTCTATTTTACATTCATCACTGCATTTACTCTTCTCATCACACCTAGGAGGTAAATGTCATTATTCCCATTTGACAAAAGACAAAATAGGGTGAGGCAGCTGCCTAGCCTCACTGGTTGTGGAACAACCAGAATTTCCAAACCCAGGTTATTCTGGCTCCGAAGTCTTCCTACTCACTTAACCCACTGCTGTTCCTTGTTCTGCTGGCCCCATATGACCTGAGTTTTCAATGAGCAAATCCTAGTTTCTTCATCAGACCCAAATCCCAGCTCCATTTTTTTTTTTCCCACCACTGCTCACCTGTCAGGAGGAACTGATGACATTTTATCCCCTCTGCTTGCCTTCCCGGCCTGACTCCAGGGTCCTCCCTTGCTTCTGCTGTCTGAATTTGGGGAAGGCAGTTCTGGCTAGTCGTGGGTGCCCAGCCTCCCTCTTCCAAATGGCTGGGGTGCAGGAATGTGCCTGGAGAGTAAGGCCACTAGATTACAGCAAGAGTCTCAGCAGAGAGATGACCTGTTTGTTTCATCTTTTAAAACTATATCTGTATTCGTCCTTCATTATAAAAGTGAAATACTCTTTCTAATATAGATTTTGTTGGGACACAGTATTGGGTGGTGGCTAAGAGTGTGGATCAAACAATATACAGTAGGTTTAACTCCTTCAAACCACAGCAAGATAGTATTTCACAAATGAACCACCATTTAGTCAACCAATCTTCTACTAATGGATAGTCACTTGGTTTCCAGTTTTTTTCTGTGTCCTTTGGTCATTACAGGCAATAGTGAAATAAGCAAATATACACTTAGGTACTGAGATATATATATATATATATTGAGGCAGAGTTTCACTCTTGTTGCCCAGGGTGGAGTGCAATGGCACAGTATTGGCTCACTGCAACCTCCATCTCCTGGGTTCAAGTGATTCTCCTGCTTCAGCCTCCCAAGTACCTGGGATTACAAGCACTTGCCACCACACTTGGCTAATTTTTGTATTTTTAGTAGAGATGGAGTTTCACCATGTTGGGCAGGCTGGTCTTGAACTCCTAACCTCAGGTGATCCACCCGCCTCAGCCTCTCAAAGTGCTGGGATTACAGGTGTGAGCCACCGTGCCTGGCCGGTATTTTTATTTTTATAAAAGAGTCTCCAAAGTGTAATTTCTGAGTCAACATGTAGGGGTGCATCCATGTGTGTTAAATGCCATTGTTACTGTGCTGGTTGCTCATGTGAAGGTATTTGATTTCTTCTGTGGAATGGTAGAATCATGGAACTTCTGGAAATGGAGGAACAGTTTTTAAGAGTTGACTTTTCTTTGTTCTAAGAGAACATTTGGTAATGCTTTCTTTTCCTGCCAACATTTTTTTTGTTTTTTTTTTTTGAGACGGAGTCTCGCTCTGTCGCCCAGGCTGGAGTCCAGTGGTGCGATCTCGGCTCGCTGCAAGCTCCACCTCCCAGTTTCACGCCATTCTCCTGCCTCAGCCTCCCAAGTAGCTGGGACCACAGGAGCCCACCACCATGCCCAGCTAATTTTTTGTATTTTTAATAGAGACGGGGTTTCACTGTGTTAGCCAGGATGGTCTCGATCTCTTGCCCTAGTGATCCACCCGCCTTGGCCTCCCAACGTGCTGGTATTACAGGCGTGAGCCACCACGCCCAGCCAAGAAAGTATCTTTTTAACAATAATTCTAGCAGAACATTCAATAAAGTGCTCACAGTTTGTTCATCTTGGGTCAAGTGCCTATTTCTACCTTCTTTTTGTCCCTCTTCAGTAAAATGAACTACTAGGAGGATTAAAAAAGTTAAAATTTGTGAAAAACTTAGAAAAGCACATGGCACCAATAGCAAGTGCTGCATTAGTGTTTATTGAGTGAAAAGAACATCTGGGTAATGTTAGCAGAAGAAGGGAGAAATGAATATTGGGAAGGCAAACACAGGAAATATTCATATATTTGGCTTAGTTGAATTTCTGCTTATTCTCTTATTCCTGTTAATTGTGATGTTTTATTATGCTTTCTGATTTTGTTGTTGATTATGTTCCCATTCCTAACAGTCATAATTACACTGATAACTTCTACTATGACATTAAAATCATTTTTCCATTATTTGCATACTTCCACATATCTATCTCTCTCAAGATGAACCTTGGTTTCTAGAACAGTTGTCACTCTGCTGCCTTCCTCTTTTTTTTTTTTTCGTTTTTTCTTTTTTTTTGTTTTTTGAGACAAGGTCTCACTCTGTCTCCCAGGCTAGAATGCAGTGGTGCAATCATGGCTCACTGCAACCTCAACTTCCCAGGCTCAAGCAGCCTCCTGAGTAACTAGGACTACAGGTGTGTGCCACCATGGCCAGCTAATTTCTGCTGCCTTCTAATTGCAGTGTTGCAAATGAGAAATCTTATGCTAGTCTGATTCTCTTTCATGCATGTTTCCTACTCCCTACCTACCCAATTTGGAAACTGTTAATGTTTTTTCACCCTATAAGAAGTTTCAATATTATATTTTAGGAATTTCACTAGGTTATTTATAGGTGTGAATCTATTTTCATAAGTCCTGAGTTGAATTTTCTGCATCCTTTCAATCTGCGAATTCAAGTCTATCTGAAGCTCAGGAGAAATTGTCTTCTTCATTCGTTCCTCTCTTCTTCTGAATCTTCTATTCTTTGCTTATTAGGTCCCCAGATTTTTTTCCAAGCTGATGATCTTTTTCTTTTATTAATTTGTTTTTGTGTCTTGGCTCTGTTCCTTAAAGCATTTCCCTTGATTTCCTAGATCTTTAATGTGATGCTCAGTAGTGACTACCCTGCTCCTCAGTTTACTTTATCTATTAAATATTTAGGGTTTTCTTGTCTTGTTGTTAGCTTCTGAACATCTCTTTGTGCTCACATTGTATCTCCTTGACTGCCCTCACCACTTTTTAAAATTAATATTCTCATATGTCTCATCCATCAGCCCTTCCAGAGTGCCCTTAAAAGATTTGTAATATTATTTTACCTTCTCATGGTTTGCGATTCCTTCATCCTCACAGAGGGCAGGTTGGTGAGGTTTCTACTGATGGTGTTAAATTGACAAATAGTGGAACACGCAATGATTTCTGCCTATTTGAACCAGAGATGATTGAACGGATAATTCATTATCTTCTGTTAAAGGTCGAGGGGATATTTTCTTGCACCTCAGTCTACTAATAGAAAGTCCTTGGAGAAATTCCACCAGTGCACTTTTCCTCCTGGACCATCAGAAACAGTAGGATTGGACAAATTCTCCTTTTTAGAACCAAATAACACAGGCAACTACAGTCCCTCTCCAAGCAGATTCACCATCTTCTGCTGGCTAAGCTCACCTTACCTCTCTGAAAAGTATAAAAAGTCTTTGTCTTTTCTCCAGGCTCAAGGAAATAAAAATCTGGTCCTCTGTTGCTGGAAACTTTACTCTTGCCTGGATCTAAGGAGAATAAAGCCTGTTCTCTGTCTTCATAATCCCTAGGAGCACCTGAGGCCTCAGATGTGCCCTCCAGGTGCCACCAGCAGGGACGTCTTGCTTGTGGTATTACTGCATATTGTTTCATATAACGGTTAGCAATTACCATTTTTTCTTTTAAGTTGGGGTCTCAGTCTGTTACCCAGGCTGGAGTGCATTGATGCAATCATAGCTTAATGAGACCTCGAATTCCTGGGCTCAAGCCAGCCTCCCATCTCAGCCTCCTGAATAGCTGTGACTACAGGTACACTCCACTATGCCCAACTAATTAAAAAAAATTTTTTTTTTTGTAGAGACAAGATCTTGCTATGTTGCCCAGCATGGTCTTGAACTCCTGTGCTCAGGCGACTCTTCCACCTTGGCCCTCCAAAGCACTGGGATTACTGGCATGAGTCACCATATCTGGTCAGCAATTTAATTTTTATTGCTATATATTATTCCATTGGTGAGTACGGCTTATTTGTTAATTCTTATTGGTAAGAATAGTTCATTTATCAGTTCTATAGCCGAAGAACTTTCAGGTTATTTCCAATTCACGACTACTTTAAGCAATGCTCTGCAAACATTCTTATGGATGTTTCCTGGTACCCATTGGCATTCATTTTTCCTCAGCAGTGGTTTTCAAAGTATGTGTGCTACCTCTAGGGATCCCTAAGACATTCATGAGATGAAAATTTTTATAAGACATTGTTTACTCTTTTCACCAAGTTGACAGTTGCACCGATGGTGCAAAAACAGTGGTGGCAAAACTGCTGATGCCTTAGCATGAATCAAGTTAGTGGTACCAGACTGTACTAGTAGTCATCATATTATTCACCACAATGTGCCACAGTTTAAAAAATTCCAGTTTCACTTAAGAATGTTCTTTAATGCTGGATGCGATGGCTTATGCCTGTAATCCCCGCACTTTGGGAGGCCAAGGCAGGCGGATCACGAGGTCAGGAGTTTGAGACCAGCCTGGCCAATATGGTGAAACCCTGTCTCTACTAAAAACACAAAAATGAGCCGGGCGTGGTGGCACATGCCTGTAGTCCCAGCTACTTGGGAGGTTGAGGCAGAAGAATCACTTGAATCTGGGAGGCAGAGGTTGCAGTGAGCCAAGATTGTGCCACTGCACTCCAGCCTGGGCAACAGAGCAAGACTCCGTCTAGGAAAAAAAAAAAAAGAATGTTCTTTAATAAGCAGGAAAAGTTATCAATTATATTGAATCTTGACTAGAGTACTTTTTAAAAATATTCCATGTAGCATCAAAAAATATCAAGAAAATATCTAAGAAGGATAAGTCTTCTACAAGGAAAGCTCTGTAACTTCATTGAAGGACATTAAAAAGATTTAATAACTGGAGCTATATATCCTGCTTATAGATTAGAAGACTCAATATTGTAAAGATGTTAATTCTCCCAATGATGATTTAAAGATTCATCACACAGAGAGTGCTGACATTGTTTTACATTTTTGCAAAACCCTTTAATATCTAGCTTAATGAAGTCTCTTATTAATGCTAATAGTTGAATTAAAAATTCTTTTTGATTTCCTAGGTGCACAATAATGTTGTCAGTCAATAGCGATAGTTTTACTTTTTCATTTACAATCTTTGTACTTTTTATTTATTTTTATTGCCTTAGTGCACTGGAGATGATCTCTAGCACAATGTTGGACTGCTGTTGTTAGATCAGATGTCTCTGTCTTGTATTTATTTATTTATTTATTTATTTATTTATTTATTTATTTATTTATTTTTTGAGGCGGAGTCTCGCTTTGTCACCCAGGCTGGAGTGCAGTGGCACAATCTCGGCTCACTGCAAGCTCCGCCTCCTGGGTTCACGCCATTCTCCTGCCTCAGCCTCCTGAGTAGCTGGGACTACAGGCGCCTGCCACTACGCCCGGCTAATTTTTTGTATTTTTAGTAGCGACAGGGTTTCACTGTGTTAGCCAGGATGGTCTGGATCTCCTGACCTCGTGATCCTCCCGCCTCGGCCTCCCAAAGTGCTGGTATTACAGGCGTGAGCCACCGTGCCCGGCCTTGTATTTATTTTTATAGATATTCTTCAGTACATTAAGAAAGCACCCTCTCTATTTCTATTCAGCTAGGAGATTACTCCTTAAAATTATAAATGAATGTTGCATTTTATGAAATGATTTTTCTACATGTATTGTGATAATCATATAATTTTTTCCTTATCCTAGTAGTAAGGCAAATCACTTTGATTTTTTTCTAAGGCTGAATCAGCCTTGCATTTCTGCATTAAACTCAATTTATTTATGGTTACATTAGTTTCTAAAATTTTTTTGGAAAATTTTTGCACCTATGTTTGTAGATCAAATTTGCTTATACTTTCTCTTTTTTTCCAATATTTCTATCAGGTTTTGGAGTCAAAGTTATTGCTTGGAAGTGTTCTTTCACTTTTAAAATTCCTCCTGACTGTTGGTATAAATATTTGAGTATTTCTTTCATAAATCGCTGGTAAACCCACTGGTTAAACCATCTGGACTTGGAGAGCAGGAATTTTATTTTTTCATTATTATTTCAATTTTTTTAATGCTTACATAGAATTTTATTTTTTATTATTAATTCAATTTTTAGCGCTTACATAGAATTATTCCATTTTCTCCATAGTTTATATAATTGAGCTCTATTAATGAAAACGTTAATTGCTTTCTGTTTTTACTATTACAGAGGATGCTGTAATGAACACATTT
This sequence comes from Homo sapiens, assembly GCF_000001405.40. NCBI lineage: Eukaryota > Metazoa > Chordata > Mammalia > Primates > Hominidae > Homo > Homo sapiens. The sequence goes on along the minus strand of NC_000011.10, from coordinate 113,498,342 downwards.
ATACAAGCATTTTGCACATTTGTGTGTGTGTTTACATTTTAAATATATTTGTATAAGATAGATTCTTATAACAGAAGTTGCTTGGTCAAGAATATGACAGTTTTAGTTGTCTTGGTCTTGATATCGGACCATTTCTTCCTTGAGGAAGCAGCATTGGGATGAGAAATACCCTCTGGATTAGTTATTGATTGTGTGTAACAAATTACCTTAAAACTTGGTGGCTTAAAACAACAATAAACATGTATTATCCTCACAGTTTCTGTGGGTTGGGAATTTGAGAGTGGCTTAGCTGGGTATTTCTGATGTGGGGTCTCTCTTGAGGTGGTAATCAAGAAGTCAGCCAGGTCTGCAGTCATCTGAATGCTTGGCTGGAGCTGGAGGATCTGCTTTGAAGGGGGTTCACTCTTGTGGCTGGCAAGTTGGTGCTGGCCCTCAATAGGAGGCCTCTGTTTTCCCAATGTGGGCTCTCCACAGGCTGAGTATCATTGCAACATGGTAGTCAGCTTCCCTAGAACAAGTGATGAGAGAGAGAGAGAGAGATATAGTAGCAGTGATGCCTTTTGAACTCTGAAATCATACGCCATCACTTCTGCCATATTCTGCTCATTAGAAGCATAGTATTACATCTGGCCCACATTGAAAGGAAGGGGAATTAGATTACACCTGATGAAGGAAGATGTGTCAAAGGAATTATGAGCGTGTTTTAAAACCATCACAGCCTTTCTCTAAACCTAGTTTAAATGGATTGATTTCCTTAGCGTGAGCTTTCAAAAATATGTATCTAAGAAGTTCTGAGCCCATTGAAGTCACGGAGGTCAATGAGATCAGCTGGTGAGAAAGTGGTACTGGGAATACAAGCTGTCAACCACCTGCTGCCCTTGGTGTCCAGTCCCCAGTGCCCTGGCTACTATCCAGGCTCAAGATTTATGTCTTAATTATGTAAATGAAAAGATTATGCCATCAGGGGCTCTGGTGAGCTAATTACTAAACAAGAAATCAGTGCTGCTGAAGTCAAAACTAATGAATCCCAAGGCTCCCCACACTCTGACTATAATTGCAATAGTGAGGATCTTATTTCAACAGACCATGCCAGAGAGCTGGGAGGGCCTCACACTGTGATTGATTTATTGAGATCCTATCCAAGGTGCTTTTTCTCATGGATGCTGGGTGCTGGAAACAATCCCTGGCCATCCCTCTCCCAATCCATGGGCACTTCTGCACCTATTCAATCACCTGTAATAGCTCAGGCTCTGGGAAATGAATATATGGATTGTTCTGGCCAGTGACAGTGAGGAGGGAGGAGCTTTGGTCAGAGCATCAGCTCAAATAGATGTGACATTTGGAGGACTGAGGCAGGGTGAGAGGGTTTCACTGGGGTCCCTTTCTCCCTCCCTGCTTCGCAAGAGATATCCAATTGCCCCAGACAGTGGACAAAAGCGGACAGAGAGGTCTCTTGACCCTCTGGGCCCCAGAGGCACATGAACCCCTACTCAACTCGTTGTCCCCTCTTCACCCTCCCTCACTCCCACACTGCAGGGCTCTAGGCTCTGTCTCTCTTGCTTTATGTGACTATTTTCCTTTTAATCCAAATTGCCTAGTCTTACCCTTAGCTTTTATCCAGTGCTGCTACAAGAAATAGCCATGTGCAGTCTATTTCTGCAATTATCATAACCATACTGTTGAGGATCATGACTGTTATATCTGCAGCAAAATAATGAGGGGGATTTTTCTGGTGCCCCAGAATTGTGGCTAAGGCCCAAACCAAAGCAGAGGAGAAGAGGCACTGAGGAAGCCTGCATTCTAAACAGAGCTGCCTGGGAGCAGGGCTAACATGTCCTGGCAATGTGGTTTGTAAACCACAGGTTTGCAAACTGGTTGCAGAACTGACCTTCCCCCTTCAAGCCACTCTCCGTCCTGCCTTCTGCTCCTCACTCTTGCAGATACCAAGAGAGGACTGGGGAATGGTATGGGGAGATGGCACCAGAGCTGCAACCTTACAGTGTTGGTGGTGGGGGCAATTCCCTTATCTCCCCATGGGAAGACACATGATCACAGAGACCACTGCACTGGCACTCTGCTCTAGAGACTCTCTAAGACCTGTGGAGATGGCCCATGCCAGTGGAGGGAGAAGGGGCTGCAGAGGGCCTGGGAAAGAAGCACTGGGGTTACCCCATCCTGGGTCTCAGCAGCCCTTGGAGGACACAGTGGAAGTCCACAGTATTGCCTATGGTTCCACACAAGGGGCATGGAATGGAAGGGCAGGAACTGCGGGCTGCCCAGCTGGTTGCCAGAATAAGTCGGGAAGGCACCACTCAGAGAGAGGGGGGCACAGTGCAGGTTGAAGGGGGGCATTACCACCTCCTTTTCAAGTGGTTCCTTCTAGGAGAGGAGACCCGGGTTGAGCTGAATATTGCTCCAAAAAAAGACCCCACCCTCCATGTGGAGACTGCCACTCAGCGGGGTCCACTAACCTCCCACAGAGCCAGGGTGAGCCAGGCTGAGATCAGAGATGCCTCCTCACCACCATCACTCTCGGCCACACTGAGATGCCTCCTGCCTCCCCATCCTTCCTTCCTGCCCCCAAGTCTAGAACCGCTAGATCCAGAGAAGGGAGGAAGAGGAGGAGGAGAAGTGAAGGAGGAGACCATGCTGCTCCCCCACCTCCAAGTCCCTAAAGCCACAGTCTTCCTGGGGTTTGGGACATTGACAAAAGGAAGAGCTTTGAACCAGATATGAATTTGGAGTTTTAAATGGACTGGACTGAGTTTTTAGTAACTGAAAGTGACAGGAATATTTATTCACTTTCTGCCCAAAATATCAAGGGATGGGAGAAAGGGATTTGACAGAACACAGCAGAAAGCAGTGACTAGAAAAAATTAATTTTCATGTTTATACCCCACTGCGTTGAGACTCCTGAATAACCCACTGCACATCATTCCAATCGATGCCCTTTAAATAAAGCCCCATGGAAAGAAAGTCTTCTCAGATTTTTTTGCAAGACTATCCAAGATGTGGGGAAATGTGCACCCTCGCACACTGTGGGAGTAGAGGTAAACTGTAAAGGCAAGGCTTTTCCAGGGAGCGGTGTGTGTCACAAGACTTAACAAGGGCATGCCTTTGATGCAGCAGTTTTACAGTGAGGAAGGTACTTATTGATCATTAAACAGATGTTCATGGAGTACCTATTATGTGTTGGGCACTGTTCTAGGTACATTGACCACTGCAGACATGGTTTCTAGCCTTGTGGACATTACAGCTCAGTGAAGGAAAAAGACAGGGCAACAGGATGCTACAACACAGGCTGATTCCTGCCGTAAGAGAATGAAGAGTGGGTGACGGTGGTGACATGAGAGGTGCAGAGGTCTGTGGTGGAGGTGGGTGTCAGAGGAGACTCATCTGAGGAAGTGATGTCTCTGTTGAGAGCTAAAAGATGAATGGATAAGGGTGCTCAGGCAGTGGAGAGTGTGCTAGGCAGTGGAATGAGGATGTACAAAAGCACAGAGGCAAACAGCGTGACAAGTTCAAAAAACCTGAAGACGTTCAGTTTGGCCAGAAAGAGGAGCAACAGTGAAGGTGCTTTAAGCAGGAAGAAGCTGGAAAGGGACAAGGAGCCCTGAGGGAATAATTCAGGATGCATGCAAAGACTCACCAAAGCATCATTTATGGTTATAATATCTGATGATTGGAGACAACTTAGATGTCAAACAATGGATCACCAGTGGCACCAACACAATAGAACACTGTATGACTATAAAAACAATGCTGTGGATGACTATTTATTGATGTGAAGAGATGCTGAATGTTATATTGTCAAATTAAAAACCAGCATATTGGAGAGCCTTGCAAAAAAAATCAGCATATATAATATAAAATGTACACGCTGGACACAGTGGCTCATGGCTGTAATCCCGGCACTTTGGAAGCCTTGAGACCAGGAGTTTGAGGCTGGCCTGGGCAACATAGTGAGACCCCGTCTCCACGAAAGCCAAGAACACTAGCTAAGCATGGCAGCTAGCTAATGTGCTTATAGTCCCAGCTACTCAGGAGACTGAAGCAGGAAGATTGCTTGAGCCCAGGAGTTCGAGGCTGCAGTGAGCTATGATCAGGGCAGTATACTCCAGCCTGGGCGACAGAGGGAGACATTGTCTCTAAAATATATACATACATTAGTAAAATAAAATAAAATTGTATGCACAGTTTGATCTTATTTTTATTTTAAAAATTATGCAAAGATTCTGGAAAAATACATACCCAGTTAACTGTACTTGTCTCTCGGTGCTGGGGTTGCAGACGAATTTCATTCTTTCCTTTTTGCTCTACTGTAGTTTATACCATATTTCATCTGTGTGCAAGTATGGCCTGGATAATAAGGAAGTGAAAGTTATAAAATATAAAATCTCTGAAATGTAAGCTTAAACAATTTAGTGCCAGGAAAGTCTTGGTTTCCCTATCAAGCATGAAGAAATTATTCAAAATTGAGAAGAAGCTAGTGTAAATGCAACTGACATGGAATATCAATTTAGACATTTATGAGCTCCAACGAACTCTGCATGCTTATTCAGAAGGTGTCCACTCCCCTCCCCAACGGGCTACCATTTCCAGCCACATGCACCAGTTGCTGAGCCCCAGGCAGCGCCAGCTTCTCATGGAAATCTTTAATTCTTGTTCTACCACCTTCTTGGTTCTCTAGTTTTATTTCAGAAGCTTCTTAACCTATTAGGATCTGCAAGCAGATAAGCTTATAACACTACGCTAAGGTCTGTTCAAGGCCTTCTGGGTATCAATAAATTCCAGTGGGTTTACACAACTTTGGGGAAATAGACATCTTCTTCTGGTCCTACTAGTATGTGGCTCACTTTAGGACCTCAGCACACACACCCAGCATGATAAATGTGCATCACCATCTTGCAGAGCCTTGGAGTAGAAAAAGAGAAGCTGGTGAACTTCCTCCTTTCTGAAACTTAACATGTTTCCTTTTTGCCATGGTTACCTGTAATCAGAGTCAATCTGATGCTATTGAATTATTACGGAGAAAGAGTTGCTATTTGAATTCAGTGCTTTGAATTCAATTGATCTTTGAATAAGGAGCTTCTGCAGTGATGTGGACCCTCTGCCTAAAGTGGACCAACATTCTTTCTGTCCCTTGAAAGACACGTGTTTTCCCTGTTCCCATCCCTGTGTTCATGCAGGTCCTCTCACTAGGAAATCCTGCTTTGCTGCACTTTCTGTCTATCCCAATGCTACTGATCCGTCATGACGCAGATCAAGTTTCACCTGTGTGAAGGCTTCCCTGATGCTACAATTTTCATGCATCTAGATTCTATGTGCTCCTTGAAAAGAGCATAGATGTTGCCACTGGAAGTCATAAGATCTAGTTGTAACTTTACTACTTACTACTTGAGTGATCTTGTGAAATTTACTTACCCTTTAAGAACGTCAGTTTTTTTGTTTGTTTGTTTGTTTGTTTCATGGAGACATTGAATAACAGGGCACAGGATTACAGAATATTACAATTTAAGTGCCTTAATTACCAAACGCTACATGTATTCAACAAACATTTGTTAAGTACCAACTAGGCAAGTGACACTGCACTAGGCATTACCCAAATGCTGGTTTTGTTATAAGAAGAAATAATAGTTTTCTAGGGAATTTAGCAAATTACATTGTTTTGTGCTTTTAATGTTTCACCTATGAATGTCTTGTTAAGTCTTTTTTGTATTTTGTATGTTAATTTTTTGTATTGCCAAATATTTATCAAATTCTTATTATGAGCCTAGTGGGGATAAAATGGTGGATAATAATGTTCCCTCCTGCAGCTGTGTGGATTTAAAAAATGGGGAACAATTGAAGATTTTAAGCAAGGGAGTAATTTGTTGGGATTTGTGCTTTTAAAATATGATGCTTTTTCCAAGTAATTGAAACTTTCTCCCCTTCTTTGCTTGTCTAAGTTCTGTCCATTTTTGTTATCAAGTTTGATGTCACTTTCTATTGGGATACTTCTCTGATGTCCAAATTTGGATTTTGGGCCCTCTGTCTGTACCTGTCTGTACCTTTTCTTTTCTACCCTCTGTGCAGCTCTAATGACATGGGTTGTAAAAGTTTGGGTACTTGTCTGTGTGCCCCTAGACCATGAACTCCTGATGAGACATTTCTGGGTTGTGGAAGAAAGAGTGTTTACTAACTGAGAAACCTGGAGGAGAGTCAATATCTGTAGGGAAGTGCCAAGTTTTAGTTAAACTGGGAAGAGAGGAGGCCACTTGGTTGAGGAATCTGGGGGAACATGAACATTTGTTTACCACAGAGTTGATTCTAAAGGAGACTGTGGGCTCTTGCGTTGTGAGGGAGGAAGTCCAAGGGAGTGGGTGAGGAGAGCTAAGCCCAGGGGCAAGGCAGACTGAGTTCGTTCAAGAGAGAGGTCCTGGGTCATTCTCGAAAGAGGAAATCCAAGGCCAGGAGAGCACACTGGCGATGGGTTTAGTTAGTGCCCAGTACTCTTACCATGTGGAGAGAACAACAGCCCTAACTCACCAGAAAAGTATAAGGCCTTTAAGAAATGCTTAAAGTATACCTCAACAAAGTTGGAGGGAAAACTGCAACAAAAAAGGGACAAATGCTTTATAAAATAAATAAATGTCTAAAGAAAATACTAGGTTTATGAATTACCTTCTCCTGCATCAGAAAGAGCAGTGGCTCTAATCTTCTGGCCCACGCAAAGGAAGGCCCAGTAGGTGCCTGGCCGTGGCCACCTGACCTCTGTTGCTGTCAAGGCTTGGGAATTACCTGTCCAGAAATCCAAGAACCTTTGCTTATGAGTTTTGATTTCTCATTAACCTTTATAGGGTTTTCCCTGATAATTAACACATATTATTTACCAGTTCGTCTTCTCCAATTAAGATGATAATTAGCTTCCATGTTCTACCAGCCATTCTATGAAAAAGAGCTTAATGAAACAATCCAGACATATAATCACATTAACAAGAGAGGAACCCATAGGGAGGAGGAGGATTTGAAATGTTTAACAGTTGAGCGGAGAGTCATGGGATTTCAGGGCAAACACAGACCCCATATGGGCTGTCATATATCCCATGGCATGGGAAGGAGAGTGTGGGTCAGTTGGGAAGATTGGGTGTTTTTTTTTTTTTGCCTTGGCAGGTCATAGAAACAGGAAGCTGGCGCATGCAACAGGGTGGGCTACAGGCTTTGATAGAATGGTGGCTAACAACAACAACTGGTATTTGTCAGATGTCTACACTGTGCATGGCATTATGTCAGGTGATCTACAAGCTTTACGTCAATGGATTCTTACTGAAACCCTTTGAGGTAAGTATTATACTTAGCTGTGTATTACTGACAAAACAACTGAGGCTCAAAGAGGTTAAGTAACTTACCTAAGGTCATGCAGCTATTAAGTAGCGAAGCTGAGACTAGAACCCTGGGTGAGCCAAGGTATGCTCCTCCATGTGGTGGGAGATTGATAGAAAGCAAAGAGGTTTGGGGGACAATGGTGCCTGCCTCTAAAGCCATGTGGCTGCCACAAAAATGGCTTGGCCCAACAGTGGCAAGTATATGGCACATATACAGCCTGTCAGTCCCTCCAGCTATTACCCCTGCTAGACATTTCTAGTTTATCATGATCTCTCCCACTGAGCACAGATGTGGCCTCATACTCCTTCTCACCACAGCATTGCAGGCAGCCACTAAGTCAATCAGAACTGACATGTCAGATGAAACCACTTTGCCATTCCTAACTTAGATGCTCTGTAAAAACATGAGTGGCAAAGCATCGGGCTCAGAGTTTGCAGGAACCAGCCCTAGATCCTGGTTCTTCCTCTTCCAGCAGTTCCCAGAGCTTATCGCACCATCTGTGAAATCTGAAGTATTGTTGTGAGGATTCAATGGAGTAATATCTGCTGATGTGCGAACCACAGAGCCTGCAGGAGAGTAAGTCGTTGGGAAGGGCTGGCTTCCTTCTTTTACAATGGCAGTCAGTATGTTCAGGCTTATGTCAGGGCCAAGGATGGGTTTCTCAGTCTTAGAAACCTCCCTGGTGGGGAAAGGCTGTGACACAGTAGCCTAGATCCCAGGGAATACATGGAGAGGTGGAGTGTCCAGGGGTGAGGACTGAGAGTAGCTAGAGTGACTGATGTGCTGGAGAACAGTCCAGCTGGGTGTGGAGGGAGGCCCATGGAAGAGAGGGGCAAAGAAGCCATTTCCAGCAAAAACCAAGAATCCTTGGGCTGGGCCCCACCTGGATACAAATCCAAATCTATACCAGCCAATGTGAGCCAGGCAAGGTGGCCTGAGCTGAGGCTTCAGGAACCCTGGGATAAAGAATGTGTGCTAGACAAACAGAATGTGTCTTGCTTGGCCTTTTCACTATTTTCCATTTAGGCTGTGTTTGGTTTTCCTTTAGTTTTCTAAAGTTTCAAAATACTAACTTCTTTATTGATTTAAGAGGAAAAGGGAAACTCTCTATACCAAAGAAGGAAGGTGGGAAGGTTCAGAGTGGCCTATGCCAAGTCCTGAGGGCACTGACCACCTTGGGGGCAATGAGAAGAGCCATGGAGCTGGAGAAGCCAAAGAGAGGACAAGCAGAGTGAAGAGGAGGTATTCAGGAAAGCAGTTGTCAGTAGACTTCCATGTCTTTTGCTACCTTTGATTTAAGTCTCCTTCTGCCAGGTAAAGTAGAGCACTGCATGTCCCTCTTGAGTTCCAGTGTCCTGCCATCTCATGTAGCCCTTCCGGGTCTTGACTTTGAGTTGATGGAGGTGAGAGAGATCTAGAAAGAGCTCTTAGTGGGTAATGTGAGCAAGTCAGGAAACTCAGCTCAGAGCACCAGATCTGGGCAAAAGGGGTGGATCTGAGTCTTAAGGAGAAGGAAGGAAACCACTGTTCAGAACTGGGTTTCAGTTTAGGGTGGTGTTAGGCCTTTCTGATGCAAAGGACTAGAGGCTTTCTTGATCATCTTCAGTAAGTGTGTATGTGTGTGTGTGCTTGGAGTAAGGGAAGAAGTATTGAAAGGAAGAACATGGAAATAAGGTAATTAGAAACCTCAACCACATGGCCAGATGTCAAGAGTGCCAGGGAGAGTTTAGTAATCAGGCCTTGCAAGAAGAAAAGAAACTAATATCCTGGTGGATTTTTTGGAGACCAGAACTGGAAGACTGGGCAAAGTTCCAGTCACTCTAGGGATTAGGATCAATTTTCATCTTCACAGAAGTGTTTTCTGCTCTACATGTCTGCTTCTTTGTGTTATCTACTTTACAGGATATGGACCAATGCCCTCACCCTACTCATATCTTTGGCTTATTTATAATTTTGGTTTACTCATAAACATCACTTACTCATGATTGCTCATGGTTCTTGCCTTCTTTTGACCTCTCTCTGCATCAGTTTCTGCTCCCAATGCCAACCGAATAATTCTCTTTAAAGAATCTCATAGTTTACATTTCTAACAGATAAAATCTAAATGGTCCAGCTAATCATAATTGTCTCCATTGAGAAAGAACTTTTCAGTCAGACCACCTCATGGATTGTCTGCTCTGGGCTGTCAACGATGAGAGAAGAAGTTTCTTATTGGAGGCAGCAGGGGACTGTGCAACTGTGCAGCAGGTCTGTGTCCTATCTCCGTCCACATTGGAAGCTCTCATAGGGCAAGGCCTGGGAACTGAGCAGTTCTCTGCATGCTCCTTTTGAGAGCATCCCAACTTCTGTAGGGTCTTGATCTTCATCCATAATGATGACTGGGTTCATTTACCTCACCTTACTCTCAGCAGCCTCTACCCTAATAGCTGGATTTTTTATTTGGCGCTCTACCAGTCAGAGTCCTAGCAGGACACATGAAAATCATATGCAAGACATACGAAAATCATATGCAAGGCATATGCAAATCATAGGATCAATTGAGAAGAGTTTAGAGGGAAAAAAAAAAAAGACCACGGCTGGGCATGGTGGCTCATGCCTTAATCCTAGCACTTTGGGAGGCCGAGGTGGGTGGATCACCTGAGGTCAGGAGTTCGAGACCAGCCTGGCCAACCTGGTGAAACCTCATCTCTACTAAAACTACAAAAATTAGCTGGGCATGGTGGTGGGCACCTGTAATCCCAACTACTTGGGAGGCTGAGGCAGGAGAATCACTTGAACCCGGGAGGTGGAGGTTGCAGTCAGCCATTGCACCATTGCACTCCAGCCTGGGCGATTTAGGACTGGTGACAGTGGGGCTCCATTACAACTTGAAGGACCTGAAGGGGCCAAGAAAGGAGCAGTTACCAGGAGGGAGGAAGAAGGAGAGTGAGAGCGAGAGGCGTACAGAAGCTGTGACCTGTGGCCTAGAGTTGCAGGCTCCCCCATGCCCCCGGAGTGATCTAGAGACTGATCCTGACCTCGTTCTCTCTCCCTCTGATTTCCTTCCCGTATTCCAACCCAATGCTCAGGAAGGCAGAGTGTGAGGGGGCCTTGATTCAGTCTACATGGGTCAGCTCCCAGAGTGTGAGCAGGGTGAAGGGCAGAAAGGAGACCTGGAAGGACAAAACTGAGATGTCCAGCACAGGGCTTTCCTCCCTGGCAGTGGTCTTGAATTTAGAATTTGAGCACTGTTCAGCTGGTACCTACATTTCCTGGTTTGAGTTTTGCAAATCTATACTCTATGGCTGGCAGACAGCCAGGGAGAGAAGGCAGCCAGCAGTATGGGTCACACGATGTTGAGGGTGCATACCCCAGGGGATGGAAGGTGTAAGGCATGGAAGGCGAGACAGCCTGGAAGGCAGAAGTTGATGTGTGGAAGCCTGGGCAACAGGTAACAGGTCAGTGGTGCCATCATGGGAACAAGAAGGTCCAACTTGGAGGGACAGAGGACATCCACCTGGTTAGTTGGGCACAGCCATGAGGTCTCTCAGGGAGGATTCAGAGTCCTCAGCAGATAGATTTAGCTCAACATTTATTCTTTTCTTTTTTTTTTTTAATTTCAGTAGGTTTTTTGGGAATAGGTGGTGTTTGGTTACATGAATAAGTTCTTTAGTGGTGATTTCTGAAATTTTGGTGTGCCCATCACTCAAACAGTGTACACTGTACACAATGTGTAGTCTTTTATCCCATGTTACCCCCTTTAAGAAATGCTTAACGTATACCTCCCCCAAGTCCCCTAAGTCCAATGTACAATTCTTACACCTTTGAGTCCTCATAGCTTAGCTCCCATATATGAATGAGAACATGTGATGTTTGGTTTTCCATTTCTGAGTTACTTCGCTTAGAATAATAGTGTCCAATTCCATCCAGGTTGCTGCGAATGCCATTATTTTGTTTCTTTTCATGGCTGAGTAGTATTCCATCATGAGTGTATATATATATATATATATTATGTATATATATATTATATATACACATCATATATATATTATATATATATAATATATATATAATATATATATATATTATATATATATTATATATATATATATATATTATATATATATATATATATAATATATATATATAATATTTGCTTCATCCAGTCATTGATAGATGAGCATTTGGGTTGGTTCCATATTTTTACAATTGCAAATTGTGCTGCTATAAACATGCATGTGCAAGTATCCTTTTTGTATAATGCCTTCTTGTCATCTGGGTAGATTCCTAGTAGTGGGATTTTCTTTAAGGAATCTCCACTCTGGATTTTCCATAGTGGTTGTACTAGTTTACATTCCCACCAACAGTGTAAAAGTGTTTCCTTTTCACCACATCCATGCCAACATCTGTTATTTTTTGATTTTTTGATTATGGCCATTCTTGCAGGAGTGTGGTGGTATCACATTGTGGTTTTGATTTGCATCATTTTGCATTAATGATTTTGATCATTAGTGATGTTGAGCATTTTTCCATATGCGTGTTGGTCATTTGTATATCTTCATTTGAGAATTGTCTATTCATGTCCTTGGCCCACTTTTTGATGGGATTTTTTTTTTTCTTGCTAGTTTGTTTGTTTGAGTTCTTTATAGATTCTGGATATTAGTTCTTTGTCAGATGTACAGATTGTGAAGATTTTCTCCTACTATGTGCATTTTCTGTTAACTCTGCTGCTGATTTCTTTTGTTGTGCAGAAGATTTTAGTTGAATTAAGTCCCATCTATTTATCTTTGTTTTTGTTGCATTTGCTTCTAGGTTCTTGGTCATGAACTCTTTGCCTAAGCCAATGTCTAGAAAGGTTTTTCCAACGTTATCTTCTAGCATCTTTATGGTTTCAGGCCTTAGATTTAAGTCTTTAATCCATCTTGAGCTGATTTTTGCATAAGGTGAGAGATGAGGATCTAGTTTCATTCTTCTGTATGTGGCTTGCCAATTATCCCAGCACCATTTGTTGTATAGAGTGTCCTTTCCCACTTTATGTTTTTGTTTGCTTTGTCAAAGATCAGTTGGCTGTAAATATTTGGCTTTATTTCTGGATTCTCTCTTCTGTTCCATTGGTCTATGTGCCTATTTTTATATCAGTACCATGCTGTTTTGGTGACTATGGCCTAGTAGTATAGTGTGAAGTCAGGTAATGTGATTCCTCCAGATTTGTTTTGTTTTTGTTTCTGTTTTTGCTTAGTCTTGCTTTGGCTATGCGGGCTATTTTTTGGTCCCATATGAATTTTAGAATTTTTTTCTAATTCTGTGAAAAATGATGGTGGTATTTTGATGGGAATTGCATTGAATCTGTAGATTGCTTTTGGCAGTAAGTTCTTTTTTCTTTTTTTTTTTTTTTTTTGAGATGGAATCTTGCTCTGTCACCCAGGCTGGAGTGCAATGGCATGATCTTGGCTCACTGCAAGCTCCTCCTCCCGGGTTCACCCCATTCTACCTCCTCAGCCTCCCAAGTAGCTGGGACTACAGGCACCCGCCACCACGCTTGGCTAATTTTTTGTATTTTTTGTAGAGACGGGGTTTCACTGTGTCACCCAGGATGGTCTCGATCTCCTGACCTCATGATCTGCCCTCCTCGGCCTCCCAAAGTGCTGGGATTACAAGCATGAGCCACTGCGCCCGGCCACGGTATGATCATTTTCACAATATTGATTCTACAAATCCGTGAGCACGGGATGTATTTCCATTTGTTTGTGTTGTCTATGATTTCTTTCAGCTGTGTTTTGTAGCCATGTTTTCCTTGTAGAAGTCTTTCATGTCCTTGGTTAGGTATATTCCTAAGTATTGTATTTATTTATTTATTTATTTTGCAGCTATTGTGAAAGGGATTGAGTTCTTGATTTGATTCTCAGCTTGGTTGCTGTTGATGTACAACAGCAGCTCAACATTTATTAAGTGATCTTCTCTGCTTCTAGCACCATGTAAGGCACCGAGAAACTAAAGATGGATAACAAAGTATTTTCCAGTAATTTCAATATAATGTGAAGTGTGATTAGATAGTGTGCCCAAGGGCTCTGGGGGCCCCATCTGAGACTTTCTGGGGAGAAGGAGGCCTGGGCCCCTCCAGAAAGTTAAGTGAGAGTCAGGCTAAGTAAGGAGGGAATAACATCCCAGCCAGAGGGAATGGTAGAAGAAAACATGAATGCAAGTGCCCATGGTAAGGTCAGGCATTGCTGTGAAGTGGGAGGTAAAACATCGTGAGAGATGCGACTGGAGATGTGGATGGAGAAGGCAGGCCATGGCAGGCTGGGAGCAGACAGAGGCGCACACTTCACTGTGTGGCCAATGGGCAAGCCTTGAAGGGTTTTAAGAGACGTCCAATGTGATCATGTCTGTATGTGGATGGCCCTCTGGAGGCTAGGCCCAAGCTGGATCAATGGGTAAGTCTAGAGACAGAGAGAGCAGTGAGGAGGTAATTAAATAGTCCAAGTGGGAGAGGATGAGGCCTGAGCTAGGCAGGAATGAAAGCTGGAGCTGCCCCTGCAGAGCCCAACAGGGAGCAGCCATGCTCAGAAATCCCCCGCCCTCCTCGGCTGGCATGGTGGGAATGTATTACTGCTGATGTCCCTGAGGCAGGGTGGCTTTCCCCACCTGTCTGGCTGAGCACCAATTTGCCCTAAACTATACTTAAGACTGTCATGACATAAGCAAATGAAATTGCCTATAGGTGATTATAGGATTATCTGAAGGGCTCAGGGAAATCCAGGTGCTTCTCAGTTTTCCAACCTGAGTGGCAGAGATCAGACGGCCCCTCTGGGAAGGTTTGCTGGATACTGCTGGGAGCTGGGAAGTGTGGGGAAGGGTGAGGAGGGATGCCGTCTCCCTAGGTGGAGAGCTTCACATGCACTCTGTGACAGTCACAAGGGCGAAGGGCATACTCATGGAAGCAGATGGGCTTACCTCACAGCTCCTACTAACTCGCCTGCCTGAGAGGTCAGGCACATCACTAAAAATAGCAAACCCCAATTACAGAGTACTTCCTAGGGCCCAGGCAATCTTTCTCAAGGTGTTCCCATAGACAGGATCACATATAATTACCACAAAAACTTTTACAAGTAGATCTGAGGGAAGGTGAATCAAATGGAAGAGTCAGTCCCTGGCTCTGAGGGAAGGCTGGGAACATGGACAAAGAAATTTCTGCTCTGGGACTTCTGGGCCCCTTCTCTCTAATCCAAACAGACCAGGAGTGCAGACAGGGCTGGGGTGACCAGTGGGCTGGCCCCTTTCTAACCTATCTCTGAAAATGAGAAGGGGCGGTGCCCAAAGCACAAGCATGTTGAAGTACAAAGACGGCCAGTTAAGGCTTTGGTCTCTTCCCTCTCTCCATCTTCTGCCATTCTTCTGCCACCTCCCACCTCCTCTCTCCTTTTCTTCTTTCTTATATCCACAAGATATCTGGCATCATCTATCTACTTTCAAAAACCCCTGCAGTCAGGCCCACCTGTACAGCCCCCATCTATCCAGATGCTGAGCAAAAGGATGTCTTCTCCCCATCCCTCCCTCCATCAAAACTTTCACACCCCCAGTGCCTGGAAAGCAATCTCTGTTAACCAGCTCACACTCAGGTATGTGTAACAGAAAAATCACCCTTAAATTTCCACCCTTACATTTGCTCACTGAGCCAAATTATTAATTGGGACTAAGTAATTGGGGAGGTTTCTTTTAACAGACACTTGTTGCGAGTCTGCCCTGTGTCAGGTTCTGTGCTGGGGGCATGGAGGGACACAGGTGAGCTGTAGGATTTCACACTTTAGTTGAGAAGCAAGACAGGAACACAAATGACAGTGTAATCAATGTCACAAAGAGGTACAGCTCTTTATTAATACTGGGGTGCGGGAAATGAGGAAAGGCCTCATGGAACTCAACTATGTGAGTTGGGCCTTGAAAAACCAGCAGGAAATGGATGTATGGATGCAGGGAAGAGGGCTCTCAGGCATTTCAGACAATGGTAGTATGTGTCTGGAGGTGGACCTGGAACAAGTACCCAGGAGACAACAGGTGATCCCAAAGTGTGAGGAAGATGCTTCTGCTCGAAGAAGGCAGAGAAAGGGGTTCCTTTAAATTTCATCCCTCACTTTTTTCCTGCAGGAGAAGGACTCAAGGTCTGCAATGATTTTTCTTCCATCCTCACAGGATTTCCCACACATCCCAGTCCCTCCCTCACTGGATGAAGGGGCTGGACAAAGGGGCTGTCTTGTCTTTCCCCCATCTTGACTGAGAGCTTGCCTTGAACCATCTCCTAGCAACCCAGCTCCCACCTGACTCTCCAGCTTTGTGGGCAGACCCACCCGTCATCAGCTCTGACCAGGTGCAGGTGACAGACCTGGAGGGCTCTATGGGGTCTCAGAGCAACACCCCAACCTTTCTCAATGGCTCCTTTCCTTCCCCCCTGGTATGACCCCCACAAATACTTGGTTTCTATAACTGTAATAATAGTCCTCCCTCTGAATAGCTTACCCACTATTTATGCCTAATTACCATATAGCACAATAATGATTATGTATAGCACTAAATGTGTCAGATTAACTTTGCTCAAAGTTTTGCTTCATTACAACACCAAACTCGATTCATGTGCATTGAGTATTTAACCTCTCTGGGCTTCAACTCCCACATATGCGAAATGAGGGGTAGGGATTATTTCAGTGCTTCCCCTGCTGCTTGGTGTTCAGTATCACTGGTTGGCTTTTTAGAAATACAGAAGGCTAACCCCGACCCCTTAAATTATAATGTAACGGTTCTGGCATTGGGCCCCCATATCTATATTTTTCTTTTAGTTTCCCAGGGATTTCTATTAAATCCAATCCAAAGATTGACATATGGGAAACTCTGGAGTAGGTCATCTCTGCCACCCTTTCCAAACCTCATTGATTCATTTATTGATTCACTCACTGGGAGGGGCAAGTACCAGCAATGAGGCTGGAAAGAGGCAAGGATGGATGTGGTGTTAGCATGATTAGAATTTATCTCAAAGGCAACAGGAAAGGCTTTGAAGGGGAGTAAGTAGGATGACATCATCAGATTTATGTTTAAGAGGCAGCATTGTTTTGCAGTGTGGAACATGGGCTGGAGTAAGGACAGCAGCAGAAGGCTTCATAATCATCTGCATGGGACAAGATGATGGCTGGACTGGAGTGGTGGCAGTGGGGGTGGAGTGAGTGGGTGGATCTGTGTAGCATTCAGAAAGTAGAATAAGCAGAGCTCGGCTTTATTTTTTCCTTTGGATCCGGGATATGGTGATTTGTTGTTTCGCTGCACCACCTCTGTCCTCTTCCTATACTGTAGAATCCCTGTGTGGGTCTTGGTGGCAGGCAGAGCCCTCACCCCACTGAAAGGTGCAGCTCATAGCCCTGCTCAACCAATGAGTGGCAGCTGCCTCAGATTTTGACTGAGGAGCTAGTGACTCAGAGAAGCAAGGACTCTGGAGAATCAATCCTAGAGGTAGTACCAGTAGCCACAACTTTCAGTTTTCCAGGAACAGCATAACAGGGTGCCAGAGGGTTGCCAGTGTCTGGTACCAGCCAAGGTGGAGATGCCATCTGGTGCCCTGTATTTAGCTATGATAGCTAAGTTCTCACTGGACTGCTGCTCCAGCTTGATTTTGGTTGAAAGCCTAACAGTAGCTAGCTTTATTCTCCCTGCCTGTTTTACAAGTCTGGTTCTCTAATCTCTATGATTCTGTGAGCTACTACAATATTTTCCATGAATTCCTTTTCTGCTTAAACTGTCAGAATTGTTTGTTTCTCACATTCGTGTTCCCAACTGCTACCCTGATTGTGTTGGAGGAAGAGGGGGTATGAACAGTTGGATGGTGTGGTCCTCAGAGATGAGAAACACAGCCAGAGGGTCAGGTGTGAGCAGAAGAACCCCAAGTGCTGCTGGTTATAGACTAAAAATGCCTTTGCTCCTTATTCACTCACCCTCAATAAAGAAGGAGCCGAGACTGAGTTTTTCTTCTCCATTGAGAGCTTTCTTTGAACTGCACAGCTCCATTCAGAAACTGAATGGTTGAATGGTCCTTGCATTTGCAGACTTTCTGAAATCTAACATCCTAGTTTCATTGCCTGCTCTCATCCTCATAATCTTCCAAGTGCTCTCCCCAAATTAACAACATTCTTGCCATCACAAGACTATTGGAAGGTAAATAAGATCACAGATGAGAAAGTGCTTTGTCATCTATGGAAAGGACTGAAGAACTTCAAGGCAGTAGATTGTACTTACCTAAATACAACTTCAGAAGTTATATGTAGATTGTTTTCTAACTTTGATCACTTTCCCACCTATTTACTTGGTAGTTTACGAGATGTTTTACTTTGTTTTCACATAGATTGGCAACTGCAGTAACCACTGAAACACAAGATTTTTTTTTTTTTTTTTTTTTTTTTTTTGTGACAGAATTTCACTCTTGTTGCCCAGGCTGAAGTGCAATGGCACAGTCTCGGCTCACTGCAACCTCCACTTCCCGGTTCAAGTGATCCTCCTGCCTCAGCCTCCCAACTAGCTGGGATTACAGGAGCCCACCACCATGCCCGGCTAATTTATTTTTAGTGGAGATGGGGTTTCACCATGTTGGCCAGGCTGGTCTCGAACTCCTGACCTCAGGTGATCCACCCACCTCGGCCTTCCAAAGTGCTGGGATTACAAGTATGAGCCACTGCGCATTTTAAGTGCATAGTTCAGTAGGATTAAGTACATTCATGTTGTGTAAGCATCACTACCGCTCCACTTTAGAGCCAGCCTCGATCTTCCAAAGTACCGGGATTACAGGCGTGAACCACCACGCATTTTAAGTGCATAGTTCAGTAGCATTAAGTACATTCATATTGTTGTGTAAGCATCACCACCACTCCACTTTAGAACATTCTTCATGTTCTCATACCGAAACCCCATACCCATCAAATATGTCCCCATTTGTCCCTGCCTCCAGCCTCTGGCCACCACCAATTCACTCTCTGTCTCTGTAGATTGACTCTAGATACCTCATATAAGTGGCATTGTACAGTATATGTCCTTTTGTAACTGGCTTATTTCACTTGGCACAATGTCTTCGAGATTCCATGAGGTAGCAGGTGTGAGAATTTCTCTCCTTTGTTAAGACCTAATAATATTCCTTTGCATGTAAATACCACATCTTGTTTATCCATGTTGATGGA
Organism: Homo sapiens; assembly: GCF_000001405.40. NCBI lineage: Eukaryota > Metazoa > Chordata > Mammalia > Primates > Hominidae > Homo > Homo sapiens. Next base: position 113,479,794 of record NC_000011.10, on the reverse strand, counting down.
CACATGGCTTGTTTCCACCTTTTGGCTATTGTGCATAGTGCTGCTATGAACATAGGTGTGGAAATGAGGTGTATATTTTTATGACCTCTTCCCATCAAGCAATTAAATTTCTAATATGAATAATTGCACTCTGAGTTATCTGTTCTGTAACTCTGAAGAACTGTGTAACAGAATTTCTTAAAGTGAGTCATCCCTGTATTCTCTTTACTCTTTCAAAATAGGAGGCAGCAAAGAACAAATGTCCATTTCACACCCAGGTGGAAAGGCCCATTAGAGTCTACCAGTGAGGAAATCATTTTCTAAGGGTGATTACACACGCAGATGTCAAAACCCTCAGGTAACTCTCTGCTCTCCTGCCTTGGTTGGACAGTGCCCTGAACTTCTGTCCTTCTCAGAAGATTCTCCCCTTGCCCACCCTTCTCTGGGGTCTACCATCTCGACTACCTTCAGTCCCTTCCCTAGATTATCCTACATGGGGCTGTAGATCCCTCAATAACAACAATATCCAAGAATTCCACACCTCTCTAAGGTTTTCTGCATTTGAGGGATGTAATAAAGTACAAAAGAGATGATTTTTTTTTGCCCCATACTTCCTTTGACCCAGATAGATTGATGTTCTACTGCTCCCCAAGTCATTTGCAAATGGCACAAGAACTAAGACAAAAGAAGAGGATGAGAAAAGAGAAATTCCAAGAGCTTGGAAATGGGGGCTCAGTTTTTATCTACAAAGTGGGTTAAGAAATGGAGAACTGTAACACCATATAGAAGATGTCTATATTTCCTGCGTCACTTCTCCAGTTGAAGTTTTCTGTAAGGGGGGAAGACCCATGGAATATCAATATGTGTGGGCTGTCGTTCCCACTTATTCTTCATGATAGCACTGCAATGTGGCTCTCCATCCCCATTTCACAATCCAGAAAACTGAGCCCCGGAGCCATTCAGAATTTCCCAAGGTTGTGGAGTTTAGATGGGAACAAACTTCTGTGTGACTCCAGTGTTGCTACTGACATGACCCCGCTCTGCCTTCCCCACCTTTCAGATGAGAGCATTTCCCTTGTTTTCTGTGAGATGATTTTTAGAAGGGGACTGTGACAGTCTGTTCTCTCTGGGGGTACATCAGAGTTTGAAGGAGATCAGCAAGGGTCCCCCCTCTTTCTAAGCTGCAGCGAGCAGTTCTTGGAGCTCGGGAGGAAGTTCTAGCTCTCCCTTATTCTCTGTTGGCTTTCTCCTTTGTTTCTCTTACAATGGGCCAACAAAACCCCCATCTGTCCCTAACTCATTTCCTAGCCCTGCCTGAATGTCTTTGCTCCCCCCAATTCATATGTTGAAATCCTAAGCCCCAGGATTATAAAATTAGAAAGTGAGCCTGTAATCCCAGCACTTTGAGAGGCCAAGGCAGGCGGATCACCTGAGGTCAGGAGTTCGAGACCAGCCTGAGCAAAATGGAGAAACCCCATCTCTACTGAAAATACAAAATTAGCTGGGTATGGTGGCGCATACTTGTAATCCCAGCTACTCGGGAGGCTGAGGCAGAAGAATCACTTGAACCCGGGAGGCGGAGGTTGCGGTGAGCCAAGATAGCACCACTGCACTCTAGCCTAGGCAACAAGAGCAAAACTCTGTAAAAACAAAACAAAACAAAACAAAACACAAAACAAAACAAAGGGAAAGTGAGGCCTTTGGGCAGTGAGGAGGTCATGAGGACAGAAGAAGACACAGCCCTCATAAATAGGATGGATGAGTCCCCTTGTAAAAGAGGCCCAAGAGCACTCATCCACCCCTTCCACCATGTGTGAACACAGTGAGAAAGTACCATCTATGAAACAGAAAGCTGGCTCTCACCAGACGCCAACTCTGCCAGCACCTTAATATTGGACTTCCCAGCCTCCAGAACTGTGAGAAATAAATTCTGTTTGTAAACCACACAGTTTACAGTATTTTGTTATATTAATAGCATCCCAGATGGACTAAGACAACCCCTAATACCCACTACTACTTATTTCCTTACAACTTTCAACAATGAAAAGGGTAGAAATAAATGAAAGATTTAGGAGGTACATCAGGTGGAACTTCCTGACTCCAAGGAGGTAAAGAATTCAAAGAGGCTGTTGTAGATCCTTTTTCAGGAAAGCTATAAGGCAAAGGGACACCCTGCCCCCACCCCGCCCACTTGGACTGGGCACACTCCTGCCTAGAGGCAGGGGGAGGCACCAAACGACCTCCAGAGGGCCCTGCTAGCCCAGGAAGCTGGGAGCCTCTGGTGCAGCCGCTGCTTGGCCGCAGATGTTCCCTGTCATCAATCACACAGTGCATCTGTTTGCTGTGCCGCTTGTTTAAAGAGTGAGGCGTTTGCTAATTGAAAACTAAAAGATCCATCCGTCTCACTCACAGCCAGCATGAAATCCACTCAGCCATGTAAGATTGGGGTAAAAAAGGCAGCGCAGAGCTACAGTGTCCTTGGGTGGGTGCACCTTATGGAGCTCATCTTCTTCCTGCTTCTGCCTCCTGATGAACAGGGCTCCCCTCCCCACCCCAGAGCAGCCAGAGATGGCCCATATTACCATTGTCTAACATGTCCTCATCTATTTTTCTCAGTAAAGCTCAGAGATCGTTATTTTTAGTCCCCACTTAAAAATGGAGAAACTGAGACTTCGCGAGATCAAGCAATTTAGGCAAGCCCACACAACAGGTAGGTGACCAAGGCGGGACACCAATCCAGGTGCTCTGGCTAGTCTGACCCATCCCTGAACCTATGTAGAGGTGCTGAGTTGGGAGGTACCAAATATCTCCTTATGTGGATTAAACCTAGGAAAGAATGGTCCAAGGGTATACAAGGGAAACACTGGGATGTCAACCATATCTGTAATGGCTGATCCCTTAAAGGCAATTATGGCAACATTCTAGGACTCCTATTGGTGTAATATCTCCCTATAGAGCCTGCAGGCAAATGGAGGCCAGTCCAGATCAGCAAGATCCAGGGGCAGGAGCTGGGAAGAGTCATGGTGGGGTGAGGTGGGGAGCCCACAGCTTCCTCTGCTCCCGTGCCTCCAGAGATGGCTGCATTTGAGAGAGGTGCTGTTTTGTGCCTCTGGAGAGGGGGACGGTTCAGTGCTGGACTCTGTGGGATTTGCAAGGACACTCCATCTCTCTGGGACTCAGTTCTCCCTTCTGAGGTGAGGCGGAATTGGATGAATGTTAAGGTCCTTTCCAGCCCTCACTTTCTATAATTGTGTGTGTCATTGGAGGAAATGCTGAGATGAAGTTAATCCTTGTGGCCCAGAGAGGCTGGATTCCAGCCATGCAGGGCCGACTCCCTGCTCTGCAGAGTCAGTCCTCTGCCCCTGCTCTTCCCTCTCCCTGGAGTGTTGTGCCACCTTCTCCCCTTGGGAACTGGTGTTGCTCCTTCAATGCCCGGTTCCTGTAAAGTCTCGCTTTTTTGTGCTTCACAGCACCTGTTTAAGCCTCAGTTATTTCCCTGGGGGTCCCCTCTCTGGATTGCCAGGGTGCGGGATCAGGGGCCTGGTTTTCTTTCTGTGTGTGACTTCTGAATCTGACACAGAATCTGGCAAACTGAGGACAGTTGGTAACTAATTGCTGCAGAAGAAAGAAAAGAAAGAGAAAGAAAGAAAAAGAAAGGAAGGAAGAAAGAAAGAAAGAAAGGAAAGAAAGAAAGAGAAAGAAAGAAAGAAAGAAAGAAAGAAAGAAAGAAAGAAAGAAAGAAAGAAAGAAAAGAAAAGAAAAGAAAGAAAAGGAGAGAGGAAGAAAAGGGGAGAAGAACGAGGTTCCTCTGCAGCCCAAATGACAGTGGGCAGGGTAGCAGCGGAACACCCTTCACCACTCTATCTCTTTCTCCCTCTCCCCACTCCCTGCCTCACACACCTCAGTTTGGAGTCAAGGGTGAGCTGGAACCCCTGAGGCCTCCTTTTGCATTTCCATGTCAGGTCAACTCCAAACAGGCTTTTTCCTTTGGATGAGTCCAGCAATAGAACTGACTACATAGATTCCAAGACCTGAAGTCAGAAAACGGATGCGGACCTCTTCCAACACCTCCTCTCCTTGCCTGACTTGCTGGATGGGTGGTGCCTCCCGCAACCCTTGGCTTCTGAGTCCTCAAAGGAGAAGACTGGCGAGCAGACGGTGAGGACCCAGCCTGCAATCACAGCTTATTACTCTGGGTGTGGGTGGGAGCGCAGTGGGCGGTCGAGGGTTGCGTTCCCGCCTCAAAACAAGGGATGGCGGAATCCCCCAACCCCTCCTACCCGTTCAGGCCGGGGATCGCCGAGGAGGTACAGCTCCTTTGGTGGGGGGCGGGGGCGGGGCCTGTCTCAGGGGCGGGGACCGGGGCACCTCCCTCCCGCGCTCCCCGCGCTCGGGCGCCGCAGAGCTGTCCAGCTTCAGTGCCGAACCGGCAGCCTCACGCGCGCACCGCGCCGCCTCCGCCCCGTCCCCGCGCTCCCTCCTGCCCGCCCGCCCCGCGCCCGGCCCCGCCCCGCCCCGCCCCGCCGCGGCCCGTCCACTGCTCCCCGCGGGCCAGAGCCGGCCGAGCTGCTGCCCGCCGGGGCTCTGAACGGCGCGGCGGGGCCGGGAGCCAGGGACCGGCCGAGGAGAGTGGCGGCCCCGGACGGCTGCCGGAGGGGCGGCCGCGCGTGGATGCGGCGGGAGCTGGAAGCCTCAAGCAGCCGGCGCCGTCTCTGCCCCCGGGCGCCCTATGGCTTGAAGGTAAGCACCGGCCGGATGGAGCGGCGGGCGACTCAGTGTCACGGGGAGAGGAGGAGGGACCTCCAAGGGGAGCGAGGCCAGGACCAGAAGTTTGTGCGGCCACTCCTGGCCGCCTGCTCGGGAGCGCCCGCCTGGGATCCGGCTCTGCATGGGCTCCCCGTCGGGCGGGGGCAGAGGGCGTCTGGAGCCCGCGGCTGCTATCCCCTCTCCCTCCTTCTCAGTAGCCTCCTCGCCACTTAGAAGGGAATCCTCTCCCCGAGCACGAGCGGGCGCAGCTGGGGCAGCCTCCCCGCGGGGCGCCCAGGGCAGCACGGCGGAGCCGCGGCATCGGAGGGCGGGAGGGAGGCCGCTCCCCACAATCTCGGGAGGGCACTTCCCCCAGCACCCAAGCGCGAGACCCGGGGCTCGCGGCCAGAGTTTCCGACTTCTTCCGGAGGAAGAAGGGCTGTTTTTGGCAACTCTGTGTTGGTGCGACCTGACCCTTTTCAGTTTCTAAGGCAGAAGCTAAGGATGGGGGAGAGGCAGATTCTGGCTGGATTCTCCCGCTCCCACGGTTGCCGCTGTCCTTGGTCCTGAACTTTCGTTCTCCTTCGCCTTCTCTTGGGTTGACACCTAGTCGGGGAGGGAGGCTTGGGTGCCAGACCCGTTTCTACCCGGCAGTGCAGGCGACGGTGGCGGCAGTAGCGGAGGGTGACCGCCCGGCTCTCGGCCCGGCTCTATGATGGACCGAGAGCCCCTCTAGGGTGGTATGCGGAGACAAGAGACACCTCTAAGCACCAGACAGAGCGCTTCCCTATCCCTGTCTGAGGCGGGCAGCCCTTGAGTGCTTCCTCTTGAAGAGCAGAGGTAAGAGGGTGCGTGTGCGTCTACATAACAGGCTTCACCATGGACACAAGTCACAGCAGTGCAGCTCCGTGGGGACAGGCGCTTGCTCTCAGCCACAAGGAAGCTGTCTGAGCAAGTCACTGTTGCCCCACCTGACACCCCACTACTTTTTTTTCGGTGGCTCTTGAGGTTGGGTGAGGGGGTGAGGGAGTGAGGTGCAAGGCACTTTGTGGATCCCACTCCAGATCCTTCTGCAGATCCAAGCCTTTCTGTATTTTGACCAGGCTACAAACCTTTTAGGCCAATCCTTGCTCCTCCTTAGGGAGCTAGATGTTCAACGATTCTCCCCACTCCCACCCTGCTTCAAATGCAAATATGCATGCTTATCTCTGATTCATCCTGCAGCATTAGGACCACTTGAAAAAGAAATCATGCTTATCGTCTTTCCCTCATGCAGCTGTTTGATGAGGGTGGCCAGATAGAGAGACTGTGGTCAGCATGACCAGTTTCAAGAAAATCAGCAAGCTGCTTTCCTGGGTTTCAGTCCCTGCCTTGGACTTCCCTCCTTAGTGTTCAAAATTCCTGGATTATTTGTTGCAGGGGGTTTTGATGCCATCTCTGAATGCAGACATCTGACAAGGAAGTGGTTTGGGAGGGTTAGACCTAGAACCAAATGAGGGCCAGGGTAGTCCCAGCTCTTAAAGATCATTGAGTTCCTTCTACCTTCCCTGCACAGCCTGAGGTGCCCAGAAAGTGGAGAGGTTCTGATTTGTTGTAGAAGTCCGGGCAGCATTTCTCTAAGGGTTTTTTTCTTTTTAATGAATTCCCTGAGAAGCTGGTTAAAAATGCGTATTTTTGCTTCTTCCTTGAAAAACTGCTGAATGAGAATCTCAAGCGGAGGCCCAGGAAATTTATATTTTAACAATGTTTCTGAGTGATTCATGTGTACACTGAATTAGCAAATTACCTCCCAAAAAGTTGAGACTCCTTAGAGAGTCTGTATACATTTATTTTATTTTGAAAATGGAAATCAAGTTTATTTTACATAAAATTGGTAGCAGGTATTCTATCTGAGAAAATCCCTTGAAGATATAAAAATGCATTTCTAAGAGTTAAAAGAATCATGTACCTTGGCAACCATTTGCTGATATCTTAAATATTCCTAAATTTCATACATTTGAAATTTATAAAATTAAGGTATTTAATCTCACCCTTTGTCTCCTGCTGTTATACCTGTTAAATTCTTCAAGTGTGAGACTCTTGGTAGAAAGACCATCCCCCTGATTAAATCTTTGCTGAAATTAAGGATGCAATCCAATCTCCTCTCCCCCAGGATCTTCCTGGGCTTTTCTTCTTTCTAAAATTTTTGGCCCTTTTAAGGAATCACCAATATGGCTTCAGGTTGACTTATGTAAATACTAACTGTCCCTCTATGGGGGTCAACTCAGTGTTTCCCTCCTGCCCTCCCCTCTGGGTGAGTTATTGTCTTTCATTATGCATGTGCTGTGATCTGTTAACCTAAGTGCTCCTGAAATGCCAAGGAGTGATTAGTTCAGCCTAGTAGCACGTCATGCTCCCCAAGGCTGGTAGCCACTCATGCCCTGCTGGAAGTGACATATTGACTGTATTGATTTGGTTCTTTTGTTCCATAAGCAAGGAGGCTTGTAGGGGTAAAAAGGCTAGTAATGATGCTTGTGGGCTAGTTAGTCTTGTACCTTCACCTACAAAGGTGGATTATTTCTGTCTAGAAAATGCAATTATCTTGAGAATGATATAGGAGAATCTGAAATTGAGACAAACGCTTCTGTTCTTTCTTTGATACTATGGGAAACAAATGGGAACTTAGGGTCATTAGAAATATGGCCTCACATACTCCTGAGATTGTCTTGCTGAAGCCGGACTGGTCTGGGGTCACCATTCTCTGAATAAACAAGTATAAGGGGAAAGACGTGGGGACTCTGCCTGGAGAGAATGGTTTCCATCTCCCCTGCAAGTAAAAGTTACATTTTAGTGTTAACAAAAAAGTGTGGCTGTGAAGATAGCACTGTGTGTATGTGTATGTGTTTGTGTGTGTTTGCATACACGTGCATGCACACATATGAGCACATCGCCCAGGAGAGACAGATATGATGAGACTTCCTTGAGCCAATCCTGTGTTGGCACCCACCACTTCTCCCCGCTTTGTGGCTTAATACCTATGAATCTCCAACAGTGAAGGTGCCTCAACACCTAGGAAGAGAGAAGAATCAAGTTGAGGTTTTATAATGCCAGAACCCTAAGTCATATTTGTAATATCTCCCAGAATCAAGTTATATATCAGCAGGCTACAGTTACCTAAGAGTTGAGGTCTTGAAAATAGCTTAGAACAGCAGCCCAGTCATTTGCATTTTCCTGGGATATAGTTTATAGGACTTTAGATTCTTAGGTTATCTTCTTGGGCTCCTCAGAGGTCATGCCAGATGCCCCTGACTCCAAACAGGGAAGCTGTTTCCTTAGTCCAGAAATACAATGGTCTTTCTTCTTTTATTAAAGTTCTCCTAAACAGAACTTTTTCCAATGAATTTTCCAGTTTCTGAACACCAGGACTGGACTCAGCAACTGGAGCTTCTCCATCCTACCAGGTACTCTGCTTAGCAGAGGAGCATCCTGCATATAGGAAACACTCGGAAACCATGGGCAGCAGAAAGGACACAGGTTGATTCAACTTCTCAGCAGGCACCCTCCTTTGTAGGTAGCCTCTTACTTAGCTGAACCCCAGCACCATTTTCCCTCTTCTCACCTCCAGTAAGGCATTTTGTGGCCTTGGAAGGACCTTGGGATTAGGTATAAGCCCTTCTGCTCTCCAGAATATACCATGGAGCCACTAAGGATGCACAAATTGCTTATTTACCAATTTGAGCAGTAGACTAATGTTATCTCTGGCCTTTTAAATTACTCTAATGGTGTTGGAATCTAATATTAATATACTTTTGCCTCTCACCTGTTCCCATGACCAATGTAATTGGAGATTTCTTTCCTCTGTACTTAAATGGATGCAAAACTTTCTTATTTTTTGACAATAGAATCATATTATCTAAATGTACAGGCCTGGAAAATAGCTTGATTATAGTGTCAGCACATGGGGATGGAGGAGTAATAAAACTATAAGACTCAGCCACTTGGTTTTCTTTGATTTGGGTCCAGAGAAAGGAGAGAAATTTGCCCTCAGAATTGCAGATTTTTCTTTTCTTTTTCCTTTCACCTTAATCTGGTAAATGGGTTAAATCAATACCCTTGGCAGCTGGGATGCCCTTGGAAGGCACAGCCTCTTCTCTCCCTAGGATACATGAGAGTGTTTCACTGCAGAGGGGCCAAGGACCCTGGTGGCTCTAGTGTATAGGGAGGAGTCAGAGATGACACACTGGGGTCTGAGGCCTCCCTCTTCCCCTGGATAGAAGAAACTGTGCTGCTGCAGTGCTTTGAACTCAGAAGCCTGGAAACTCCTAGGGGCATTTGGGAGAGTATGGGACAGTGTACAGAGGTGAGAGCAGAGGAGAAGTAGACTCTTAGGAGGCCCTGAAAGAGGCTGATGTTAAATATGCATTGAATATAGGTATCAGCTTAGTGTAGTTTGGGCAATTTTGTCATAATCTGATGTCACCTGTAAGGATTTTTACTTTTTCCAGTAGGAGATGAGGGAATTCTTTGCTGTCTGAAGGGACAGGGAGGGGAAGGAGGGAAAACCTCTGGTTTCCCCTGCAGCCCTCTGGGTAATGTCAGCTTGCTTCCAGACAGAGGGCGGTAAGGGAAGTCAGGCAGACCTGGCTCCCAGGAGCTCCATCAATAGGCCTGCAGTTAGCCTGGGCAGTCCTGCCTTCCAGGAAGCTGTCGCTCAGCACAGAACTGCAGCTGTGGCCCCAACGATAATCCCCTGCAGATGTCTGGGAGCCAAAGGGAGTCCTGGCGCCTGTTCATTTGTTATTGGTCTCCTTCAGAACGTGCCTGCCCTTCTCATTTCCACCCCCTCCTTGTTGTTATTGTTTGGGTTCTAAGTGGCCCAGCAGGAGAAAGACATTAGAAATGAAATTATTTTTGTTACATGCTACATCATTGCCTCCTCTCCTACCTGCTACCCCAGGCAGCACCATCACTAGCAACTCCCAGGAACTCTTGATATGGGAAAGTGGCTTAGTACCAGGCTTCCCTAGAATGAGAAGTGGTCCTGTTCACCAGACCCTCCTTTGCTGGCCTCATCATCATAACGGCCAGCATTTATTGTGCACTTACTGTGTGCAGGGCGCTGTGCTCAGCACTTGACATAGGTTCTTCATTTAAACTCCCAATCCTGCAACAACTCTGTGAAATAGGAACCCTTGTTTTTACATTTTTTGTTTGTTTATTATTTATTTATTTATTTATTATTTTCATTTTTAGAGAGAGGTCTTGCTCTGTCACCCAGGCTGGAGTGCAGTGGTGCAATCATAGCTCACAGCAGCCTTGAACTCCTGGGCTCAAGTGATCCTCCTGCTTCAGCCACCCGAGCAGCTGGGAGTACAGGTGCATGCCAGCATGCCCAACTAATTTTTTAAAGAATTTTTTGTAGATATAGGGCCTTGCTTTGTTGTCCAGTCTGGTCTTGAACTCCTGGCTTCAAACGATCCTCCTGCCTCAGAGTAACCCTTATTATTCCATTTTGCAGAGGAAGAAGCATAGGCTTAGAAAGGTAAGTGGTTTGCACAAGGTCACACGTTTCATGTGTGAGACAAAGATTCAAAACCAGACTGTTTAAGGCTAAAGCAATAGCCCTCTCTGATACGTAAGTGGCATAAAGAACAAGAAAAGGAGGAGAATAGGGATAAGAAGATAATTCTTTAGTGAATGAAAGGGCAGTAATCTTTGTGTATGATACCAGGAAAGTGAAGAGGGAGACAGCAGATGGAGAAGGATGAATAAAATAACTCCTTGGGATTCTTAAATTTGAGAACCAGCGAGGAAGTGTTCTGTACCTGGATCTGGGTCCCTTTGGATGAAATGCACTGGGCGTAAACCTCAGCAAGCAGTGGGAGCAGGAGGGAGGGCGGCAGGAGCAGGAGGGAGGCAGGGTCAACTAAGCCTTCCAACCTGGGGGAGGAGCTGGGAGGAGGTGTAGACGGATGTTTTGTCAAGCTCTTCTGGAACTGTGATGACATTACCTTCTGTCCCACATCTCTTTGAGGTGAACTGAACTGTCCAAAGGATGAAAGCCAGACTTCTGCCAACAATTAGGTCTTTGGGTTTGCTTTCTTATTACCATAGAAGGAAAACTTGTTATATCTCCAAGACTAAGCTTCCACATTTTACAGAAATGTGAGGGCGGGATGGCCTGGGATCCTGGACAGACACAGGAGTGACTCATGAGAGCTGCCTTTAAAAAATGAGCTGATTAGCCAGACGCGGTGGCTCACGCCTGTAATCCCATCCCTTTGGGAGGCTGAGGTGGGCAGATTGCTTGAACTCAGGAGTTCACAACCAGCCTGGGCAACACAGTGAAACCCCATCTCTACTAAAACACACAAAAAAATTAGGATCTGGCAGCATGCACCTGTGGTCTCAGCTACTCAGGAGGCTGAGGCAGGAAAATTGCTTGAACCTGGGAGGTAGAGGTTGCAGTGAGCCAGTATCGTGCCACTGCACTCCAACCTGGGTGGCAGAACGAGACTCCATCTCAAAAAACAAACAAACAAACAAACAAAAAACAAAAAAAACCCTGATCAATGCTTTTCTGATAGACAGAGGCAGGTGAGGCCTGGATGTCCCTGGGCAGGGCACTTAACCTGCTCATCAGTTATTTCAGGCACAAATAAGGGACTGTAATAATCGTGTTCACCTCATAATAAGTGAGAAGACTCCTCTGTTGTTGAGCCTCACCATGAGTTTTATGAATGACATATATCAATATTTAGTCACCTATTTAAACCCTTTAAAAACAACACCATATGGTAGTTAAACCTGTGGGCTCTGGAATTAGACTTCCAGGATTTGAATCCTGACTCTAACACTTACTAGCTATGTGACCATGAGCAAGTTAATTAACCTCTATCACCTGGGGGTTCTCACCTGTAAGTGGATGTTAATACCAACATAATTGGGTCACAGTAATTAATTAAGGTAATAGAGACAAGACATTTGAAAGAGTCCCTGGGAAAAGTGAGTACTCTTTAAATGTTAACTGTAATGATTGTTATTGTTATTATTAAGATGCTTAAGTAAGAAACAACACTTTGAGCTGTTGTCCTTTTGCAGTAATTCAGCACCTGATTTTACATTTCTGAAATCATGTTTCTAAAACGTTCACAAAATTCAAGGATATACTTCTTTCTTACACTCTCCACTTATCTGCACCAAAATTCTTTGGCTTTCACCTGTCAGCAGCTCTTGCTCATTTTGAGCGAGATAGGGGTTTGAATTGCTTGTCATCCCTTTGATTTAGGTGCAGCTGAATTCATTTCCATCTTACACCACATGAGCTAGGAAGAGGCATAAGTTATCCTGGTGATAGCTTTTCATGGCCTAATTTTTCTTCCTGGTTTCCTGGGCTCTGTGTCTGCTACCTCATGGTTGGAGCCTCCCTGATTGGCAGTGTCACATGGTATGTTGCTCTGGCACAGGCCAGTTTTTATTAAAAACAAAAAACAAGGAGAATGTACTGGTGTACAAGGACAAGGTGACTTTTTTTCTTTTCCCAGATTGAAAGGGCCAAAGAACTTCACATGAGCAGACCCCCAAAGCTGGCAGAAATATGTGTTCTGCAGCTTCTGGAGTCATTCTTGGCAGGAGCAAATGCTATCATGTTTTTAGGTGAAGTATGGTCCTGCCTGAGAAAGGAGGATGGAAACAGTAGCTTCTGGTCCTGAGATTCCCCAGTGCATAAAGATAATCCCTCTTGTTGGCCTTTTTCTTGGTCTATGAATCCCTTCTTGGGGAGGACTCTCTTGTAATTGATGTGCATCTATTTCTGGCCAGCTACAAATGCTCACCATTTAGCTATGGTAGAATATTTCAGAAGGCACTGTAGGTATTCTGTTCCTGGGTCATCTTCCTTGGTTCATCCTTTTTTGGACTCAGCCCTTTCAACTCTTTCACTCATTTATGGCAGGGTCAATAAGAGACATGTGTTGACAAGCAGAAACTAACTTCCAGGGTCCCAGGCAGAGGATGTCAGCACCGCCTCCCACCGCCTGCCCCCGCACCACGGTGGATCCATGTTTCCACACACTATTTTTCTTTAGTAGTATGTGTAGTTGAAGGTCTGGGATCACTCTAGAGTCACATTGTGACTAATGACACAAAATCTCCCTTGTGGCCTGTCTTCTGTGAGGAGCCAACTTAATGCTTAATGCTAATCTCTCAATTGTGCATTTCTTGTCTTCTCCACCAGACCATGAGCTCCTTGAAGCAGAGAATTTGTCTCATGCTTCTCTAAAATCTATTATAACCTAAAATGGTGCTAGGCACTTGGTAGTTACTTAAATTGTTGAGTGAGAGTGGGTGAGTGGATAAGTGATGGGTAGGTGAGAGACAGCTTACTTCCCCATAGCGACACTCTCCCTCTACTTTACTTGCAGCTTAACAAGAGTGGCAGTGTCTGAGGCATCCCCCACTAGAGGTATCTCATAGGTCAGCAACATACTTCATGCCTTCTCTCTTTCATCCCTAACCTGCACTATCTGGCCACCCTCAGCCATGAAGACATTATAGGTTGGATGGAAATTTTTCGCAGTTGTCACAGGGCATGGAAGTTGGGGAATATTGAATGGTTGGAACCTACTTCAATCAGACACACTCATGGAGAAAATGCACTGGGGGGGCTGTTGAGGAAACATACACAGGTGTGTTTGTTCAGGTCAGCCTGGGGACCTGAAGACAAAAGAGCTGTTATTGAGGGATGCCATTAGTGCTTTGGTGATTTCTGTGTTTAGACTTTGGGGAATTGGACTAGTCCTTACTTTAAAAGGTACAGATAAGCATGATTATACCCAAGACCCTCCAAACGCAGTAACAGTTTGAACCTATCTTTCCACAAAGCACTTTTAAGAAGTGGGCTATGCATCCCCTGTCCCTCTAGTTATTTAGTTAAACAAAGTGGTTCAGAGCACTCAAAAACCAGGCTAATGCAGGATCAGATCTTTGTTCTATCGGTCATGAGCTATGTGACCTCTATCAAGTTACTATCACCCCTTTGAGATGCAGTTCTTTATCCCTTCATAAAACAGGATGACTATATACTTACCTGATTGGGTTTTGTGCAAAGGAAATGAGTCACGCACATAAAGTGCTTGTCTCAGTACCTGATGCATGGTAAGCTCTCAGCAAACATTCACTATCATTATCCTTATCGTAATTATCAGTGGGCAGAGAAGTGTCCACAGAACCCTTCCCAACCTGTGCTCCAAATTTTATATTCTCTCTTCTGGAGGGAAGAAAGACACCATTGCAGATGAAGACATTAGACCAGGTATGAATTGGCATAGAGTGTTATACTTGAAAGAACCCAATGTTACACAGCAGAGAAGTAGGAGAGCTGGACTAGAACTCACTTCTGCCCAGGGTTTTTCCTCCACACCTGGCTCAGGTTAGACCATGGAGTTTTGAAGAAACTCAGTGGCTAATGAATGGGATTTGAAGTGAAGATGGTACAAGGTAAGGCCAAAGGCTTAGGCAGGGGCCTGACTATGAACCTTGAAGTCTTATGTAGGAGACTGGATTCCATCCTGAGGGAAAAAAGAAGCCAACTTGAAGGATTGGGTTTTAAGCACAGGGACAACTCCAGTGATTCAATTTGCAGTAAAACAAACAAACAAACAAACAAACAAACAAACAACAACAACAACAAAAACTGGCCAGGCATGGTGGCTCATGCCTGTAATCCCAGCATTTTGGGAGGCCAAGACAGGCAGATCACTTGAGGCCAGGAGTTTGAGACTAGCCTGGCCAACATGGCAAAAGCTCATCTCTACTACAAAACTTAGCCGGATGTGGTGGCTCACACCTGTAATCCCAGCTACTGGGGTGGCTGAGGCACGGGAATTACCTGAACCCAGGAAGCAGATGGTGCAGTGAGATCAGGCCACTGCACTCCAGCCTAGGCAACATAGTGAGACTGTCTCAAAAAAAAAAAAAATCACAGAGGCTGCTATGTGGGGGAACTGATTATAGAAGATTCAAGACTGGAGGCAGAGTACCTAGGAGAGTTTGCAGTTGTTCAGGACAGCAATGCTGGCAGCCTGATCTAGGGAGGGGCAGTGGAGGTAGGAAGGCTTGAAAGACCTGAAAAGATATCTTAAATTCGCCAGAACTCAGTGATTGATGGGCTATGGAGGATGAGGGGAAGAGAGAAGCCAAGGATGATTTAAGAACAATGAAGCAAGGGAATTAAGGATATCGGTAAAAGTGTATGCATATTGGGCCAGAAACCTAAGCTGGATTGAAAGGGAAGGGAAGATAGGCTGATAGAATCGGTGGACTGATGGTGTTGATGAAATCAGAGAACTGGTATACTTGGAATCACTGAGCACTTGAACTGGGCTGCAGAGGCAATTGTGGTCACACAGTGGAGTAACTAAATTTGTAACCTCAGAGAGGAACACCCCTGGCGATGTCAGTGCTCAGAATGCACTCATAGGAGCAGGTGACTAATGTGAAGGGTGTGCTTGGGGAGTAGGAGGCCAGGCATCAAGAGGCCAAGCTGTTGGAAGTTGATTTCACCTGAGTTCATGGCACAACTTGGGCTGGAGTTGAAGACAGTGAGCTAGTGCCAAAGACAGTGAGGGAGGGGAAGTGACCAGGAATGTATGGATGGCAGTGACAAAGAGAGATAGAGTGGGCATAAATGGTTGGTGGGCACCTGAAAGGAACAGAGTCTTTATGAGAGGGTAGGGGAGGTGGTAATGAGGCACAGGGATGTGGGGCTGAGCACTTTCCTGGAAGGGCCGCAGCGGAAGTGGTGCCCTCAGTTGAGGCTGGGAGGGGAGGGGCTGCTGCCGCCATGCAGTACACACCTCCAGTGTAGGTCTTCTCATCCTGCTTTTCTCTTCCGCTCCCTCCGTGGCTCATGGAACCCATTCCTCTCCATAGCTACAGAGAATGGAAGAAAAACAGAAGAAAGGTGAAGACAGGGTGGCAAGTGGGTATAAAGATGTGGATGAGAGAGCTGAAATAGGTGGAAGTTACAGGGAATAGGAAAGAAAATGGATCTGTGGACATCCATTGTTCCTCTGCACCCAGTGTGCCACCTGTAACCTTCTAACATGTTGTGTTGTTTTCTCTGCCAGAATGCTCCAGCCCTTAACTTATAAGGTTAACTCCTACTCAGCTTTTAAAACAGAGCCCAGGTATCACCTCTTCCAGGGAGGCTTCCCCAATTTTCCTTCCTACACTCTTTCACCTACCTGGGCCAAGGGCCTCTCTTCTGTATTTCTCTAGCATACAGTATTGAGTTATGTTGTCATTGCTTATTTACTGGTCTGTTTCCTTCCCTAGATGGTAAATTCCTCAAAGGCTGGAATGGAGCCCTTACCTCTCTAGCTCCAGGTGCCTGCCTGCTGCACTGCACAAAGTGGGACTGTCATTGAGCCCCGCCCCCGCAAACACGCATGCACACCATAATAAGACAGCAGCAGGCACTGTCCTCTGCTCATCCCTGAAGTCCTCCACATTATTAAGGCAGGCTGGAATGCTCCTCCAGCAAGTGATTCAGACGAGACATTCCAGATTGTCAAGGCTGTAAAGAAAGGGACCTACACTAACTCTACACATGAATGAGAAAATTGTACTTGGAGAGGGAAGTAACGTGTTCAGGGTCTCATGGCTGCTTGGAAGCAGACCAGTCCCAGATCTGGGACCCGTCCCTGACACGGCCCACTTCCTACCATGCCAAACCCCGTGCCCAATGGCCACAGATGGTGTGCACCACACTGTGGCTGCAGGTAGCCACATTAAAAGTTTCCCCAATTTAACCAGCTCCAAAAATCATCCTCTTGTCCTTTCTTCTCATTTCTGGGTTCAAAATTGCTGATTTGGTGAGCCTTATTATTCAGCTATACTCCACTGCCTGGGAAATAGAGATAAGTGAAATGTAAAAGTAGGACCAAAATACTTATGTATTTTGAGGGGTTCACTTTATGTGATGGGGCTACAGCACCACCAACATTCCCGTTTTCTCACAGGGAAGCAGATTAGGCAAGTCAGTGCTCAGCGTATCACGTGACGTGCATATGCTCCTTGAATGCTGTGCTATTGTCTTTAATAATACTAACCACCTAAGGTCCACTGATTACTCCTACATCATCAGTCATATCTTAGGAACTGGGCAGAAGGGAGGGGGCAGGAGAAGGGGGAGTTTCTGGGTGTTCCATCTAGCACATGCGTGGGAAGTAGTAGGATGCCAATAAATACTTGTTGCATAGATGAAGGAGTGAATGAGTGAATATTTTCCTCTTGCAGAGCAGGCTGAGATTTGCTCAGAAGCATGTAGAGCAGATTGGCTGCCCACCTGTGTGGGCTCCCTGAGACCCAGGGCATCCAGAAAGTCTCCAGAGGGAGAGGGAAGGTGGGAGAACCTCTGTAGAGCTCACAGCCACATGCCTTAAACACTGCTCCTGCATGGAGCATGATACCTGTTCCTGCATGGCCATGCTTCCTCTAAAGCCTGCAGGGGAGGATACTGTCTTGTCTCTTCCAGCTCCCCATGGCTCCTGGCGCTCCTTGGCATGTGGCAGCATCACCCCAATCTCTGCCTCTGTCTTCACATGATTGTCTCTCCCCCATGGCTCTCTGTCTCCTCTCTGCTTCTTATAAGGGTACACCAGGTGTTGATTTAGGGTCCACTGTAATCCAGAATGAACCTATCTTATCCTTAACTAATAATGTCTGCAAAGACCACTTCCAAATGAGGTCACCTTCTGAGCTTCCGGGTGGACATGAATTGGTGGATGTTGGGGGCTTGGGGGTCGGAGGGGAACACTCTTTACTCCTGTAAGGGAGCTTCCTGCCTTGGTGGATCCTGTTCCTTATAGACATCTTTTGTTTCCTCCAGAGTAGGACTGTTTTCCTTCCTAGTCACCTGTTTGGGAATAGCTGCCCACTTATCTAATTGAAGCCTCATCTCCTGAGTTAGAAGGCAAATGAGGACAAGAAAGAAAGCAATTAGTACAACTGGGAGTTCAGGATTAAAAAGGATTCACTGACCTGCTGGCACAATGGTTGGTAAGGGGGGAAAGTAAAGGGAGTTTGGAGGAAGAGAGGGGAAGGAAGGGGGTCCCTTGAATGTTCCAGCAAGGGAAGGCCCATGGGAACCTGGATTTCTGGGGCACTTGGGCACAGGCCCTGTGAGGGTGGTGATTGGGCGTGCATGTTAAATGCCTTTTATAGTCATAAGAAACTCAGGAATTGCTCCCCGTGAGGGCAGCTGGATGTGCATATTAAGTGCTTTATATAGTCATAAGGAACTCAGGGATTTGAAGTTGTTTACTCAATGTTCATTCTACAAGCATTTATTAAATGCCTCCTATACACCAGGATCTCAGACTAATGCTCTAATTTCACAGATGAGCACACTGAACTCCGGTAGGCCAAGTGAATTACCCAGGATCTTTTGGGGGCAGAGTCAGGACTAAAATCCTAGTCTTTAACTCTCACCATGCCTCACACAAAGCAATGTTCTTCTCTTATATACTCCAGTCTGCCTTGGGGGATCCCTCATCTCCACCAGGTAATAGTAATAATAGTAACAACCCCTGCTTGACTGTGCCCAGGGTGTGTTTCCAGAAGTCATTTTACTGCTGCTCCCTGATGTGTGGGGTGGAGGCAGGGGTAAGGAGGGCTTCCTGACTCCTGCCATTGAGTTCAGCTTTGCTGGGGGTGGTGGATGGGAGGCCTGGGACCTGTACTCTCCATAGAGAAGAAGATCAAGGACCTCTTAGACAAAACTAGCGGGACTCACTCTCTGAAACTGGGAGCCCCATCATTAAGTTTGCCCAGCTGGCCAGTCTGTAAGGACATAGGGGATGCTGATGGTGCTAGCAAGGTGTTCTGGGCCCCTGTAAATGAGGATCCTGTGGCCTCGCAGATTCATCTTCCAACAGGCCTGTCTTAGCACACAGGTGGCAACATTTGGTGCTGTCTGTAATATCTCCCAGCAGGTCTGAGCCTTCAGAGCCTGCCCTCTTGGGCTTTCCAATCTGGATGTCTCTGATGACCCGGTCCATAGCTTAGTAATTACTTGTTGAATGACTTGAGTAAGTCTGGAGAAAAAGTTAACTCCTTCACTGTGATAGGTGAGGGAAGGTATCAGAGAAGGAGGTACAGGGGATTTCCAAGGAGCTGTTCTCAGGCCAGCTTTGGGACTTGAGGCCTTGGAGGCTCCACCTGGGACTTGGCATTGGGCCTTCACTACCTCCCTGAGTGCACAGGATGCTGGAGCCTCCCAGTTTCTCTGGCTTTCATCTCGTCTTCATCCCTGGGCAGCTCCCTGCCCTCTGCAGCATCTCCCCACACCCTGTCTCCACGGTAACGTCACAGCCACAGGAGTCCATAATCCTGGTGGGAGGAGAGGAGCAAAGGGCAGGGACAGGGGCACATGTGGCCAGCAGTGTCCATGTGCCTCTGAGCAGCCAAGCTCCCACAGGCCAGGGAGGGTGCCTGCCCCAAAGCCTGGCAGCAAGGAGGGGCCAGGGCAGAGGGCCCCCAGGCAGTGCCTCTGAACATTCTTCTGTCTAGAAAAGGAGCCAGGGAGCTCTTAAGCAACAGGTGGAGCCTCTGACCCCAGGAAGCTTTTGGAGGCTGGCAGCTCGAGTGTCTCCCTAGGTCAAGATCACAGCCAGTCCAGCTTGAGGCAGAACCCAGATTCTCTGTGGCTCAGGAAAGTCTGCCCACCTGAGTATCCCCACGTCCTCCCTCCCTGTCCTGCCCAGTCCCTGTTCCATCAGCCTGTGGCAGCACACAAGTGCTGCTGGGGCTGGGGGTGACTGGGGAGGGCAGGGCACCAATGCCAGCCAGGAGAGGGCAGGGTCCACTGGCAGCTTCGACCCTGGAGCAGCCCCACTGAGGGAACTGGAATAATGGTTGAAATGAGCAGCTTGTCTGAAGACAGTCAATTTGATAGTGCCTCTAATCATAGCCGCTGAGTTTCTGTCTGCCAGACACAGAGATCCAGGAAAATGTAATAGAATGGACACAAAAAGCAAAGAAATGCAAAGTAGAGCTGGAATCCCATAGATTTCTTTCTTCCCAGACCCACAGCACTATTCCTTGGGGCCCACTGCCCAGTTTCTTTGAAGATTTGGCAATCTGCTAATTTGCTGATTAGCAGTACACACATAATAGTTGTACATATTTTGGAGGTACATGTGACAATTTGATACGTGCATGCACTGTGTAATGAACAAATGAGGGAAACTGGGATATCTGTCACCTCAAACATTTATCTTTCCTTTATGTTGAGAATATTCCAATCTTCTCTTCTATCTATTTTTAATGATACAATATGTTATTGCTAATTAGTCACTGTACTATACTATTATTGGTAGATCTTATTCTGTCCATCTAACTGAATTTTTGTATCTATTAACCAACCTCTCTCCATCTCCCCCTCCCCTTCCCAGCCTCTGGTAACTACTACTATTCTCTGCCTCCAGGAGATCCACCTTTTTTAGTTCTCACTGCTCGGCTTTCTTTCTAAGGAAAATGGACTCAGATGGGTCTTTATGGAGGTCTCTAGAATTAGGAGTCTTAGGTTCTAGTCTCAGTTCTGTCATCTAACTGGCAGCTTAGGTATAGTTAACTTTTCTTGTCCTCTGATTTTTTATTCTAAAATGATGGTATTGGATTGGATGAAGTCCCTTACAGACTATAACCAACAACACCCGCACTTTTCTGCCTTTGTCCATCCAGAGCTGCATTGGGGGTGACAAACCTTGCTTTAAAACACATATTCTATTAAGGTGTTCATTTTTCAAGCAGATGCTTTCTTGCCCACAGTACATTCAATTTATC
This sequence comes from Homo sapiens, assembly GCF_000001405.40. NCBI lineage: Eukaryota > Metazoa > Chordata > Mammalia > Primates > Hominidae > Homo > Homo sapiens. The sequence goes on along the minus strand of NC_000011.10, from coordinate 113,459,241 downwards.
CAAGTGAATAATATCTACCACTTTCAAATACTGACTATATTATCTTCCTTATATGCATCAGCTTTAATCTCTGTGACAGCCATAAAAGATAGAAATTATTACTCCCATTTTACAGAGGAGGAAACGGAGACTCAGAGATAGAAAGTAAAGTGTTAATCAAGGCCACACAGGTGGTGAGAACTGAAGCTGTTATTTGAGCCTAGATCTGTCTGATACAATATTTCCATGCTGCCCCAGATCATATTTTCTACATATGCTAGGTTTATCTTCTTCACTTTCATTATGATATATATCACAACATATGTGATGGCTTGCCTCTTATTTCCCCCTGCCCCATCGCTGCCCCCAGCATGTGAGGTCGATAATGACCTCACATAAGATCTTGCCCTTGGTGTTTAGTGCATAGTAGACCCTGAACATTTGTAAAGAGGATGTACAAATAAAGGAATGAATATATTCCAAAATTTTAGAACTTGGGTAAGTTGGAGACTGCTTTTAAATATAGAAGTATAGTCCACAGTGCCAAAATAGTGGGCATTCAATAAATCCTAATTTATATGCAAATGTGTACACACACACACATGCACACACACACAATAATCAAAGCTTGTTTGTGATGATATACACACAGCATAAGTTGTGGTGGACCAGCATTTTTTCCCCCAGATCAAAACTGGTACATAGCCTTTCAAATAAATTAGTGCTTTAATCTTAGCTGATGCATTTGAAGGAAGGAGTATATCCACATGCCAGTGCCAGGGTGATCCTGTGGCCTCTCCAACAGAAACCATAGAGGGCTGTGTTTTCAGAAAGAGTAAACACAACCTTTTCTCTCATTTTTTTTTTTCTGGTGATATTTGTAGGCCCACACCTGGCATCCCATATCACCCATGTGGGTCAGAGATTACATATGCAATAAAAAAGGAAATCAAAGCACGAAATGAGGAAATTACTGATAACAGCATTTATCAAAAGGTGAGGGCAGAAAATCATTTTAAAATTTAAAAACAAAAGCCCATACACTGTGTGTTACAGGGATGTGTGTGTTTATATATAAAAATTGCTAAATACCCAGGTTAGGCACCATTTAACCAGCAGAGCTGTTGCCTCAGGCAGTTGTTTTTCTAATTGCAGGTCTCGGCTGTGTCACCAGCTAGCTGGGAGCCCAAGGGGAGCTAAGAAAGTCTTGTTCTGTCCTTTGAATTCCTTTTCAACAGTCTGGCTTCCCTACCACCCAGGAGGGCACAGATCTTCCATGCCCCTCCCCAGCCCAGGCTGCTGCTGGCCTGCTGTGTCCCACCCACTGGGGAACAGCCCTTGGAACAAGAGGCTGCTGTTAGGTTCAGCTTCCAGGGCTGGGACATAATTGGCCCTGGCTCTAATGAGCAGGGCTAAGGTGGCAGAGCCTATCGCTGATTGCAACTGCTACCTGCAGAGGGACCAGGACAAGCATCAAGCTAACAGCTTGGAGAGCTGCCACTCGGACAGCCCATAATTTCCAAATTAGATACTTCAGAGGTCTGGATTTTGCTGTGCGGACAGAGCTCAGGGGCAGCTCTCGCAGAAGGTGGAGAACTTAGACAAATTTTCATTCATAGTCAACAGGGTCCCAGGCTCCCCTTTCTTCGTTTTTCATTTACATGTAAATAGTGGGGGGTCGGGGGGGTGGTAATGGAGAGGGGATTCTGGAGCTCAGTTCCTGGGGCAAGGGGTGGCAGGAGACCTTGAAGCCAGTGAGGCCGGTTCTATTGCACTCTTTCAACTCGGTGGAAGCAGAAGTACTATAAACTTTGTAGATTCATCCTTGAGGGCCCTGCCCAGAAATAGAACTGTACAGTCCACAAAGCAGCACTGAACAAGAGAACAGGGTCGCTTTGTATTGCTGAGATCTCCCCTTCTTGTTATTTACTTGTAGCTTTCTGTAATTGGATGAGTGGATATTTACTGAGTAAAGTGACATCTGTACTAGGCATATGTTCTTTAACTACCCAGACCCACTGGAGGGAGAGAGACCATCTGATGTGGCCACTGCACCTCACAGAGGTTGAGTGACTCCTCTAGGGAAGCGGCACAGTCAGGATTCAAATGCAGGTCTGTCTTCCCGGCCGCTACCTACGTACTGTCATCTGTCTCTCCCATTGCCTCCGGAGCTGCTTGGGTCTCCTGGTGTCAGTCTCCCAGCCTGGTGGCTCCTATGGTGGTGGCTGCCTCTCAAATGCTGCACATGGAGGCCCACGGTGAGCCCAGGGGTCCATTCATTCCTTTTTGCTGCAGGTCGGATGTGTGCATGTGAATTCCATTGGGGATCACAGTTTATTTTCTTTTACTGTGGTTAAAAAAATACATGATGTGAAATTTACCATCTTAATAATTTTGACGTGTACAGTTTGATAATGTTAAGAATATTTATGTTATTGTAAAATAGATCTCCAGAACTTTCTCGTCTTGAAACACTGAAGCTCTATACTCATTCAACACGAATTCTCCATGTTACTCTCTCTGCAGCCTCTGGCCACCACCATTTTACCTTCTGTCTCTATGAATTTGACTCCTTTAGATACCTCACATAATGCAGTATTTGTCTTTTTCTGCCTGGCCTATTTCCCTTAGCATGCTGTCTTCAAGGTTCATCCATGTTGTAGCATGTGACAGGATTTTCTTCTTTTTTTAAAAAAAATTGTATTTTTATTGAAAAATAATAATTGAATGTGTTTATAGGGTACAATGTAATGCTTCAATACATGTATGTATTGTGGAACGAGCAAATGAGGCTAATTAACGTACCCATCACCTCACATACTTATCATTTTTTTGTGGTGAGAACATTCAAAATTCATTCTTTTAGCAATTTTGAAATAGACAACTTGTCATTACTAACTATAGTCATGTTGCAATGCAATGGATCACCAAAACTTATTCCTGTTGCCTAATTAAAACTTAGTCAACCCTCATTCTGCCAATAGGCTCTGGTAACCACCATTTTACCTTCTACTTCTATGAGTTCAAATTCGTAGATTCCACATATAAGCAAGATCATACAATGTCTTTCTGTGCTTGGCTTATTTCATTTAGTGTAATGTCCCCTAGATTCACCCAAGTTGTCATAAATGACAGAATTTCATTCTTTGTAAAGGCTGGATTGTATTCCATTGTGGATATATAGATCACGTTGTTTTTTTCAATCTTTATCTGTTGATGGGCACTTAGGTTGTTTCCAAATCTTGGCTATTGTGAATAATGCCACCATAAACATGAGGATACAGATATCTCTTCAATGTGCTGATCTTAGTTCCTTTGGAGACACACCCAGATGTAAGATTGCTGGATTATATGGTAATGCTATTTTTAGTTTTTTGAGGAACCTGCATATTATTCTCCAAAATGGCTATGTTAATTTATATTTCCACCAACGGTTTATAAGTGTTCCCTTTTCTCTACATCCTTGTTACCATTTGTGGTCTACCATATTTTTGATAATAGCCATTCTATCCAGCATGAGGTGACATCTCATTGTGGTTTTATTTTGCATCTCCCTGACGAATAGTGATGTTGAGCATTTTTAAAAAATATATGTTGACCTTTTGCATGTCTTTTTTTTGACAAATGCCTATTCAGGTCCTTTGCACATTCTTAAACAGGGTTATTTTTTGTCTTGGTATTGAGTAGTTTGAGTTCCTTATATGTTTTGTATATGAGCTCCTTATCTGATGTATGATTTGCAAATATTTTCTCTCAATTTATTGTTTCCTTCACTACGTAGAAACATTTTAGTTTGATGTAATTCAGTTTGTTGATTTTTCTTTTGTAGACTGTGATTTTGGGGTCATATGCAAAAAATAATTGCCAAATCGACATCTTTTTTATTTATTATTATTTTTTTGAGATGGAGTCTTGCTCTGTCACCCAGGCTGGAGTGCTGTGGTGTGATCTCAGCTCACCGCAACCTCCACCTCCCAGGTTCAAGCAATTCTCTGCCTCAGCCTCCCAAGTAGCTGGGACTACAGGCGTCTGCCACCACGCCTGGCTAATTTTTTGTATTATTTTATTTAATTTTTTTAGTAGAGACGGGGTCTCACCATGTTGGCCAAGATGGTCTCGAACTCCTGACCTCGTGATCCATCCACTTCGGCCTCCCAAAGTGCTGAGATTACATGCATGAGCCACCGTGCCCGGCCCAGATCAACATCTTATAGCTTTTCCCCTATATTTTCTTCTAGTAGTTTTACAGTTTCAAGTGTTACATTTAAGTATTTATTTTAAGTTGATTCTTTTATAAAGGGTGAGACAAGCGTACAATTTCATTCTTCAGCATGTGGACAGCCAGTTTTCCCAACACCTCTCATTGAAGAGACTGCCCTTTTCTCACTGTGTGTTCTTGGCCTTTTTGTTGAGAATTGATTGACTATAGATGCATGGGTTTACTTCTTGGATCTCTATCTGATTCCATTAGGATTTCCTTCTCTTAAGGCTGAATAATATCCCATTGTATGTGGATACCACGTTTTCTCTATCTACTCATCCATTAGTAGACACTTAGGTTGCTTCCACTTCTGCTATTATGAATAATGCTGCAGTGAACATGGGTGTGCCTGGTCCAGGGAGCTCTGACTTTTACAAGGAGACTGAGTAGAGAGTGAAGCTTTTCTGTTCTGCCCTTCAGCCAGGACGAAGTACAGACAATGCACTAATCTGTTCCTGATCAAGCCCACTGGGACACAAGGGGGATGGGTGGGTCACAAGTTACAGAGGGAAAAGCCAGGGCTTTGGAATCAGATGAGTTTAAGTCCCAAGTCTGCCTTCTATGATCTGTGTGACCTGGAGCAAATTACTCAACCTCTCTGAATCCTAATTCATATATATATGTATATATATAATAATTATTATTTTTCCATGACGGAGTCTCACTCTATTGCCCAGGCTGGAGTGCAGTGGGGTGACCTCAGCTCACTGAAATCTCCACCTCCCAGGTTCAAGCGTGAATCCTAATTCCTTCACCTGTAACTAGATTATTGCAAGAGGACCATATAGTGTCCGCTGGTAAATATTTTAACAACTAGCTCTCCAAAAATAATAATGCTCTAATTTGAAGCATTTAATGATTTTATTGTGTAAAGACTCAAACTGTAGCTGATTTGAAGCCACCAACCTGCCTTCTTTAAATGTAGAGTGAGGAAGAGTGAGCCACCCACCAGCCCCAGCACACCACTGTCCATATATAAAATGTCTTTCCCAGTATTTGGGATGTGCCAGGTTCTCTGTTAATACTAGTTTCCTTCCTAATATTAGTTCCATCCTCCCCCCAGCCCCCCATCAAAAGGACTCTGGGTAACCTAGATAATAAGAATGATTGCTCAATTCTACACATTTATTTGACTAATATACATTGACCTTCTATCACATACAAAGCTCTGTCCTAGGAGTAGAGTAAAAGGTGCAGAGGAATAAGGAGGGGACTTTTAAAAAATCATGTGACCCAGCCCTGTCTTTAGGGAGTCCAGCCTGGGGGGACAACCCCTTCCGTGTGCCGGCATCTCCGTCATGGAACGTGTTAATCATCTGTGGACTTGTTTCTCTCCCTGCACTGTGGTCTCCTGGAAGATAATGACTCTATCTTGCTTATTTTGTTATCTACATTGCTTAGCATTTCTAAAGTATTCAATAAATAGTTGTCGAATTATTTTACGAACTTGAAATCTACCTAAGAAGGCATAACTAACAAATCCAAGACAGAGAAGAATACAAGAAAACAGGCAATCGTAATTCTAAAACTTCTCATTTGATAGGCATCTTACTACTTCAAAGCTTTCTCAGTTAAAATAGTTAACACGGACTGAGTGCGTATGGTATACCAGGCATCAGTATCCTCACTCAACATACATTATCTCATTGAAAATTTACAACAACTCAATCTGTACAACTACCCCAATGGGGTAGATACTGTTATCATCACCCCCACTTCCTAGATGAATAAAATGAGCAGCAGCAGTTAAGTGGGTTTTTCAGTATTTTTTGTTGTTGATATTGTATGCATGGAGCCAGGATGTGAACCTAGGACTTGATGTTTACTGCCCCATGGAGTAGAGAAAGTAGGAAACTTTCTTACGTACTCATTTGATAGGTGATAAAACTGTGGCTTAGAGAGGGAGATGGAGATTAAGTAACTTGCCCAAAGTCACTCAGCTAACAAGATGCAGAACCCCAGGACTAAAATACAGGCCTGCTAACTCCTAATAAAATAAAGAGCATAAAGTAAAGTATGGTGTGAAGTACTATAGGCAAAAAGGGATAGTGGCTGGGCAGGGTGGCTCACACCTGAAATCCTAGCGCTTTGGGAGGCCGAGGCGGGTAGATCACCTGAGTTCAGGAGTTTGAGACCAGCCTGGCCAACATGGTGAAACCCCGTCTCTACTAAAAAAAAATACAAAAATTAGCTGGACATGGTGGCAGAAACCTGTGATCCCAGCTACTCAAGAGGCTGAGGCAGGAGAATTGCTTGAACCCAGGAGGAGGAGGTAGCAGTGAGCTGAGATTGCACCACTGCACTCCAGCCTGGATAACAAAGCAAGACCTTATCTCAGAAAAAAAAAAAAAAAAGATGGGGACTGGTTCAGAGAAGGGCCATACTACTGGGATATCCAGTGGTCAGTGGTCAGTGGTCAGGGAAGAATTCCAGAAGATGTGTGGTTTGAGTAGGACCCTGGGGAGGTGAGGGTGGATCTGAATCAGCAGTGTCTCATTTCCTGTCCCCCAATGTGCGCGCGCGCGCGCGCGCACACACACACACACACACACACACACACACACACGCATGCACACCAGTGGCCCTAGCCCTTGCTCCTCAACATGGAAAGCAAGGGCTAAACTTCAGACAAGCTTTCCCCATCTTCTGGAAACCACAGCTTCACAGTTGCTGCTTTTCTTGTGTATTTATTTTTCAAGTTATTTACATAAAGGATCCACCGGCCCCTTGGCTGTCAGACAACATTGCCCTTTCTCCTGGCTTTTATCTGACTCCTGGAGAGGTTGTCATGCTCTCAATTACCTGAAACATGCCTGTGTCCCAATATGATTTGGGGTCAGCCACCTCTTACTTTGCAAGCAGTAAGTACTACAACCACAACGGCCGAACTTGACGCACAGATCCCCATTAAAAGAAGAAGCGTGCAGGCTTTCCTGCAGGCCTCTTGGGCTGCTGGCAGGCAGGCTGGGGTGTGAGTTGAATGTGTTGGGCTGGAGGGGGCCAGAGGAGGGGAGAAGAAATGGGACAATGGAGCTCACTCAGCTTCCTAATCCATCCCAGCTATGGAATTTTCCTGTGAATGTTTATTTTTTTGAGTCATGTACACTGTTAAAGTAATATTTTTCAAAAGATTAAAAATCTGTTTCTCAAACAATTACATGTCAAAGATTCATTTAACTCATGAATGAGACAACTAGCAGAATGACAAAGCTGGGTTTAAGAGAGGATACAGGCCTATAATCCCAGCACTTTGGGAGGCTGAGGCCAGTGGATCACTTAAGGTCAGGAGTTTGAGACCAGCCTGGCCGACATGGTAAAACCCCATCTCTACTAAAAATACAAAATTAGCCGGGCGTGGTAGCAGGTGCCTGTAATCCCAGTTACTTGGGAGGCTGAGGCAGGAGAATCACTTGAACCCGGAAGCAGAGGTAGCAGTGAGCCAAGATTGTGCCACTGCACTCCAGCCTGGGTGACAGAGCAAGATTCCATCTCAAAATAAATAAATAAATAATAAATAAAAGAGGATACAGGAAAAATTATATATATACATATATACGTGGAAGAAATCTGGAATAAGATTGCTAAATTAGATGCAAAACTTAATGTCTCACAGGGCAACAAAATCATAAGGCTTTGGACAATCTTCTCTACTGGATGGAAATCACTCACATGTTACCATCTTTTCTAACTGTTAGCATCTATCTCATAGGTTTAGGCCCTTTGTGGATGGTAAATAGTAAACAAACAAAACAGATTCTCCTGGAGAATCAAAGCCTGAGGTGGGCTTGCTGCCTTATTAACAAGTTTTGGATACATATTCTTAACAGCTTAAAAGAATCTAGCCAGTCCTGTGCAGTGGCGATTCTGCAAGTTGCTGAATATGCCTATTCCAATTATGTGTTCTGGAACCAGAGAGGTAACTACAGGGTGGGTTCACAGACCCACTGGACCCACTGTGAGAAGGAACTGAGCTAAATCTCCATTGATTGCCTGACCTCCAGAAGTCCCACCTTTGACTGGGGGCTACAGTGATGTTTTGGGTCTCCAGGAATTAGTGTCATTAGAGCCTGGTCAGAGCCCTCACCTAATCTAGTAATCCTCCAAAAGTCTATTTTATTTTCCCAATGCATAGTTACCCTGGTAAGGAGTGGTCCGTTTGGAGAAAGCTGGGAGAAATATTAACAATGTAAATTTTTGGCAGGGGTCTTCCTCAAGAGGACCAAATCTCTCCTTCATTTACGGGTTCTGCATCTGTCAATTGGCTCAAATCTGGGAATTAATCAGGGGCCATAACTCTCTGTTTTGGTGAAGAAAGTTAGACTTCTGATCACTTGATATAGAACTCTTCTACTTAAAGAGATTGAGTGAGAATGTAGTAGACTGCCTATCTATTTCTCTGCTAAGGATACCATGATCACCTAGCCAACACTGTTGGTCTCAGACTATTTTATTAACTGCTTTGGCTCTGCTGTCCATTAGGCTGTGGAGACAAGGTGGGGTTTGGGAGAGGAGCCTTTGAGGCAGAATGTTGAGATGTGAGTTCTGATCCTGCCTTTGCTACTAACTAGCTGAGTAATCTTGTGCAAATAGAGAAGCCTCTCTGGGCCAGCTTCTTCAACTCCTAAAGAGGGAGTAATAACCCTGCCCTGCTTGGTCAGAGGGCTGTTTCGAGGCCTTCAAAAAGCACAACAATGTTGTTAGCTCTGGTTGCTTGTTTGGCATTGGTGTTTTAGATGGTGTGAGTAGAGGATGCAAGCTGGAAGTGCTTTGGCTCAGCTAGTGTGATGAGTTAGTTGCCGGGATTTCATGATAGGGAGATTTCAAATAAAAGTTCCAATTTCTGTCTTCTTTTGAAATATTGTTTCCATTCTCAAATGGCAACAATAGACTAAGGATCCCATTCTCTCCAGTTTACCAGCCACCTCCCACTACTTCACTTGTGAACATTGCATTCGTGGAGGGTGGCAGGTGCAGCTCTGGATGCTGGGAATAAGTGCATACAAAATGGAAGAGATATGAACTGCACAGCGAGACAAGTGGAACAGCAGGGCTGGTGCTAATCTGAACGGTAGCTCAGGGAGCAATCAGTTCTACCCACAACTGCTCACTAAACACCGCCCCCTGATTTCTTTCTTGGCTCTCAGCCATTTTGCTCTGACTTTGGGGTGAATTTTCGCTTCTCTGGTAGTCTCTCTCTGGCTCCAATTCTTGGAAGACCCATCCGGCTTGTCTGAGTATATCCACTTGCTAGGTATTCAGACCATTTCTGCACTCTCTTCAACTGTTACTCCAGCTTAAAATCACAGCTTAACTGGCTAACAGTCCTCCCATGGCTGACACCGTCTTGGTGGGAGCAGCTCCGTGTTATGGCCGTCACTCTGCTAGCCCAGCATTTATTCATCTAGAAGTTTTACTGTGCACCTATGATGGCATGTGCTCAGGGGGAAGCAGCATTATGCTTTTCCAAGCCTGCCCTTGGCTCACATGATCTGCTCATGTTGGAAGGACGCCTACAGTTCCCAACTCACTTGTGTAGCACAGGTGCTTGACATGTCCAAACGTCATGAATGCCAAGGCCTTCCTGTCTCACCTGCCCAATTTCCCAGGGCATCTCAGTTTCCCTCCTCCCCCAGGGGTCTGGGACATGCCTCAACTTTACAATATTACCTTGGCAGAGCCTCCCATATCAGACTCTATGGGAGCACAGCAGGAAGAAGTCTTGATGAGCTCAGAGGGTTCAGGGAAGGCTATTCTAGGAGGTGGGCTTTTCCCTTTGAAGAGTTGGAAGGATTTGGACAGTTGGGAATGGGGAGGCAGGTGGAGAAATGGCAGCATTCAAAGGAGGATGAGGGGAAGCGAGGGGTACAAAAGTCACAGACTAGATCAACGCCAGCTGCAGTCTAGCCTGTCCACAGGAGGGGCCAGCAGGTAATGTGGGAAGATCAAAGACAGAGAGCTAAAGAATCTGGACTTTTCCCTTCAGGGGAGTCATAGAAGATATTTTGAGCGAGGCGGTGACATGAGCCTGAAGCCATGGCTTTGGGAGGTGGACTTGGTGGGCATGTGCAGGATGGTCAGGAAGGCAGGCTAAAGGTAGGGTTGAGAAGAAACTCTTGAATTTGGCCCCCTGCTGACCCCTCCCATCTCCTCCATCCTGCCTGGGTCTGTGGGCCTGGTCTCCTCTTCGCAGGCCCAGTGTGGTGCAGCTCCTTTAGAGGTGGCCAAGGAGAGCTACCCAGCTCCTTACCAATCCTTTCCACTCTAGGGAACCCGAATGAGGCCTGACCCCAGTCCCCTCTCGGAAGTGACAATGAGCTTGAGGAAGAGACAGAATAGACTGCTGTACCCGTGCCCTTGGATGAGGACAGTGAACAACACCAGGCCCTCTGGCTCTGTCTTCCTCCTGTTCCTCTCTCATGGCTGGGGCTGAGATGAAGACAGGTGATTAATACTGCTGTCAAGAGAGCATCACGTTGCAATTACTGAGATGCCACCTCCTTCAGAAGGAAAAATATTGTAGCAGTGACTCCTGGGCTTTTTAGAGTGGGGAGCAGCTCTGACAGGGAGCCAGGAGTCTCTGTGTTTCCAAGAATAGCCAGGGAGTTCCCCCGGAGCTTGAGGCGTGGTTTTCAGCCACCGTGCATCTGGGCTGGGCTGGGATGCTGGAATCACAGTTGCTGCCTGGTTCCTTCCAAGGAGCGGCTGCCCCAGGTTGAAGTCAGACCCCCTTACCCATTGCTCTGGGCTTGGGTGCTCTACTGGCCTATGGACAAGAGATCTCATCAGGACAGGAAAAGAACGTCATTAGACTCCTGCATCTTCCTGCCTCGGAGCTCATTATCTCTGGTGACTCACTCACTCCCTGTTTCGTGGTTCCATCTCGCAGAGTGATGATGACTTCCTAGCCTGAAGGTCCTCTGACTACATTCTCTGCTGCCAGACACCATCTAGAGCCCCCTCAGTATCCCTTTGTGGGATCTTACCTTCATCATGGCCTCAGACACCTGCTTTAACCACAATAGACAGTTGTCCCCAGACTGACAAGCAGGGAGGGCCTGGGCACCCTGAGCTCCCTCCTTCAGCTACTGGCCCCTCAACATGGACAAGGCTGGAGATCGCATCATGGCAGATTAGAATCTTAGGACTGGTGGGAGGAAGCCTTGTGTGTCCTCTGATGTGGCCACACATGTTTGTTACAAAAGGACATCCAGGGCCAGAAGAGGGAAGCCACTTGCTTGAGGTCACATGGTTGGAAATGTGGGGCAGAGCAGGGGCCAGAAGCCAGATGCTGACTGCCTGTCAGAATTCAGTCCCTACACACCCCGCCCCATGTCTGTCTGTCTTGCTTCATGGACCACTCACACCCCAGAGTTCCGCCTGCCTTCTCTGTTGCCCACCAAACCCGTGTGTGTTTGTTCGTTCATATGCAAGGTGAGTAGTGAATTTGCTGGCTGGCTCGCATCCTCTGCAGGTGCTGGAACAAGCAGCACTTTCTTTTCTTTCTTTCTCTCCTTTTTTTTTTTTTTTCAGAGGGTGGTATGGAAGCCTTGAATCCTGTCAAAGTTTCCTTGTTTTGATTCTCATGGGCACTTCCATCTGCCCATACCAAGCATTCTGTGTAACAGGGGTGTGCCAGAAACTGCAAATTCAATTAAAAGCCCGAGAGAGCTCCCCCAGGAAAGGCACAGGAGCGGGGAGAGGATTTTATGATTTAAAGAACAACATCACGGAGCCTGAGCAATTCCAGGGCAGCAGCAGCAGGGACAGACATGGGCACAACAGAACAGAGTGTGGCCGTGCAGCCCAGCGGGCCTCCCGACTTTACCCCAGGCCCCGGGGAGGGTGGGGCTGCTGTCTTTGGAGGCTGGAGCAGAAGTGGGCAGGTTTGGACTTGCAAGGGCTATGACATGCTAGAGGATCCCAAGTTCCCTGAGGGCATCTACACAGATCTGAGTTTGTTCAGCATTTGTGCAGCCCTCTTCTTGTCTGGTGTGAGTGCTGCTTAGGAGTCAAGACTGCAGATGAAGCCCACAGCAGCAAGTTAGGAATTCTGTCCTATCAGCCATCAGCTCCTGTGGCAATGGTGTGATGGTTCCTTGAAGACCCCTCCCACTTTGGAAACACAGGGAATATGCCTTACTGTCAGTGTTGGCCTCATCCTCACTCGCCACCAACACTGAGTTCCTAAATGGTGCTCTTACAGCCACGTGCCTCCACAGGACTTCTCTCTGTTTCTCATTTTCACAACTACTTGCATCAATGTGTACTGTACAGTGGGGACATGGGATTGAATTTACAGGATTATTATGAGGCTTAGCAGCAACATGGGTAAACTATTTCCAAATATCCCATCTTGCATTTGCAGTATGTTAATGTTAGTAGGGGGTGCCTCATTGCCACTGTGGAAACAGAGGTTTTGCAACTAGACAAACCCAGTCTTCCATCCTCCACTGCCACTTCCTAGTTGACATAGGTTATTAAAGGAACTCCCTTGGCCCCATTGGCATTATCTGTGAAAAAGGATTAGTAATGTTTCCCTTTTAAGGTTGCTTTTAGAATTAGGACAAAGGTGTGTACAGTGTGCAAGACAGTGTCCAGTATACGGTGAACAGTCAATAAACAGGAGCTACCGTTACTATGACTGCTGTGTTTTCTCCAGTTCTGACAGCAACTCTGTGTCTGACTCAGCGCCGGGGGTAGAAACTGGTCTTTTCAGCAGACGTGACTCTAAGGAGTTTGGATGAAGAGAGTGCCTGGGGAACTAGGGTGGGATCCATGGAGGTGGGGTGACTGTATCAGATCTGTCATCAGGGCTTCTGGAAAGGGGCGAGTGGGAAGGGGGAGCTGAAGACCCTCCATGTACTTCCCATGCATGAAGTGGGGTCCATGTGTCCCAGGAGGAGTGAAACATGCCGCTGAGGTCTGGCAGGAAGCAAGGGGACAATTGCAGGTCAGACACAGAGAAAAACTTACTGGGCCAGGACAACAGGCAACTCACTGGAACTCACGGACCCAGGCCCCTGGAAATGCTCCAGAACAGGCTGGAAAATGCCTCCAAGGCCAGGCCACCCCCAGCATCTCTGTAGCCAGCAGTGGCTCTGGAGACAGGCTGAGCTTGTTAGAGTCCTGCCTCTATCACCTAGCAGCTAGAACTGTGGATAAATTTTTGAAGTTCTCTGGGCTTCCGTCTCCTGGGAAATGGAGACGTGATGAGGATTCATGGAGAGCACATGTATAAGGAGGGTTGCTATGCCTGGAACACAGTAGGTGCTTAAAATGATGGCTACGAAAAATGGATCAATTGACAGATATTAATTCCCCTCTCCTCCTTTTCTGCTTCTCTGCCTCCTGCCCCTTGCATGCGCAGTCAGCACCATGTGGGACAGATACTTGATATTTGCTCCATCCAAGGGTGAAGGAGAAGAGGACCCTCCCCTTTGCCTGGAAAAAGTTTCTGCATCCTTGCCTGCAGGTGGGAGGAGGATACGATGCCTCAGGAAGGCCTGGACAGCCCCTTCACACAGATACCTGGGTATCGGAGGTGCCTGTGTGAATGCCTGTTTTCCATTCGAGATAATTTTAGACTTGCAGAAGAGTAGCAAAGTAGTGCAGAGAGTTCCCCTATACCCTTCACTCAGCTTCCCCTAAAGTGAACGTTTTATATAACCACAGAGTGATGATCAAAACTAAGAAAATAACATTGGCTCAATATTATTAACTAAATGACAGATTTTATTTGCATTTTGCCAGTTTTTCCACTAATGTCCTTTTCCTGGCCCAGGATCGAATCCAGGATCCCACATGGTTTGGTTGTCACATCTGAGTCTCCTGTAATCTGTGACAGCTCCTCAGTCTTTCCTTGTCTTTCATGACCTTGAGATTTTTGAAGAGTGCTGGTCAGGTGTTTTCAGAATGTGGAGCTATTTTCACACTTGTGATGGAGTGTGCAGCACTGAGTTTTGCAGTCTTGCTTTAATATTTTTCTGCTGTCTTATTTTTGCTAGACTCCCAGAGCCTTTGCTTCTGCCAAAAATCTGTCCCGTGCAGTGAAAGATCCCATGCAGCTACAAAAGTGGCAGGAAGTTCATCTGTTTAGTGTGTGACATTAGCCACGTTACCCTCTCTGCAAAATGTGCACCCTCTTTCCTACTCACTGGTCTGGCTTGTGCTCATATCAGAGCCCCAGCTGTCGAGCTAGTACCTCTATCCAGATGGTGGCCTCCGTGAGGACAATGGAGCTTGCCTCTCTTGTTCAACGTTGTACCCTTAGTCCCTAATCAGCACTGCATATAATAGGGGCTCAGCAAATGTGTGGTGAATAAAGGAGCAATCACCGTCATCATCAGCCACCATTTATAGATGGCCCATGGAGTGTAAAAGACAGTCATTCAGGTTGTGGATGTGTAAGCCATGTAATTTCCTCAAGGAACATACAGCCCCGTTAGAGACTGAACATAGATAGAAAAAGCTGATATGCTGGCCAGTCAGTACAGCAGAAGCCCTCATATTCAGTATGGTGGATTGACTGATTTCAAAAGTTCTTTAAACAGGGAATTCATTTAAAAATGATACTCCAATCATTTCATTTTACCTTAGGGCATTCATGTACATTCATTTACCAAACGTTCTGTTCATATCTTGGGTCATTTCTTTGAGTACAAATACACCAGCTGGGTGTGGCTCATGCCTATACTCCCAGCACTTTGGGAGGCTGAGGCACGCAGATCACTGGAGGTCAGGAGTTTGAGACCAGCCTGGTCAACATGGTGAAACCCTGTCTCTACTAAAAAACATAAAAATTAGTTGGGTGTGGTGGTGCATGCCTGTGATCTCAGCTATTCTGGAGGCTGAGGCAGTAGAATCGCTTGAACCCGGGAGGCGGAGGTTGCAGTCAGCCGAAATTGTGCCACTGCACTCCAGCCTGGGCCACAGAGTGAGAAAGAAAAACAAAAACACAAACAACAACAACAACAAAAACAAATTCATCAACTGGAGTCTTGCCTCACCCTATTTGCTTAAGTGTGCCCATAGTACTTTACTTACAGCTTCCAGTTTTTTTTAGTTTTATTTTTTAAAGCACAGCAAAGACTTAAACTTACAAAATGATATAGTGTAGACGCTTAGATTTTAAGAATTTTCAGTTATCTCATTTGCATATTAGATAACTAGTTAGGTTTTTTGTTTGTTTGTTTTTAGCAATTTTTCTTTATCAAAATTTTTCCCAATGCATTCCACTTAGTTTTCATGGATCAATATTTTGACTTGGCATCCATATTTCATTGTTTATGAAATAGTGAGCTAAACTAATGACAATGACAAGAACTGGTGTACACAGGTTTGGCAGAGGACTAACTGCCTGGCGAGCTGACAGCTCTCCTGGTATGCTAGGAGGACAGATAGAGCACAGGGTCCTGGAAGGGAACATATGGTGTGCGGTGCACATCCGTCAGCGTCCTTTCCCAAAACAGTGATTGGAGAGCGATGGTTAATCCAATCTGCCCAAAACTTGGAGGTCACTAGAGAGCTTCTAATATGTATCTTTCCTCTCAAGTTAGTTGTCCTTGCTGAGCGCCACACTGTGCTAAAATGCGCTGGATACCCCAGGAGCAAAAGATGAATAAGATACAAGCCTTGTTCTTAAAGAGCATAGGAGAGGAGAGAGACAGACTTGCAGATTTTGGTACCACAAGTGCCAAGAAGAGCCAATAGTGTACTATGAAATTGAAGAGGAATAAATAATTTGCCCAAAAATAGATCACAGAAGGCTTCTCGGAGGAGGTGGCCTCAGATGAGCAATAGAGGCCATGGTGAGAAAGGAATTTGCAAGAGGCTGAGACCACTGAGCCTCATCATCTCAAACAACCCAAGCATACAAATAAGCCTGGTAACAGAGATGCTGGTGTTTTCTGAAATAGAAGTTGAAAGGACCAGTAGCAGCTGGATCCACTTGTTCACTGTCATCAGCATTGGTCGTGAAGGGGACCAGAATCCTCCTCTCCCCCATCACGCAAACCCTAGCATATTTGTTAGGCTTACAGATAAGAAAAGAGGGGGACAGAACCAGCCTTCCCTCGGGGAGCCCAGCACTGCATGGAGGAAAAAAGGCACAAAGGTAATGGGCAGGCCCCTCTCCCAGGTCACCAGCAGCCCTGCCTATCAAGCTGATGCATGCGGTAGAGTCCAGACCTCGATTTGCCTCATGCCAGGAAGATGGAATGTTTTGTTTCAATCTGTGACACGCACCTCAGTTGCTGAAGAGATTAGCGCTTCCTGGGCTGCAAAGGTAATTAGATGATCAATCGTAGAAAGTCTAAAGCAAATGGAACCTTTAGGGAGAGAGATTTGTGTTTGCTGTGTCCCATGGAATATCAGCAGGGAAGAAAAGGAACCTAAAGGAGCTGTGTTTCTGAAGAAACAGGGGCCTCCAGACACAGGGCTGAAGTCTCCAGGCAGGGCTGGGGAGGTGAGAAAATCAACACTTTGCTCAAAAGCCACCAGTGTTGCCTCAAGCCTCCTTAGCCTCAAGAGTGCTCCTCCTCCTGCCGCTACCCCTTGATGGGGAGGATTAGGTGAGAGGATCTGAGAGCATCATTCAGACACAGCCTTTGTAGCTCAGCAACATAATAGCAACTCAGTTACCCCTGCTAACTATTATAAAACACGGGGCACAAACTTAGATACATTCTGGGACCTGGTAGTTAATGTAAACTGAGTGAAACCAGCTGGGTGCAGGGCTGTAAGGATGGCTGGGGATTGTGGTAAACTTGAGAGCATGTGTGGAACTGGACATAATGACTGGAGGGAGGGATCTCTGCCTTGGCTTCTGCCAAAGCCTTGGGGTCTGGCCACTTCCAAGCTAAGGCAATTATGGCCAATTTTCTTTCATCTATGCCCCTACACCCATGCTGTTTTCATATAATTCCCAGATAGCATATAATTTCATCTGTAAATATTTCAGTGCGTTATCTTTAAAGGATAAGGACTCTGAAAAAATTCACCATATACGGGGGATGTGGGGAACAAGCGTGGAGGTGTAGCTTTTTTTTTTTTTTTGGAGACAGAGTCTCACTCTGTCACCCAGCCTGGAGTGCAGTGGTGCGATCTCAGCTCACTGCAACCTCCACCGCCCTGGTTCAAGTGATTATCTTGCCTCAGCCTCCAGGGTAATTTTTTATATTTTTAGTAGAGATGGGGTTTCACTGTGTTAGCCAGGATGGTCTTGATCTCCTGACCTTGTGATCCTTCCACCTCGGCCTCCTGAAGTACTGGGATCACAGGCGTGAGCCACCAAGGTGTAGCTTCTTTTTCCATCCTTGGAGTGTGGAGACAGTCCATTCCTCATGAGCCGGGCTGTCCTCTGCTTTCTTCAATCGGTGTGTGCCTTGTATAAAGGGGACTATCTGGACGACCCCAGCTTGTTGTTGCCATGCAAGAATGCTGACCCAGTGTTTCCAAGATTTTATGATTCTTCTTGTAAAAGAAGCTAGATATCTGTATTTTAATGTGAAATGTCCAATTGTAAATATTGGCAATAAAATGCCAGTTTTTCAACAATGCTATGTGAGCCCAACAAATCCTGTATGCAAGCTAAATGTGGTCCATAGGCTACCAGTTTGCAGTCCCTGGGCATGAAGGAGATTAGCTAACCAGTACCAACTCTCCATTGCTGGGCTGTTGGAGACTAGCTGTGTAGTAGGCAGCCTTGCAAAGGAAAAAGGTTTTAGCAGGCTGCCATTGCCAGCCTCCATTTCCCACATAACAGAATGGGTTGATTCCATGTTATGGTCTGCCCATAAGTTGGGGCTTATGGCATGTGGCTCATTGTAGGAAGACAGCAAACATCTGGTTCTCAGATGACTTCAGCATCCATTGGAGGGTTATTTGCACAAACTTGGCAGCTTGAACTGATCCCTGAGAAGAGCTTCTCCTCCTTCTTGCCACAGCCATCAAAGCTCTCTCTGTCAACCTGTGCCTCAGGGAGCTGTCACAGCCTCATTACTGCTAATTCATCTTCACTTAGTGCATCAAAAGGCTGATTTATCAAATTGGGTGGGCGCACAGGAAGTTTGATTAGCAACATTATGTTGTTTGCCATGACAGGCTCAGAAAACTTAGCTCATCTGTGTCCCAGGAGCCCCAAGGTAAGACCGAAGTGTTTATATTCTGCCTCTGAAATTCTCAAGATCAGAAACCAGCATGGTGGCTCTAGTCTGGGGTGTTCCCAATGGGGTGCCCTCTCCATTTCTCTCCTTTCTGCCCCCTCATAAGTGGATCTCTGGAGTAAAATATCTCGATTTCTTATCCAAAGAGGTACTGGTGTGAGCAGGGTCCCTGGTTGCATCCCATCATCCTGGGTGGCAGAGTAGCTCTCATGCCTGGGAATGCCCTTTCATCTTCATATCTAATGAAGCACTTGGGATTTGCATTATTTGCCTCTGCCATTATCCCCATCATGGCCCATGTCAAGCTGCTGAGCAAAACATCCAAAGGCGCAGCCTTTTTCCCAGGCTCCTGGGACAGAATGGGACAGAAAACCTCCCAAAGAAATAGTTTCAAGAAGTAGCATTTCGCAGAGAAACCTAACAGGCCCCATGGCCCTGAGCTTCTCCCTGAAAGTCTGGGGGGAATCATCTTTGAGCACATTCCTGTAAGTGCATGCCTTTATCAATATCCAGAGGACAGAAAGAGAGGGAGTGCTTGGAAAACAGCCCTTGCAAAGAAAGGTTAAAAGAAAAGTTTATGGCCTGGAAAAGAACTGGCTAGGTGGGACTTTCTATGTATGCATTGTTCCTGAGTGCCACTTGAGCCTGTCTCTGCTGAGGATAGGTATCTGGGCGAGGCGAGCATACACAGAAGTTGCATAAAGGTAAGTTGGACTCAGGAGAGGCACTCATGGAGGCTCCAGAATTACTCTCCTTAAGTTCATTTCCTTGAAGATGCAGATGATGATGATCCTACAGTGACCAGGATGGTAGTGACAAGGATTGAGCCCTTTCCAGGAGTCAGAGAGCCCTGTAGGATAAAGCAGGGGACCTGTCTAGAGACCTTAATTGCAATCCTGGTTCTGAAAGCAATAGGCTCTATGAACCTGGGTGAGTCATTTCACTTTCCTGGTCTTACTCTTAGCTTTTTTTTTTTTTTTTTTTTTTTTTTTTTTTTTTTTGAGACAGAGCCTCCCTCTGTCACCCAGGCTGGAGTGCAGTGGTGTGATCTGGGCTCACTGCAACCTCTACCTTCCGGGTTCAGGCGATTCTCCTACCTCAGCCTCCTGAATAGCTGGGATTACAGGTGCCCACCTCCACCCAGGCTAATTTTTGTATTTTTAGTAGAGATGGGGCTTCACCATGTTGGCCAGGCTGGTCTCGAACTCCTGACCTCAAGTGATCTAGCTGCCTCAGCCTCTCGAAGTGCTGGGATTACAGGTGTGAGCTACCATGCCCAGCCCTGGTCTTAGTTTTTTAATCTGTAAAATGAAGAGATTAGATTAAATATTCTCTAAGGCTTCTTCCAGCAGTAAAAGTCAATATTCTATATTTTTCCAGGTTAGCTACCATTAAAATAGGAACAACTGAGTGCCTTCTCTCTCTCAGAGACTGTGCTAGTGGCTTGATGTGTCTTGTTTAATCTTTATGATAACCCCACGAAGAAGGGAGTCTCGTCCTGTTTTAGGCTGTTCAAAGGAGCACCGTCACTGTCAGCTTCCTCCAGCATAACAAACATCCAGGAAGCACTTACAAAACTGGTAGCCTTCCTAGGAGATGCTAAAGATACACATAGGTTTAAGACAAACTCTGCCCATTAAGGCTCACAGATGCATCAGACAGAAAGGACAGATGCAGAGCAATGTAGGTACCGAAGAACCTGTGCATGGCAAAGAAATACCACCAACTACATGCTCCTGAGTGAGACGATAATAATACACTACATTCACATTTTTATGGGACTTTAGAGTTTGCAAGACACTTTGGAATATATCATTTTACTTGATTCATCTATCACTCTCTGAAATTAGGTCTGACAGCTCTCATCATTAAATTATTAACTATTAAGTTGAGAATTAGAGAAGTGGCTCATCCAAGGGAACTGGATTTTCCTTCTGCATGTCAGACATCCACACAGTGAGACAATAATAATGCAGTGCTGATGATTGCATGATACCTGATAGAGTCTGCCAAGCCTTATCACATCTCATGCTGGTCCTACTTCTGTCCTGAGTAGCAGAGATGTCTCATAGCTGTTGCATCCTTAGATTTACCAGGAAGGTTACAGGCCAGGTAGGACTTCTTTTTTCTCAAAGATTTAGAGGGAAGGCTCAGGGTTGTTGCAAATCTGCATGACACACCCCAAAAGGACTTTAACCAAGGTCACCTGCCAGGTGCCCTGATATTTTAGGGCTTTTAGTTCAGGGGTGAGTAGTGGGAACAACATGGTAGGCATGGCTGGAATCTCTCTGAAGCATGCAGAAAATTGGGGGTCACAGAGAAATGGGGAGTTTCTTTCCCTTGGGCCCCTCATTCCAGCTTGAGTCTTTTGCCTGTGACCCTCACACAGCTCAGCTCCTTTCCGGCAGCTGTTGCAACCTTGTAATGACATTAGCTGCCACTTATTGGGCACCTACCACTTACTGGCCCCTTTATTCACATTTTCTAAGTCAATTTTGCAACCACTCCCATGAGGAGGATGTTATTGCCCCCATGTTACAGATGAGAAGACTGAGGCCCAGAACAATTTCATTGTCAAGGCCATACTGCTACCAAGTGGGACTGGAACCCAGATCTAGCTGTTGTCTGTCTGATTAAAAAAAAAACAATAAAAATAGGACGCATTGACACACCTTCTTCAATTCCAGGGACAGAGGAAGTGACTCCTCTGTATCCTGGGCATCACTGCTTAGGAAGGCCTCAATGTTGGCCCCAGGATGTGGAGTGGTATGCAGCAGCAGTGGGTGCACAGCCTGTTTTCAGGATGGTGCCCAGCACTGTGGCTGCTCTTCCAACCTGCTTCCATCAACTGGGAGAGGCAGCTGGGGGCTCCTCTGCACCCCCCAGTCTGTTGTCGGGATGAGGAGACTGCCTCTCTGCTCTCTTCCCTGTTGTGCCCATGTTGCCCCTCCTCTGAGGGAGGTAGCAGAAGACCAGGCAAAGCAAGATGCCCAGACCTACAGTGCCACCCTTGGTGGTGGACGCACACCCTGTGGAATGAAAGGGAGCATTGGGGAGGAGCCTGGCCTGCCAGATGGACCCAGAGGCAGCCCCAGGAGCTGAGAGAGGATGAGGGACCCCAGCTCTTGCCCACACTCCTCGGCTCCACCCAGACTCGAGCATGCCCTGTGCTCCTTGGCTCCACCTGGACTCCAGCGTGCCCTGTGCTCCTCGGAGCTCCCTTGTCAGAGTAGCCCCATGTCCTGGAGACACTAAGAGTGTCATTTCTGGAAAACATGAGGTTGCCTAAGTCACTTAGAATTCTGAGGAAACTTGGCTATGGCCTGGACCTCAACTTCCCTCTTTATAAGGCTCATATAATTCTTCCCTCATATAATTATATGAGAAGTTCCTTTGGGGGCTCTGTGGACACCAGTCTGACACCTACCAGCCTGGAGGGGTGAGACCCTGCCCATCCCCATGAAGGAACCGTGTAGATGTGCCTCGGACACAGGACTGTGAAAACCTTACTTCTTCGTACCCTAGATCCATACTCAACTCCTGGTGTAAGGAAGAGTCTGGGTTCTGCAGGCAGATCCACTGATGTTCACAACCCACTGCCTGTTTCTTTGTCTGTAGCATGGGGATCATATCTAATCTCACAGGGCTGCTATGCGGAGTAAATGAAATAGTAGGTGCCCAGCACTTCACGTGGTGCCTGGCCTGCAATAGGTGCTCAGTAGCTGTTCTATTTGTCATTAAAGTGGGCTTTACCCTCCCACCTCCATCCCTACCAGCTGAGCCGCCACCTGCTGTGAAAGAGAGGACATGACTTATTAGGCCAAAGCTGTTATGTCATGAGAAAGGATCCCAGGCCATAGAAAGGGTTGCCAGGGCTCGTCCCCAGGGCTCCATCTGTCCTGGACAGGGCAATGGAGTGATCAAAACAGAGGGAGAGTCTGGCAGCCAGACTGGCAGAAAAGGAAGCCAGTGTTCATAATAAGAGAACTTGATCAGAAAGATACCTTGAAGCCTGGCTTGCACCCATCTGTTTTCTTAGGGATGGGCGCTGGGGTGAGGGTTAAGGAGCAGATTAGATATTTTAAAACATTTTGTTATAGAAAATTTCAAACATATACAAAATTAAAAAGAATAGCGTCATGAACCTCAATGTATCTATCACCCACCTTTAACCACGATCAAATTATGGCCAATTTTCTTCCATCTATGCTTCTACCCCTATGCTATTTTCATATAATTCCCAGACAGCATATAATTTCATCTGTAAATATTTCAGTGTGTATCTCTAAAGGATAAGGACTCTAAAAAAATTCACCAGAATGCCATAATATCAATAATTCTGAATATCATAAAAAATCTACTGTTTAGATTTTCAATTGTCCCCTAAATTTCAGGGATTTTAAAAAATTGGTTTCTTTGAATCAGCATCCAACTAAGGCCCACACATTGCAATTGGTGAAGATGGCTTTAAAGTTTATTTTATTCTAGAGGCTCTCCCCACTCCATCTCTCTTTTTTTTCTTTGCAATTTATTTTTGGAAGAAACTGGGTCATTTGTCCTATTGTATTTTCTGCAATCTGGATTTTACTGATTGCATTCCTGTGGTGAAATTTTACCTTCAATTCGTCTTTGAGGTCTTGACACCAAAACAGTATTTGTGTGGGAGTCCTCAAGTCCCATCTTGCCTGCCCACCCCTCCATTGCAAGAAGGCCTCCCATCGCCTTTGCCAAATGGGAAAGAAAGGTCCCCGGTGTCAGCCTGCTGGAGCCGAAGGATGAGAAACGTGGGGACAAGGGCTTCCGGAGGTTTCCAGCAGTGTGATCGTGGGTTGTGCTATTATTTGGACTGGGCCTTCTCTCTGTTTTTATGAACAGGAATGTCTTTTAATAAAGAAGAACAATTTTCTGCCAAATAGGCAGGATTGTTTTTCCTCCATCTGGAGCAATAAGGTTCAGGATTTGTCTCCCAATTGACTTTCAAGAGCATGTTTTCTCAATTCTTTCCTGAAATTAAAGTAAAGGTCAAGGAGGCTGGTCTAAGACCCAGCCCTTCCTCCTCTCTGGGCTCTGGCTGGCAGGAGTTTGGTAGCTAAGTATGTCCTTGGCTCAGGTGACCCTGTGTAGCCCCTGGGGCAAACCAAGCTCAACTTCCCAGATTTTTTTCTTTGTGGGGGCAAATTGAGGAGGAAGGGAAAGTGGGGGGGCGGGGGGAGGAATACAGTGCCAGTCTGTGGGCTCCATTCTGAATTTAGATCTCCTGGGCAATTTCTAGAGGCTTCATTCTCCCCACTGTGTTCCCTTCTCAGGGAGGGGGCCCCAGCCCCACACCTCCACCTGCCTCCCACCCACCAGTCTTCTGCAGTGCACGTGAGCTGCCCCAGGGATCTGCCCCTTCCCTCACACAGTATCGGAGCGGTGAGGATTTTTAATCAAAAGGCAGCACACGCAGAGAACAGCACCGCCACCACCCCGCTCAGCATCACTGAGCCATTCTCCCCCACCCCCCCCCACACTGAGTCACTCTAGCTAACAGTTAATTAATTTGTGACACTTTGACAGTTTATGAGGAGACATTTTTACGGAGCCATCAAAATCTGCAGGGATGGGGCTGTCAGGCAGACACCCCTTCCTGCATTCACTGCATCTCCCAGACCCTGCCTCACCCCGCTGCAGACCCTGGAGGCCTGCAACAAGGTAAGGCTGGGAAGACTCAAATTCTGCTGCTGCTCAGGCCTCTCAGAGATGCCACACTCCCAGGGACACCTGAGCAGGCCCAGGGCCACCTGGCCACCTTGGGAAGAAGCAGAGAGCGGGGTTGTCTGGGATGAGAGCCCTGGAGAAGGGGAGGCCTGGTCATGCTCAGCTGTGGTCTCCTCTGCTCCTAGACAAAGTCTCACACAGGGGCCCTTTCGATAGCTGGGCAAGGAACTGTGCGTGCTCCAGCCTCCCCCTGGGGACACCCCCACCCCACCCTTGTGCTCCATAGAGAACTGAGTCTCAGCTGCACTCAGCTCACTCACTGTGGATGCTTGGTAGTCTCTGGCTGGTGCTGATGGGGGGGGATGGCTCCCTTGGCCTGCTGTGACTTCCCTCCCACAGGGTGCTGCCAACCTGGACACTCTGAAGCCCTGGGCCTTCCAGAAGCCCAGAAGCCATCTCTACCAGCTCTGTGCTTTTCTTTCCACAGACTGTGTGTTGGCTATGACCTCTCCCCACCTCCCCACATCCCCACACTCACTTTCATCTGTGTGCCTCTTCTTCTTTTTCCAATGCCTTATAACACCTTTGTGCCACAGTGATGCCCACCTGGGAAACACCCTGCAAGGACCCGAACCAGCTGGGCACCCAACCCCAGCTACCACTGTGACTGGGACCCAGAGGGTCAACAGGAGATCTCAGAAGAGGCTATTGTACCCTTCACGAAGGATCTGGGAGGAGAAATGACTGCAGGGTAGGAAAAGACCTAGGGACTGGCCCCTTCACCCTTGAATGAGATGCTATCTCCATGGACGTCTCTCAAACGTGTGGAGCATGTGCTATTGCCAAGGCTGTGCTGGGGAGGGAGAAGACCAGGAGAGACAAGACACATGTGAGCCTTGCACACAGTTTAGCAAGAAGAACAGACATCAAACAAATCTCTAGACAAATACTGACTTCATTACACCTGTGCTGGGTGTCACCGAGGAGCACACGTGTTGTGAAAGCATTAAGTGAGAAGACGGGCTCTGAGCTGGAGTGGCAGGAAGGCTTCCTTGGAGAAGGGGCTGGAAAGATAGTCCTGAAGGGTGAGAAGGAGGAGGAGGCCAGCCAGGGTGTGCTATGCTGAGCCCAAGTGGCAGGAAGGGGCTTAGGGTTAGGAGTTGGGACTCAAGGAGGGTGCATGTGGCTGCCTGTGCCTGTAAGTTTATGGATTTGGTGACAGGAAATTGAGAAAGTGCCGAAGGCTAGCTTCTATTTTTACTGTGAGGTGGGAGGTAAGACTGGGAACTGCTGGCCAGGTTTAATTCCAGGGAGCAGGGGGAGAAGCTTGGAGCAGGCGACCCGGGTTGCCAACCTCAAGCTGGGCCACAGAAGGCCCTCGAGATTGTAGCCACTCTCTGGCTCCAGCTGCATAGGGCCAGACACAGCCAGAGACCACCAGTGGAGAGATTCATCCAGGCTGTTCCACGCCTTCTAAAGAAACCTAGACAATGTTCCCTGCAGATAACATAGCCAAGAGCTGCTGCGCGGTCCCTGAGCTCTGCTGCCTCGCTGCCTCTGAAGAACTCCAGGTTCCAGGGAGGCTCCCCATGCCGGGGGAGAAGGGGCAAATGGGGTATTAGTGTGTGGCCTCCCCCTGTCTCCCACAGCAGCCTCTGCCACCCCCAAATGGTAGTCCAGGCCACTCCCTGGGCTTCCACTAACGGGTATCCCCCAGCCTAGGTCTCTAGTCCAGACCTGTTCCCCCACAGTAGTGCTGAGGCTGTGGTTTGTGGGGGAGTCCAGGGGCTCAAGAAGGAGGAGCCCTTCCCCTTAACAGGGAAAGAGCAATCTGCATTTCTTCCCTCAGGAGTGACTGCTGACACCGGGGCCAGACCCACAGCCTCACACCCCACTCCCCTGTGCACTCGGGCCTGGGATGCAGGAAAAACCGTTCCCAGTGAGCCCAGGAGGTTGCCATCGTCCATTGCTCCAGGTTCCTCTTTGTCCCCACAGTCCTTTCTGTTTCTCCTCCCCCTCCTTTTTTTCCTCGCCACAGACCCTCCACACCCCAGCTCCAGGGCTTAGAGGCTTTGCCCTCCAGACAGTGACTGTGCCTGTCCATCTACCCACTCCCACCCTCGGCAACCCAAGGTCTGCAGCCGCCTGGCCTAGGGCTTTGGGAATGAGGTCTCCATTTCCTCTGCCATCTGCTGAGGTTGCCTCCTCGGCCAGAGAACATAAAAGTGTTATTCAGTAACTCTCTCCTTTTCCCTTGGATGTGGGAAGGAACGGGCGCACCACCTTTCCTCCCTCTTCCATTTCCATGCTGCCTTTTTGAAGTTGCAAGAGATGCTAAAAGAAGGTCCAACCCCAAGTGAGAGCCTGGCCTTTGCCTGGAGGGGTAGGGGCAGGTGGCCTATATCGCCAGGGTCCTGGAAAGGAACCTCTTACCCACTCACTCCCAATTCCTATCCAACTCAAGTCACTCCAGTAGGCTGCTTTTGAGATGCAAATACAAAATGCTTTCTTCTCCCCCTCTACTTTTTCATTGAAATGCTTTGCATCTCAGAAAAGAGGAAAAAATGATGTGTTTAAGACAGGAGTGTCTCACCCGCCATCAAGCCTGATAAGGAATTGTTAAATTTTAATTAGACAATTTGATTCCTTCAAGTGCCGAACTTTCAGGGAAGGCAGCACCAAGACTTAAGCTGAGACGGAAGCATAGGAAACACGTTGCTGGGGTTTATGCTGCATCCAGGGCTTCTGTCCCCCACCTTTCTAGCTCTGTGCCCCAGATGAAATAGAAATGAGGTGGTGGGGATAGAGGGAGGGAGAGAGAGAGAGAGAGAGAGAGAGAGAGAGAGAGAGAAAGAGAGGATCAGAGAAAATCCTCTCTGTTCTCCCAGGACCTGCCAGCTTTCTTCCTGGATCCCAGGCTGTCCTAACAGATTGACCCTTTTCACCCCACTCCATCAGCCTGGGGACTAAGTGTTGCTACACCTTCCAAGTTTCTCCTGAGAGAAAATGTCAGGTTTGGGTGTCAGCCTCAAACTGCTGAGCCTTAAAGGAGCTTTTTTCCCTTCCAATACACTTTATAGGTTGGGGCGCCTGCCAGTTTTGGGGCGTGACTGGGAAAGCAGCCCCTTCCATACCTCATCTATACCCCAGAAGGCCTGCCCACTCCCTGTCCCCTCCTCTACTCCTGGGGGGCAGTGCAGTGGGTGGCCTGAGCAGGGTGGCCTGCCTGGGGCAGCCTGGGTGGGCTAGCTTAGCCCCGGGTATCTGGGCTCTTCCAGTACTTCTCAACTTGAGAGCTAGCTAATTTCCAAATTAGGGCACGCACAGAAAATAGTAGCATTTGTAAGGCATATAGGGTGAATAGCAGAAGCTGCTGAGGTTGGAAGTGCCTGCCTCTACATCCCAACTGACCTAATATTTCTATGCACCTTGATGCATTCTAGACCTCTGATTGGGGAAGTTCCACTCTGAAGCTTCTGAAGAGAGCCACTATTATAGAAGGCTGGAGTTAGGCTAGATGTTAGGAAGAACTTGACAGGCAGGGGTCCTGAGCACTAGAATGGATGACTCTGAAAGATATTTCTGTAGATCTTTGCCCTTCTGAGCTAGGGCAGAGCAAAGAGTCCTGGAGACAGATGAGGAGATCTTTGGCTCTTTGATGACCAGTAGCTTGCAGGTCACCACACAAATGCAGTCTTCTCTTTCTCCTGGCTTCCACCAGGGCAGCTGAGAAAGAAAAGCCTAGGAGGCCTCAGAGGACCCATGGAACCTTGTCTGCAAGCATCTGCATGGTGAGGGTGGAATGAGGAGCAGCAATTACCCCCACTTTCCTGCACAGAAAGGTGCCTTAGGGGAGAGGCAGCCACCCCTGGAGTGAGGCCTGGCAGCTACAGGATTAGATTGTTCATCCTCCACCCAGGAAACACTGTCAAGTAGCTCAACCTGTAACAGCTGGAAAATAACAGTGTCCATGCATGTATTTGGTGCTCACTAAGTTCTTGTTGACTGGGGATTGTGATTTGGAGTTTTGTAAGCTTTTATGCATGCCCAGGGGCCACCTGGGAGAAAGATGGAGATGACATTTGGAGGGTGGTGAGCAAGTTGATCATATTTTCACAATCAAAAATCAAAATGCTTGTTTTGATAACAATAGATTTTTAAATATACTGTGCCACTTTATTTGTCTCAAAAAAATTTCTCATGTAAGAATAATGCACCTTGGGTTATATATTTAGCCAATCTCCATTTTAAAAAAAGAACAAGAAATTGGGACCATCATGGCAAATACAAGGTGCCATGTGTTATGTGGCTTTGCATTTTCCCTCAACAAGCTCCAGAGTGGACAAAGAACTCACCAGGCTTCTTTGGAGCCAGAACCAGCCCAGCGTAACTGGAGCAGCACTGAGAACCTTTCCTCACTCCGCTACCATGAACACAAGCTCCAGCCAGGATGGAGAAGCTACTCACTTGTGTATTCTTTTGGGATGCCCCTTGGAGCCCAACAATCTGTGCAGCCCGGAGACAGAAGGACAAAAGGGAGGGATGGGCTGGAGCTGCAGCAGGGAAGCCTGGGGACCAGCAGGTTTTCTCAGGCCCCTTGAGAAAATACCAGCTTAGAAATGCTGGGAAGGCCCTGTATTGCTATCCACTCTACAATGCACTTCCCCCTGCCCCCACCATTTTAATGTCTCTGAAATCAGAATGCATTTTACAATGGATGACATCTTGGAGCTCTACTGGGGTTGGATGGCATTTTTTTCTTTCCTAGTGATATATAAAATAGTGGTGCATCTTCATTCGATTTTGTCTTAGAGTCTATGAAATGTGGTGATTAGTATGACAGTCATCGGCTATAGCAGCTGGGCTGGGAGAGCTGTATCTTCCAGGCCAGCTGCTACCTCATCTCAAGGGTCACTTGAGTTTGTCCTACAGCCAGGGCCCAGGGACAGGCTTTGTCTTTTCCTTCCTTTACTTCCTCCCAAGGAGTTGGTGGCTGCATCTTGAAATCCATCTCCCTTCATCTAGCCACCTATTTTTCAGGATGGGCCATAGGAGGCAGTGGGCCCAGGAGGACCTCAGACCCTAGTGAGCTGCATTTGAACAGCAACAGTCACTTCATCTTGCTGAGCCGTTGGCTTGTGGTCTGATTGCTTGTTTCATTTCATTCTTTTGCTTGGTTTGATTTTTAAAGTTGACATTCTCAAGGGCTTACCTGTGCCTGGCACATGGCCATGAGTCATCTTACTTAATACTCACAATTGTTGTTATCTCTATTTTGTGTATGGGAAAACTGGGCTCAGGAAAGCCAAATAATCTGGCTGAGGCCCCAAAGTTAGTAAATGGTAGAGTTGGGACTTGAACCCAGGTTTTTTAGTCCTCAACTCGAATGTTATACTAGCACCTCTCAGGCTAGAGTACCTTCTCTGTGGCAGTGGATTTGCTGATGTCTGAATTCCTGCTCAGCTTGATGTTTACATGGTGAGAGCCAGCTAGGCTGCCCCTGCTTGTGAGAGGTGAAAGCCCCAAGTAGATAAGGTGCTGAAGACACGATAGAAACCAGGACTGACACCAGGTGTTAAAAGATAGCCCTGTACTGGCCGGGTGCGGTGGCTCACGCCTGTAATCCCAGCACTCTGGGAGGCCGAGGCAGGCAGATAATGAGGTCAGGAGATCGAGACCATCCTGACTAACACGGTGAAACCCCGTCTCTACTAAAAATACAAAAAAATTAGCTGGACATGGTGGCGGGCACCTGTAGTCCTGGCTACTCGGGAGGCTGAGGCAGGAGAATGGCGTGAATCCAGGAGGCGGAGCTTGCAGTGAGCCGAGATAGCCCCACTGCACTCCAGCCCGGGTGACAGAGCAAGACTCCATCTCAATAACAAAAAAACCCCCAAACAAGCAAACAGACAAAAAGATAGCCCTGTACCAAGGTACTTATAGGGGTTACAGGTATTTAGGCATTTGCCATGTTTTCCCTTTTTTTTCCTATGGTGTAAATATACTACGTTTGTATTAGCAACAAAAAGCAACGAGAACAACCAATAATAAATAATAGATTAGAAAATCAAATGTGTGAGGCCTTTCTCAGAACTTGGGTACAGGGACTCTCCCTTACCCTGCAGAAGTAACCAGCACTCCAGAGAATGAATGCTCACCCTCAACCCCACCTGACCTGCAGTGCTCACATTTGCCATCTACATTGTACTCATAATTTTAAATCCTAGACTAGTGCCTGTAATCCCAGCACTTTGGGAGGCCAAGGCAGGAGTATCTCTTGAGGCCAGGAGTGTGAGACCAGCCTGGGCAACATAGTGAGACCCCCATCTCTACAAAACATTTTTAAAAATTAGCCAGGCATGGTGGCACATGCCTGTATTTCCAGCTACTCAGGAGGCTGAGGTGGTAGGATCACTTGAGGCCAGGAGTTGAGGCTGCAGTGAGCTATGATTGTGCCACTGCACTCCAGCCTGGGTGGCAAAGTGGGATTCTGTCTCTATTAAAAAAAAATTAAATCCCAGTTTACATCCTCCCTCCTCCAGGAAGTTCTCCACAAACGCCCCAGCCACACACATGTGCATATGCTCCTGAACATCAACTGTAGTGGACACGGTGGAGTGCCACCCAGATCCCCCTGCAGGACCACAGCCCTCATCCCCATCTACTGGGAGTGTTGGCAACTGACAGTTTTTGGCAATTGCCCACTGCTGAGGAGAGATGCCTCTTTCAAGGCCTCGCTGCTTTCCCTGGGACAGCCAGAAGCTGTGACATCTATGAGAGGGGATTAAAGGCCCTACCCTGTTGCCCTCATTTAGGCAACTGGCAGGGTGCCCTGTGGGGTCACCTGATGCCTTTCTTGTGACTTCTCCCTCTGGCCTGTCCTGCTTCCTCACTTCTTTGCACATCTTGATCCTGAGAGCATTCCCCTGTACATTTCCTGCAGGCTGATTTCCTCTTCAGAGTCTACTTCTAGGGACCTGTATTAGTCTGCTCTGGCTGCTATGACAAAATTCCACAGATTGGGTGGATTGAACAACAGAAATCTGTTTCCTCATAGTTCTGGAGGCTGGGACGTCCCAGATCAAGGTGTCAACAGGGCTGATTTTGCTTAAGGCCTCTCTCCATGGCTAGCAGATGGCCGCCTTCTTGCTGCATTCCCACTTGGTCTCTCCTCTGTGCGCGCATCCCTGATGTCTCTTTTTATGTCCAAAGCTCCTCTTATAAGGACTCCAGTCAGATTGGGTTAGGGCCCACCCTAAGCGTCTCATTTTAACATAATCAACTCTTTAAAGGCCCTGTATCCTAATACAGTCACATTCTGAGGTACTGGGGGTTAGGACTTCAACATATACATTTTGTGGGTTGGGGGAAGAGCATAGTGCAGACTGTAACAGGACCCAACATGCAGCACCTATGGCACCCTTGGGGTGCCTTACTTTTTCATCACTTGTTAATCTGGTAGCCTATGTTAGCAGGTGCCTTTCAAGTGGGAAGGGGTTTTCTTCCCAGTTGCACTAACAGAGCCTTTGATTCAGTTCAGCAAACATCTGTTGAATACGTACTGCCCACAAACCAGAGTCAAGAGTTGGGAAAGAACAAGATAGTATGGTTTTTATTTGTTCATTCCAAGAACAAGAGGAGGAATGAGCAAGACATGTTGTAACTCTTGTGATGTCTACACCCCAGTGAAAAAAAGAGACTCCTAAACAG
Organism: Homo sapiens; assembly: GCF_000001405.40. NCBI lineage: Eukaryota > Metazoa > Chordata > Mammalia > Primates > Hominidae > Homo > Homo sapiens. The sequence continues at coordinate 113,427,429 of NC_000011.10, read as the reverse complement.
GTGTCTCCTGCAGCACTGGGGTGTGTTTCAGTGCTGCAGGACCCTGAGGAGGGTGGGTGATGGCTCAGGCAGGAGGATATGGGTGGATTCTAAGACAGGAGGATTCTAGGCAAGACTCACTTTGAAGGATGCATAGGGACTGGAAAAGCAGAGGGAAGGGAAGTGAACAGAAGAGTTTTCCAAATCCCTTTCTTATTAAAGTAGGGATAATAATTAGACAAGATCAAGCATGTTCCAGGTAGTATGGCCATAGACAGGGATAATAATTAAAAGCCTCCGAGGGTTGTTTTGAGGATAAATGAGACAGTATATCCAAAAAACTTAGCAAACTATCAAACCCTTTACAAGTATATGATGCTATCATCAGCAGCAGGGAGTGGGGGGAGAAGAAGAGAGCGATGGTCAGGATGGGGGCAGTAAGTGTGCCTCACACGCCTCAGGCCCCTGACACTGCTTTGCACAGTGCTTTATGCCCAGCAGGTTCAATAAATGCCGATTGAGTAAATGAATGTCAGAAGCAGCCCCAGGCACCTGATCAATACATACATGCAGGCCTCCCGCTGTGGGCTCCAAATGGGAAGAGGGCTCAGTTGGTTTTGCAGAATACAGCATCAATATGACATATGCTTCATTACCTTAGAACAGGAAGATTTGCTGCGTGGTGGCATTCCATGTCACCCCACATGGAATTAGGCACTTTGCTTTTCCCCGAGGCTCCAGAGTGATGGTGGTTGGTAGGACATGATCCATATTCTTCTACTAAAGCTGGAAGAGTGGGTGTGTCAGACAGGGATGAGAGTGTGGAGATTGGGCAGACCCTCTTCCACCATCCTCTCTGACCCATTGCTGGAGGTGTGCCCTGTTCATTGATTGGACATGGCACCACATTCATCCCAAATGGCATCAATTGGTGGTTTTCAATTTGCAGTAGCAAAGTACCTGGAAGTCATGTGCTTTGTATGAAACACCTTGGAATGCTGATAAGTTTAATTCTATTCTGTAAAAGAGGAAGACTTTTGTTAGCTGAAAAGCCAACTATATTATCCATGCATTATGCTTCAGTCACAACCAAAACTCCGGCTGTCAAGTTCATCAACTCCTGATGCCTCCCAAGTCTGCTCCTGAGCCCCTCTGGTCCCTTTTCTCTGTGAATATGCGACACCAGCCTCCCAGAGCCCCACGCAGAAATCCTAGCATTACCCTCAACTCCTTATCTCCCTGCTTGTCCCATACCCACTTTTGCCCCACACCTATCCAAGGACCAAGGACCATGAAATTGACTTGCAGTTTAGCTCCTAATTCTGAACAGGTCTCTCCATCCTCGTTTCCACTATCTTCGTTCAGATGACCACAATTTCTAACCTAAATTACAGCCAAAACATCACTCTCCTCTGAGCTCTCTTCTACACCATACACTTTCTAGAACACCAGTCCAATAGGGTCATGTCTCTGGGCCCAACCTCTCAGGGACTCTCCAGCTGACAAGACACAATCTGGCCTGTAAATGTCCCTGCAGTTTAATTATCCTCAACGTTACTGCCATACCCTACATTTTTGGCCAAACAGAATTGTTTGCTGTTTGATGATTTGATACCATGTCATATTGTCTGTCTGGAACATCCCCCCACCCCTCTCATTTAGCAGGCTAAGTCCTCCTTCTACTTCATCCCAGATGATACCCACTTCAGGAAGTCTTTCCCTTCTGTGGGATGAGATGCCCATTCTGCAGGGCTTTCACTCCCTGCATCCTGCCAAACCTCATCATCTCTTACCTGGATTCCTGCTACAGCCTCCCAGTTGGTGTCCCGCTTCCACTCTGGGCCCCTCCTCTCCGTTCTCCACAGTGCTGTCAGAATCACCTATTCGAAAGGCGAATCTGATCATGTGGTTCCTGCTGCCCTTAGGATCATGTATAAACTCCTAGCATGACTTTTAAGGCCCTCTATGATCTTGCCTATTGCAACCTCCCCAGACTCAACCCTTGCCAGGTCCCTCTGCATCAGCTATCCAGAATCTCTTTGAGGCCCTCCACCTGCTGTCTACCTCTCTACCTCTGTGCTTTGCATATACTGCTTCCAATGTCTAGACCTTCTGCTGACTCCTAGTTCTTTACCTGGCTAATTCCTACACATCCTTCAGTTGTTTGTCTGTTGAACATCACTTCCTCTAGAAAGCCTTCCCTGAATACCTGAACTAGGTTATGTATCTCTCTCCCTGTTCCATTTCCTACTCCCTATCACCCTTAGATGTAATTGCTTGATTAATTGGCTGTTGTTTCTCCTAGAATGTGAGCTACAGAACCATGTATATTTTGTTCCTGCCTATATTTCTAGAACTATATAGAACAATGCTTAATAAATATTTATAGAATCAAGAATGAATGAATACCCATTTCTGTTTCGATGACTAGAAGGTAGCAAGCCTGGTTAACTGAAGTGTGTGGTGCATGGGTCGTGCTTAAGAAGTGTTTGTTGAATGAATAAATAAATGATGGATCAGCTCTGTTCAAGCTCATCTTATTATGCATTTTTAAAAAATTGTGTTTGCTCATTTGTCCTACCAGCTGTAAAAACTTGCTAGCAAAAGAGTGGCAGAAGGCCCAACATTTTTAGAAAATTCTTAGCCGTAAACCTTAAAATCCCGAGTTGGAAAATTCTCATTATTAAATGCCAGGAGTTGGTCTTCTTCCTGGAGACCTCTGCAAGAGGCCCTCTCACTGACACCTTGTGTCCATTTTTCCTGGCCAGAGCCTGGCCACCCAGTGGCTCCACCGCCCTGATGGATCCACTGAATCTGTCCTGGTATGATGATGATCTGGAGAGGCAGAACTGGAGCCGGCCCTTCAACGGGTCAGACGGGAAGGCGGACAGACCCCACTACAACTACTATGCCACACTGCTCACCCTGCTCATCGCTGTCATCGTCTTCGGCAACGTGCTGGTGTGCATGGCTGTGTCCCGCGAGAAGGCGCTGCAGACCACCACCAACTACCTGATCGTCAGCCTCGCAGTGGCCGACCTCCTCGTCGCCACACTGGTCATGCCCTGGGTTGTCTACCTGGAGGTAGGTGGGCCCCCTGCTTGCTCCAGCACTTTCTCCAGCAGGGCCCTGCACTGGACACTGGGGACTCTAGCTCCCCACTGGCTTTTACCAATGAGTTTCCTGGTGCTTCCCCAGGTGGTTTTTCCTTCACTCTGGGCTTACTTTTTCTCCTTACGAAATGGGTAGATTGTTTCCTTAATAATCCCAACTACCATTTGTAAAGTGCTTACTAAGTGCTGGGCCTCACGTAGGGACTTTAAATATAGCATTTTCCTATATAACCCTCACAGCAGCTTAGAGGCTGGCATTATTGCCACCATTTTGCAGTTGATAAACCAGGTGGTCAGAGATGTTAAGTAACTGCTGCAGCATCACACGGCTGGCAAGTCCAAGCTGGAATTCTGGCCTCAGAGTTAGTTCCTTAGGTCATATTGGAAATAGGAGTAACCGGCAAGGATCCCCAAGGAGGGGCATGTTTATGCTCCCAGGCCCCTGAAACCTTCACTCCCATCTCCCCACTTCAGAAATGGGTCTGCTGCTTTATGCTCCCCATATCCCCTCTCCTTCCCACAGCTTATCCTGGGGCCCTGTCCAGGACCTGCAGGTAGAGGCTGCCATGGACTGTGCTGTAGCCCTTTTGTTAGGAAGAATTGTGTAGTCACTCATTTCTTGGCCCAGCTCTGCACCTCAAAATGGGGAGTAGGCAGCACAGTCTAGACACTGTGCCTGGTGCATTGCTGACACAGACCCAGTGAATACTCTTGGTAACCCTGGGAGTCCATGCTACTCTTCTCACTTTACAAAATAGGAAACAGGCCGAGCACGGTGGCTCACGCCTGTAATCCTAGCACTTTGGGAGGCCGAGGCAGGCAGATCACGAGGCCAGGAGTTCAAGACCAGCCTGGCCAACATGGTGAAACCCCATCTCTACTAAAAATGCAACAATTAGCCAGGTGTGGTGGCATATGCCTGTAATCCCAGATACTTGGGAGGCTGAGGCAGGAGAATTGCTTGAATCTGGGAGGCAGAGGTTGCAGTGAGCTGAGATCATACCATTGCACTCCAGCCTGGGCGACAGAGCAAGACTCTGTCTCAAAAAAAAAATAAAATTAAATTAAAACAAAAACAAAATAGGAAATAGAAGCTTTGGAGAAGTTGCCTTTCTTCACCCAGGTCACAGGGAGAAATGCTGATGGAGAAATCCCAAAGCAGATATTATTCTCCAGGAAGACACCTTCAGAGCCAGCGAGCAGATGTGGGAGCATTTAGGGATCATCGGTGGGCACAAGCTGGATCCTGCCCCTTTCTCTGCCCAGCTTTCTAGGATGGCATGTCCAGGACTCAAGCAATCTGGGAGTCTAGGTGCATGGGAAGGCATGGGATCAGGCATTTAGGAAAGTGCCGGTGCTCTGCCCACTGAACCGTTACCTTCCTTCCCTGAGCAGGAGAGGAATTGACCAGTGCCTCTGAGGCCATCCCTGCCTGAGAGGGAAGGGGTTGTTGAAAGAAAATGAGAAAGCTTTGTAGGTTTAAACAGGGGAGAAATCTAGATGAGGACGCTCAGGTGAGGAGGCGAGACTGGTGGAAAGTGGCACACCTCCCTGTCCCTGGGCCCCCAAGGGGCTCGTGCGCTTACTGTTCTCACCACCACCCCGGGCCCAAGGGAGCTCTGATCCATCACCCCTTGGCTTCCTTTACTACAGCCAATGCAGGCTGCAACTTCCAAAATGACCTGACTGGATATTAAGGAAGAACCAAAAGGAAACACAAATACAAAACCACATAAAAATATTCAGTTGACACAGGCCAGGAGTCCAATTCCCCCTGGATCCATGTTTATGAGGGCCCCTAGACTCTGTCCATGCCTTCTTAATTCTTACGCTTGATCCCCTCCTTCTTCCCTCTTCCAAAGGAGGGTCCTAGGTCTCAGACCATAGGGAAAAATGGTAGAGCAAACAAACTCTCTGTGCCTCAGTTTCCTCATCTGGAAAATGCAGATAATAATAGTATCATACATCATAGCATTGTTGAGGATCGAATTAGTTGATGTATGAAAAGTGATTAGAATGATACATGGCTCACAGTGAGCACTGTGTAAATGTCAGCCATGGCGATGATGATAAAGATGAAGATGACAATAGACATCCAGCACTGCTCCACATAGGGAGGACTCTGTCTTTCCTATTCACCGCCCCCTTGGGATAAAGAGGAAGGAGAGAGTACTCCCTATGTTCGCCCCAGGCAAGTAGGTACCCTCTTCCCAGAGGAACGTGTGTTCTACCCAGGGCTCTGGGCATGGCTTCTGTTAGCTTCCAGACCCCCTGTCCCTACCCAGGCACTTGGGTAGGGACAAATCCATACATGGGCTATAGGGGGTTCCCAGGAATCTGTAAGTCTTTCGAACAGATCCTTTAAACATGCTTGTTCACCTTATTTTAAAGGTGAAGCTGAGTGTGTCAGGGGAGGAGGGTGCAGAAGCCATTCTCAGAGGGCAGGGCTCAGACTTCCCCACAGCATCTCATCAAACTAGAGCTGGGCACTGAGCCTTGTTTAATGGACATTATCTCAGCGATTTGTTGTCCCTAGAGAACGTCCCAGGTGACGTCTCACCCTGCCCTGATGTCCTATCAGCGCACCCTCACAACCACGCACTGTCCCCTCTCTAATACATGCTCTTGTCATCCAGATTTTTTCCTCCTGTTCCATTTCCAGCAATGCCATGCCAACATCTGTCTGGCTTAGGACTAAGTGTGCGTTATTTATCTTGCTAAGTGTATGAAAAGCACGCTGGTTTTGGAGTGAGAGGACCAGGTTCAATTCCCAGCTCCATTCCTTTCCATCTAGATGCTATTGGAAGAGTTCCTGATGTCCACATGTGCCATTCCATGTCAGCCTCACAACCCTTTAAGGAGCGGCTTCCTGTGTGCATTTATTTTCTAGATGAGGAGATTGAGAAGATGAACAAATATCTCAGAGTTATTCATTCACTCAGTCAGCACTGACTGAGCACTCCGAGGTCTTACCCCAATCCTTGTGCAATGGGCTAAGGCACTGACCTGCTGGGGATGCAGAGGTTGACAGGGCCCCTACAGTGCAGTCTGCTGCCGGTGACAGTGGAGCAGTCCCCATAGGAGGTGTGGGGCATAAGGCCCAGCATGAGGGTGTCAGGGAAGACTTTCAGGGAGAAATGATGCTTTCGGAAAAATTATGCAGGAGAGGGAGGGAGACACTTGCATTCTCAAGAAAGCCACCCAGCAGGGAGAGGGAGTAGCTGGCTGGAGGTATGGAGGAGAGGTGGTTATGTCATTTGCCTCTGAGGCTTACTGTCTGCATTCTAAGATATAAGCATCAAGTGTTTGGAACAGTGCCTGACACATGGTAAGTCCTTAGTATTATTACAGTTATTAGGACTTAGCTGAGCCAGCTCAGGGCCTGTACTGCAGGTCTCAGCTTTATGTGAGCAAGAGCATTAAGGAATGATGCCTGGATGCCTGGGGGTGTGAAGAAAAGAGCCTTGGGTTCGACTAGGGAACCTGGGGCCACTCCTTCCTCTGCTACTAAATCACCAAGTGATCTTGTTCTGTTTTCTTCTCTGACCCTCCCTAGTTTTGTCCACCCTTGAAATAATCATCTTTCCTTTTCACATTTCATGCTTACCAAGTACTTGTCACCTAATTATCTCCTCTCTTGATAAGCTAGATGGTCCCTTCCAGGGCAGCTTAGTAGAGAGCATGGGATGTGATGTTTCAGATTCCAGCTCTGCTGCACACCTGCCAGGTGAACTTGGCCACGTTACATGGCCTCTCTGGGCTTCAGTTCCCTCACCTATGAGTGGGATAAGCAAGCCCTTCTTGTAAAAGTTTTAAGAACGATACATGAGATAAAGTGCAATGCCCACAGTAGATGTCTTATGGACAGTGGCCACCAATGCATTTTCTTGAGTCTTTAAGTTAGCAGCCCTAACTACTCTCCAAGGCAGCTTCCCCTGGGACCACAGAGGAAATCTCTTTGTTATTCTGGGCTCCAGATAGGCCAGTGCAAGGAGAGATTTAAGATGTCCATGAAGGCAGGACTGTGTCTGAATTGCTCACAACTGTGTCCAGGAGCCTAGGATAGAGGCTGGAACACAGTAATTTGCTCAATAAGTGTTTGTAGGAAAGAAGGGATGGCAGAAAGGAGGGAAGGAGAGGAGGAAGACAGGGAGGAAGGCCCTGATATCTCAACCTAGATCCCCAGTGGCTCCCAAGTACTGGTCCCAGGAGGGGCTTCAAAGTGGGATGTAAATCAGGTAGTGCTGGTTTTCTGCCCAGTGGTACCCTAAAGGCACACTCTGTTTATGCCAGGAAAGCCCTTTACGTACCCTCCTGCCTCCACCCGCAAAATGGGCATCCAGCTGTTAGCTCCTGCCAAACTGGTCAGCGCAGCAGCACAGGGAGCTGGGAGAGAGGCCCTGGTACGGGGCCCCCATGTGAGCTCCCAGGAAGACAGTGCCGCATGAGAGGCTTGCTGTGTTCTGGGGCAAGCTGCTGTTTCTGCCACACAGGATGACAGCAGCTGCATTGCCCATCATTGAGCTTAAATGCCAGCATTTGGTTGGATGCCTAGGAGCAGAAGAGAGGGCAGTGATCAGAATGAGCAAGGTTATAATTAGCCCTGCTGCCAAGCTACACGGTGACACGAAGTCTGCCCTACTCCGGGTTGCGGGAGGGGGCTTTCACGCTCCTCTCTGCTCCTATTGGTAGAAGCCAAAGGTGCATCTCCCTGTCCTGACTCCATCCTCAGGGAACTGGGGCTGCTCCAAGCTTCCAGAGCGCTAGGGACAGCTGCCGTGAGTGTGTGCCTGCGTAATCTGCCATGAGTGTGTGCCTGTGTGTGAATGGGTGTTACGTGGGGAGGGGGGAGGGCGGTGCGTTCATGTGTGTGTGTGTGTGTGTGTGTGTGCCTGTGTGCATGTGTGTATGAGAAACGTGCTCCTGCCAGGAGCTAGACTCTTCATTTCCCATCCTACCAAGGACACAGCTCATCACAGCAACCCCTCCGCCTACCCCAGCCCACTCGGGTGTTCCTCGAGCACTAGCCCAGATCTGCCTTCTTTCGTTCTCTGGGTATAAGAAGGAGCAGAAATTTCTTCTCTGTTTCATGGCGAGTCTTCATCTTCACCATTATTCTTAACAGATCATTTTGGGGCCCCGACTCTGCCATGTACTGGGCCAACCACTGAAGGGCTTGCCTGGCTCAGCCAGAGCCTGGGCCAGAGCAGGACTAGGAACTGAGCCCACAGGCCTTGGGGAAATCACTGCACTTTTTGGAGGCTTGGTTTCCTCATTGGTTCTCAGTTTCCTCACGGGCATTCTAAAATTTTACCTGGAATCTAATTTACAGAGGTATGGCTGAGTGATAACACAGGGAAGCCAGTGCCATTGGGAAGAGTTTAACGTGATACACAATGTCCCTAGAAACCAGATGCTCAGCCCGCCATGTGGGGTGCAGGGGGAAGCAGCAGGCTTGGGTCAAGAGTCAGAATCAGGGGTGAGGGAAAGCCCAGGCTACAGCCCTGTTGGGGCTCCCACAGGAAGTGCAAGGCAGGGCAGATTAAGCAACCTAGGGTTGGCTAGTCTCAACATCCTGGCAGGCTTTGGGCTACAGGGGTGATCTCTAGTTGTCTCTCTGGTACCTGAGATAATTTGGGACAGGGGAAATATTGTCTTGGTGTGTGTGTGAATTAGAGAAACGGGGTGGCTGGCTTGCATTTGAGAGGCATCCTTCCAAGTCAGTCATTTTCTGTCTTCAGGAATTAACTAGCTCTGGGACAGTAAGTCTCTCTCTGGGTCTGTGAGGCTCCCAAGTGCCAGAATATCAGGATCAGAGAAGATAGAAAAATATAGTCAATATAGGTGTCTCTGTGATGAATGGGTGCCAAATACACAAATACAGAATCTAAGAAAACACATGGGGTTAACAAAGGTTGCAGAGATTAAGGTTTAAAGTTGAGGCCCTCCGTATAAGTTGGCTGTCTTTCTTCTAGCACAGTAATTGGCAATAAGTGGTCTTATGTATCTGGGAGAAGATAAGCGAGGGGCAAGGGCCTCAGACACCCATGGGCATCACTCCCCACACCCCAGCTGGATGCCCACAAGACTTGCAGCTGCCTCCTGAGTCTGTGGCCTCATCGGCTCCAGGAGTACCAGGCTACAGGACCTAAGCTAATCTCCCACTCCTGCTGTCCATCCATTATGTTGCTTTGTCCCCAGGTGGTAGGTGAGTGGAAATTCAGCAGGATTCACTGTGACATCTTCGTCACTCTGGACGTCATGATGTGCACGGCGAGCATCCTGAACTTGTGTGCCATCAGCATCGACAGGTGAGCCCAGCCAGGGTGGAAGAGGTTGCTCTGGCCACTCACCATTCTGGCTGCCCCAGCTTTTCTCAAAGCCAGGCTGTGTCTCGTGTCTGTGATGCTGTGCAGCTGGCTGTGTGCATGGGGGTCCATGTGTTTGTGTGTATGGGTGTGCATGTGTGTATGTTTGGCTAGGAGAGCACACACTCCCTAAAGAGAAGCCATCTATGGACAGTGATGCTGCCAAGCATACTCAGACAGTGACTGGTACAAAAGGGGAAAGATTGTGATTCTGACGGAAGCCCTAGCTCTAGCACATCTTACTCATGTGACCTTGGGCAGATGATGGACGTTTTCAGAGCTCTCAGTTTCATTTTCTAGAAACCTACATTGATGACACCTGTGGCCTGGAGCTGCAGTATCTGGTTATGCATTTTATGTCCTTGGCACATGGCCAAGGGTCCCAGGCCATGCACACCTTGCTAAGCTGCATCCTTGGAGCCTTCCACTAATTTGCACAGATATGACCCTACCTCCCTCACACCATTCTTGGAAGATGAAATAAGTTAATGAATGAGAAGGGCTGGGTAAAAAAAAAAATGTGATGAAGGATTGTAGACAATTGCCATTGTTATTTCCTGCTAACTAAGGCTTAAATCTTGCTCTGAGGGGCCTGGCTAACAATTTATCAACAAACATTTCCACCTTATGGGCTCAACACAAGTGCAGTGGGTACAGTTTCAAAAGTGCAAAGATGCAGGCCATGGTTCTTCGAAAAGCCTGAAATCCAGGTGGGGCCGGTTAGAATAATAGATATGAGCTAAGAGTAAACAATAGCTCACCAGTGATTAAGTGTTTGGGCTTTGCCAACTGTCCTCGCCATCTGAGTTTGGGGACAGGAGGGAGGGTTGAGTTAGCATCTCAGGCAAGCTTCATAGAGGTGTGTCAACTGTTTAGCCCCAAGGAGTGAGGGTGTCTCTGGTGTGTGCATATTGTGGAGTGAGGGGTCCCTGGGCCTGCACCCCAGATTCAGGGTCCCCCGCCCTTGCAGGTACACAGCTGTGGCCATGCCCATGCTGTACAATACGCGCTACAGCTCCAAGCGCCGGGTCACCGTCATGATCTCCATCGTCTGGGTCCTGTCCTTCACCATCTCCTGCCCACTCCTCTTCGGACTCAATAACGCAGGTACATTCTGCTTTTGTTTGCCTGAGGCTCAGCTGGCCCTGGGCCCCTGCTCCCTCGAAGGGCCCTGAGGGAGCAGAGTCCCTGGCACAGATATGGGTGGAGGCCCAATGGAGGCCTATCACTACCCTGGACTGAGTCCAGGCTACGTGTCCTGGGCCAAGCCCCACTCAAGAGTTGTTCTAGGTTGGCAGAGAGGAAACAGTGGCCCAGGACACAACGGAGTTGGATGAGGAGTGGGGATAATGGTTCAGGGGTATGTCTGGGAATTTTCAACTTTGGTTATTAAGTTGAAGAGGCAAGACGTGCTTCACAAACTGCATGTGTGTATATGTGCACATGAACATGGGATGGCGGAGGCTACTGGGCTTCCATCCACTCCTGACAATAGTATTTTTGTAATGAAGCTGCAGCCCTCAGGGCCTGCTAAACCCAGGTCAGGCCTTAGCCACCTGGAGCAGGAAAGCTAGAAGTGAATAGGAGGTAAGCTGACCACATGCCCATTTCTGTGGGAGGCAGAGTCAGGAGTGTCTCAGACAGAGGCAACACAAAGCCCCCGCCAGCGTGGAACTTCCTCTCATCAGGGAGGCAAGAGCGATGGCAGGTGTGCACCTCTGGAGATCGTAACAACAAAAGATACAGTGAAGCCTTGAAAATGTGTGGTTCGGTATCTATTATAAGCATCACAGGAATTCTAAGTGGGAATAACACTAAACATACTTGGATTAATGCACAAGGCCCTGAGATAGAGGACAGGCGTCTGGTAGACCTAGAAGGGCACGCAAACATATGAAACACATAGGAACACAAGTGAGTTCAACAGACAGAGCCAAGTTATCTTGCTGCAAACATTAAAAGGTGGCCAACCTCTCCCAATACACAGGTCAGACTAAAAAGATGGTTTACTCTTTTAAAAGTTTTCTTGTGTCATTCTTTCTGGATACATCGGCTTCACTTGTTATGCCCAGACATGGCAAAACTAATGACCAAGTAATGAGGGAATAGTAATGGAAAGACTTGGGAGCAGTCCATCATCACAGCTTAACTTTTTGCTCACAACCGTGTTTTTAATACTCTGGTATCTGCTGTGCGTTTGTGTATATCTAAGATGACCAGGCAGCCTTAAACATCTAGTTGCGTTCATATTCTCTGTAAAATCGCTCCTTGTTCCTGGAAGGACATGAATGGGCTCTTGTGGAATTATGGCCGGTGGGCCCGCTGACTCCCTGCCTGCCCGGGCTCTCCCTCCCCCAGACCAGAACGAGTGCATCATTGCCAACCCGGCCTTCGTGGTCTACTCCTCCATCGTCTCCTTCTACGTGCCCTTCATTGTCACCCTGCTGGTCTACATCAAGATCTACATTGTCCTCCGCAGACGCCGCAAGCGAGTCAACACCAAACGCAGCAGCCGAGCTTTCAGGGCCCACCTGAGGGCTCCACTAAAGGTCTCAAGACACCCCCCAACCAACTCCAAGGGTCCCCACCTAACCATTACCAAGAGGGCTCATCTTATGCTCAGGTGGGGGCTTGGGAAACCTCAGCAAGGGTTAGGTCTAGGCTAAAGGAATTCCCAGGAGCCGGGCAAGGGCAGATTTTGAAGGCATGGACCTCAGTGGAGCAATCTGAGTCTCCAGGAGAGGGAGGCAGGGTCCATGACACTAAATAACAAGGGGAAGTCTTTGCTTGGAGATCTTTGTGACTGAAGGCGGCAACTCTTGCTTGGTACCCCCGTGGGCTCCTCTCTTCCTCTTTTCTGGTTTCTCTGTCTCACTTTAGCTCCCTCTGACTCCTCCATCCTCTTTCCTTTACCTTCCGTACTCTCTGTCCTCCCCTCCAAACACACATCACTTTTCCTGACTTCCTCTCCACTATGTCTCTCCTGTGCTTCTCTTTCATTTCCCCCCTGATGTCTTGTGAATTCTCCCCTTCACTCAGTCCTTCACAAGGAAGACAGTGTGTGGGCACAGAAGGAACAAGAGCTCTTGGGCTAGACGCATCAGGTTCAGATCCTGTCACTGACACTTTTTTTGCTGAGTGACCTTAGGCAAGTTGCTTACCTTCTATGAGCCTGTTTCCTCATCTGTTAAATGGGAATCAAAATACCAGCCTCACAGGGTGGTCTTGAGGATTCCACGTGAGAAGGGACGTGAGTGTGCCTAGCACAGTGCCAGGCCCTTAGCAGGTGCTCCATAAAAAACCAGGTCCTTGTGTTCCTCGTCATACCCACCACTTTTTGTCTCATTCCAGCCTTCCCCCTTGCCCCAACTGCCTCCTCTGGCCCCCACCCTCCTGATCTCTGAGCCCTTCTGCCCAGTCTGAGTTCCATGGACTGCTGCACTTTGGGTTTCTGTCCCCCCTCCATCCCCACCACTTTGTGTGACCCATGTGCTGGCTCACTCCACAGGGCAACTGTACTCACCCCGAGGACATGAAACTCTGCACCGTTATCATGAAGTCTAATGGGAGTTTCCCAGTGAACAGGCGGAGAGTGGTAAGTGCTCAGGCCAGGGACCCAGAGCCAGGTCTTTCTGCCCCTAGGGAAGCCCACTGGCCATGGTTCTGAGACCTCAGAAGCTGGCCAATGGGAGAAGCACCCCAGAAACCCCCACCTTGCCTCAGCTGAAGGCAGACTCACCGTGCACACCTCCAAGCAGGCATGAAGTGAGACACCTCGGTTCTGCAAGGCATGGATGTGTACGAGAAAATGGTTGGCCATACCAACGTAATAAAAATGATAATAATGGCTATTCACATTTCTCAAACATCTACCATATCCCTATTATCTCATCAAATCCTCACCACGACCCCGGGAGGTAAGTCTCTTTGATCGAACCGATCTTCAGTTGACAGAAGAGGAAACAGGCTCAGAAAGATTAGGCAACTCACCCGTCTCAAGAGTTGGTGACACTAAGCCCAGACCTGTGTGACTCTGAAATCCACACCTGTGTTCTTTCCACTGACATGAGCTGCCTTATGGATGGGCAGGTTCTGGGGTAGGACGCAGCAGAGCAGCTGCGGGGACTGGTGGCGGAGCAGTTTGTGTACATAGAGCCCTCAGGTGCGGAAGCACAGCAGACCCCAGCCTCTGCCAGGTGGTAGCTGTACCAACATGCAAGCAGCAGGCATTCCATCCTCCAGAGGGATGGAGAACAGGGCCAGAGAACCCACAGAGGGCCGCATACAAAATCCAGGTCTGGTGTCCTGCCTTCACCTGCACTGCAAGGGCAGGACTCTAAGAAGCTGTTTATGAGGCAGGTGCCAAAACAGAGCCTCAGAGTCAGGGCCAAGGCAGCAGCCCAGTCATGCCACCTAGGCACATAGTGAGGCTGCACTTTAGAAGTTCAGACTAACACCTCCAAGGCCTCAAACAAGAGAACCTATGGAAGAACCCAGGAGGCCATGAGTGGATCCATGCCAGGGCTCTCTAGGTCACCCCAGCAGGGAAGATGTGGGGCCCCAGGGGTCAGCCTTTTGGCACCTAGATTAGTCTATCCAGGAGAATATGGAGCCCACGTGTGTACGCAGGTGCAGGTACCCATGAAGTGGGAGCACTGGGCCCCTTGTTTGACAGGGAGAACAGGGGTGGGCACCCTCTTTGCAGTCGGAACATGAGTTTCTGGAGGCAGGGCCAAACATCATCAGCTCTTGACCCCAGCAGCCACTGTGGCACCTGGCACTTTGCTAACAGTAAGTGTTGCTCAGGCCATGAGAGACAAGTCCCTGGTATTCAGCCCTGGCAGAACAGAAGTGGGGTATTGAGGCTGCATGAGGATTGCCATGGGAAAAAGGACAGGGGCAATCCTGCAGGGGCTGCCATGGGTCCTGGGTCCCATGCCTCAGTGACATCCTTGCCTCCCTGGCAGGGTGACCCTGTGGTGTTTGCAGGAGTCTTCAGAGGGGGAAAGGGAGGGGCCAGTGAGATGGGTGGCTGATGCCTGGGAACTTGTCCGGCTTTACCCAGAGCCCTCTGCCTCTGGTGCAGGAGGCTGCCCGGCGAGCCCAGGAGCTGGAGATGGAGATGCTCTCCAGCACCAGCCCACCCGAGAGGACCCGGTACAGCCCCATCCCACCCAGCCACCACCAGCTGACTCTCCCCGACCCGTCCCACCATGGTCTCCACAGCACTCCCGACAGCCCCGCCAAACCAGAGAAGAATGGGCATGCCAAAGACCACCCCAAGATTGCCAAGATCTTTGAGATCCAGACCATGCCCAATGGCAAAACCCGGACCTCCCTCAAGACCATGAGCCGTAGGAAGCTCTCCCAGCAGAAGGAGAAGAAAGCCACTCAGATGCTCGCCATTGTTCTCGGTGAGTCGGCCCTGGCTGCTGGCCACAGCCCGGTCTGTGAAAGGTCCCATTCCCTGCCATGTCCTTCCTAACCATGGCTGCAGGATCATGGGGCTAGCATTTCCTCAGGCACAGGCCAAGCCCATTGACATACAGACAGCCCTATTAGGTAGATTCTGTAATTGTGCTCACTTTACAGATGGGCAAACAGAGTTTTAGAGTGGTTATAAAACCTGACCAAGAGGACCCATGGTTTGAACTCAGGCAGTCTGACTCCAGAGTCTGGAAATTTGACTAGTCTATTATGCTGGCACCAGAACCTCATGGGCCTATGTGCCCAGGAAAGTCACTTTCTCTCTCTAGGCTCCTCATCTGTAGAGTAGGTTACTTCTCAGGGCTGTCATGGCAATCAGTTGGTGAAAGCATTTTCTAAACTACAAAGCACTATCCATATGTAAGTGTCACTATTATGGTTTTTATTACTATTGCTCTTTTTGAGGAATTGGGAAATTCAGTTCACTTGCACTCAAACAAGACTCCATGGGACCAGAGCTGTGAAAAATAAATGAGATGTTGGGGAGTGGCCCCCAATCTAAATGAAAAGCATCCCTGTCCATAAAGCAGGATTTTTCAATAGAAGTCTAGAAAACCACATAGTAAAGGTCAAAACCCAAAAGGTGGACTGATATGGGTGGCTGGGAAAAGGAGGGTCCCCTGTGACTCTGTCTTCCAGGAAGCACCTGAATCCCCTTTGACTGCCGGATGATCCTGGGGCGTGAGTGGGGCAGCTGTTACCTCCCTTCTTTTATGAATGAGAGCACTTGATCCCATGGGACTACTCACGATCATGGGACTGGGATATGGTAGGCTAGGATTGGAGCCAGGCCCTCTGCTGCAGTCCATAGGGGCTCAGCTCTGTGGCCCTACTCTTCCCAGACACCATTCAGTCTCCAGGGATGCCTCCTGTGCCTGTAGGGCATTCCATGTACACATTGCTTCCAGGATAAATATCACACCTGTGCAGGAGGTCCTGGAAAAAGTGCACCTGAGTTAGGTGAGCAGAGCAGGTAGGTGGCTGCCCTGGGTGAGAGGGCATGGTTCAAGGCAGGGACTAGCAAGGGTGTACCCACCAAGACTGGGGAAATTGGGGGAAGGCTAGAGCGAGATCATCTGGGGACCTGGATAGACCGGAGTTCAGCTCTCAGCCTCGCTGCTCAAGAGTGAATGACCTTGGGTATATTGCAGAGCTGTTGTGAGTGTTTTTCTTATGTACCTTATGAGGATGCTATAAGAACTAAGTGGCATGGGTCTATAGCCCTCAAAGATGACCTGGAAGTAGAGTAGATATTTCCATTTCTACTGGCTAACCTGGGTCAGAATGGTAACCTTTTGGATTTATTGTTAAACCATGTACCCTTTTCTAGGAGGTGGGAAAGGGACAAATGAGGGAAGTGAGGCTGAAGGAGCTGAAGGGATACTTCACTGCAAATGGGTGTCAGAGGCAGGTCTAGGATCCAAGACCTGGACTCCTCCTACAGTGCTTCTGTGGCTACAGCCCACCGTCTTGGCATACGAGCCAGGGCGCACTGGGTGTGGGTGTTCCCAGCCGTGCCTCCCCGGCTCTGGGGACCAGCCTGACCATGCCCTCTCCCCCAGGCGTGTTCATCATCTGCTGGCTGCCCTTCTTCATCACACACATCCTGAACATACACTGTGACTGCAACATCCCGCCTGTCCTGTACAGCGCCTTCACGTGGCTGGGCTATGTCAACAGCGCCGTGAACCCCATCATCTACACCACCTTCAACATTGAGTTCCGCAAGGCCTTCCTGAAGATCCTCCACTGCTGACTCTGCTGCCTGCCCGCACAGCAGCCTGCTTCCCACCTCCCTGCCCAGGCCGGCCAGCCTCACCCTTGCGAACCGTGAGCAGGAAGGCCTGGGTGGATCGGCCTCCTCTTCACCCCGGCAGGCCCTGCAGTGTTCGCTTGGCTCCATGCTCCTCACTGCCCGCACACCCTCACTCTGCCAGGGCAGTGCTAGTGAGCTGGGCATGGTACCAGCCCTGGGGCTGGGCCCCCCAGCTCAGGGGCAGCTCATAGAGTCCCCCCTCCCACCTCCAGTCCCCCTATCCTTGGCACCAAAGATGCAGCCGCCTTCCTTGACCTTCCTCTGGGGCTCTAGGGTTGCTGGAGCCTGAGTCAGGGCCCAGAGGCTGAGTTTTCTCTTTGTGGGGCTTGGCGTGGAGCAGGCGGTGGGGAGAGATGGACAGTTCACACCCTGCAAGGCCCACAGGAGGCAAGCAAGCTCTCTTGCCGAGGAGCCAGGCAACTTCAGTCCTGGGAGACCCATGTAAATACCAGACTGCAGGTTGGACCCCAGAGATTCCCAAGCCAAAAACCTTAGCTCCCTCCCGCACCCCGATGTGGACCTCTACTTTCCAGGCTAGTCCGGACCCACCTCACCCCGTTACAGCTCCCCAAGTGGTTTCCACATGCTCTGAGAAGAGGAGCCCTCATCTTGAAGGGCCCAGGAGGGTCTATGGGGAGAGGAACTCCTTGGCCTAGCCCACCCTGCTGCCTTCTGACGGCCCTGCAATGTATCCCTTCTCACAGCACATGCTGGCCAGCCTGGGGCCTGGCAGGGAGGTCAGGCCCTGGAACTCTATCTGGGCCTGGGCTAGGGGACATCAGAGGTTCTTTGAGGGACTGCCTCTGCCACACTCTGACGCAAAACCACTTTCCTTTTCTATTCCTTCTGGCCTTTCCTCTCTCCTGTTTCCCTTCCCTTCCACTGCCTCTGCCTTAGAGGAGCCCACGGCTAAGAGGCTGCTGAAAACCATCTGGCCTGGCCTGGCCCTGCCCTGAGGAAGGAGGGGAAGCTGCAGCTTGGGAGAGCCCCTGGGGCCTAGACTCTGTAACATCACTATCCATGCACCAAACTAATAAAACTTTGACGAGTCACCTTCCAGGACCCCTGGGTAGAAGGCAGCAGTGCCACTTCTGTGCTTGGCATTCAAGTATAGCAAGACCCCTGTGTCTGCAGGGTCTAACCCAAGGGAAGCCAGGTTGCCCCCACTGCTCCACCTCCCCTGTTGCAGCTCCTGCTTCCTCTGAAGGACTCATCCTTTGCCCTCTTACCCACCAGGGCAGAGAAGGCTCTGTGGAAAAGGTGGCCTTGGATGCACTGGCATTGCCTGTGTCTGCCTATGTCCCTTGCCCTGTCTTCTGTCCCATGTCAGGATCCCCTTCCTCTAGGGCAGGCTGGGAGAAGCAGGGAAGGCCCTGACCACTGCGGCCTGGACAGTTCTCCCTCCTCTCAGCTTCCAGGCCGGTCCCAAGCTCCAAGCCTTCCGGGGCAAAAACTTGGTACTGCCCCGACAACAGAAACTTGGCTTTCTACAAATGAAGCGTAAATCAACCCAGTGAGGGAGGAATATTCTTACCACCTTGAGAATAACCGCAGTGATGACAAACAAGGTGCCAGCACCCACGGGCTCAGGCGCTGGGGAGCTGTCAGGGCGTAATTTGCATGCTAAATACAATATTTTTAGCACCAAAGTTTGGAGCACTTAACTTGCCCTGAACAGTTAATTATGGACTTTGATCTTCTCCTTAAACCTAAAGGTAGCACTAAGCCCTGGGAGAGGCTCCTGTCCCCAGGAGCACCCTGATTCTGGAAAGTGAGCAAAACAGGCCCCTAGTCTAACTCGGACTGGGTCATAACACCAAGGACCCAGTGACCATCTCCTCTGGAAAGCATCAGGTCCCCAAGGGGTCTAGAAGCCCCAGGGACCCAACCCATCCCCATTGCACACATACCATGCTCAAAGTCTGTGAAAGATCTTGGCCTGGATGGACGCTTAAAAGCATATCCCACAATTAGGAATCTTATGAGGGTATACAGGCTTATCAGATGTGAGGATTGGAAGAGATGACAAAGAGAAGCAGAGGAAAGAAGAAGGAAGGGAGGGAGGGAGAGAGGGAGGGACGGAAGGGAGACCCAGAGCAGAGTGAGAAGAGCATTGACAGGGAGCAGAGGGGAAGAGGGCAGGGCAGGGGCGGGAGGCGGGGCAGGGGAAAGTTGCCCACAGTTGTCACGAGGCTTCATGTCTTTCTGCCAGACAGCAGATTGACAGCTAGAGTGGGCAGGGGGAGGGCTGGGCTCCACCCTCTCCCCCTCTCAGCACTTCAGGGGCAAAGAAATGGGAGGAGTAGGACCCGACACGACACGGGAACACAAGGTGGAAGGGGGTGGCCCAGGCTCTGACTCTCTCCAGAGAGGTCCTGACGATGGTCTCTTGCTCTTGACGACAGGATGGAAAGGAAGCCTCCAGTTTTCACTCCTCTTTGCCTTTCCCTAGGTTTCTGTCTGTGCCTGTGCCGCTCTGTAGAGTGCCTTTTAATCAAAGGATCATTCATTTGCCTTTACAGCAGGTAGAGTCTGCACCCTTGTCCCCTGCCCTGCCCTTTCCTAGAGCACAGCCCAGGATCACCACCTAAGGGCCAGGCACAGTGGGGCACTTTGCATATGTCGTCTTAGATGGGAATGGAAATCACACAGTCACAAAGGAGCAGACCCAGAGGTAACTGCAAGTCTTCAAGGCTTCAGGCCCTCGTTCTTCCTCCTGGGTCCTGAAGGACTCTCAGGTGGCCCTGGGCTGGGGAAAGTTCCTGGGAATTAGAAGACGAGTTGTCTAGCAGACTAAGAAGTTGCATTGCTTCGTCCACCCATCTGCTGTCTTCCTTAGGGAATATTTATTGAGCAATTCTTGTGCTCCAGGCCCTGGGTGAGGTGCTGGGATTAAAACAGTCAACAATGGTCACCGGCCCTGCCTTCGTGAGTCCAGTCTAGTGGGATCACAACAAAGTGAGACTCTGCTTCCCCCAAGGCAGAGCCCAGGGACGGCAGACACAGCACAGGCACATGCTGCGCACTTCCAAGGCACCTTTCTCCTAGATGACGTGTGACACAGCAGCCCTGGTGTGCCTTGGCCTTGAACAATTAGGTAGGGCACCAGTAGGGGCAGGAAGACTGACAGCATGGACCACTACTTCCTGCGTGGCTGGGGCA
Source organism: Homo sapiens (assembly GCF_000001405.40). NCBI lineage: Eukaryota > Metazoa > Chordata > Mammalia > Primates > Hominidae > Homo > Homo sapiens. The sequence goes on along the minus strand of NC_000011.10, from coordinate 113,407,504 downwards.
GGAGGCCCTGAAAGAAGCAGCTACAGATCCTGCTTTCCAGGTGGTCTCACCACAGGCACAGCCAGTTGCCTGCAACTAAGAACACTGAAGCCCGGCCTGCTTTGGGGGCATTTCCAGCATCCCCTCCTATCTGGAATCTCTTCCCAAAACATCCCTGTCCCCAGGGACTGCATAGCTCCTTTCACCTGGTGGCCCAGCCCTCTCTGTGTGCCACTGGCTCCCTGCCCTCCTGGGTCCCAGGACCTGGGCTGAGTGTGCAACTTTAGCTTCCATCTGCACAGGGCCCTCTCTGCGGGCTTTGCCCTCCCTGATGGCATGTTCTTCTCCTAACCCACTGGAGTGAGGGGCATTCTTATCGTCTCCACTTACAGAAGAGAAGCCTCTCATACAGAAAGGGTAGTTTCCCTTTCAGGCTAAATCTTCTGATTTTACCTCTTATAGTGTCCATTCCAGCCCTGGCTTCTGACCAGCGTGAGTGCAGCTGAAAGAGGCTAGGATGGTCAGAAGATTTTTTTTAAAAGAGAAAGAATACTTGTTTTGGACCAGACCTGTAGGGTAACAGCCTGGGGTGCATGTAAACAGAACTTGGGCCTCTCCAGGGAGCAAGTGGGTAGGTGGTGGGGGCAGAGCAGTTATTAGTGGGGCTTCAGGAGTGAGAGGGCCAGTCTGGGCATCGGTGTGCCAGAGGGTCCTCTCCTGCCAACCAGGTGGACCTGGCTCTGCTACACTAGTTTCTGGGGGTGCAGGGGAAGCAGGAAGCTGGTGGGGGGAGAGTGGACCATCTTTGGAGTAGGGAGACCTATCCTGGCTTTGTGGGGTTAGAGGGGACGTGGGAAGGGGGTACCTGGTAGGAACAGCTTCCTGCTTCCTCTCTCATCACAGTTCTGCTACTTGGCAAATAAGGCCTCATTGGAGCAGAGGCCCAGAGAGGCGCAGGAGAGGGAATGGCAAGGAGGGATGTGGAGAGACCTTTCACTCACAGCTGGAGCCAGAGACAACCCCAAGTTCATAGGAAGTGCTGTGTGACCGCTCCACTTGCATGTGGCTTTCTCCCACTTTCACATCTGGCTTCTGACACCCAGAGCTGCGTGTGAGGCCAGGGAGAGGGGGCCACCTCCCTGGCACCCCAGGGCCAGGGGTGTCAGAGCTGCACAGGAAGTGAAGGAATGCTATCAGGAAGGGGGTGAGGTGGTGCCATTCCAGGAATGGGAGGGGCAGGGCCTGGGGCCACCGACTGTGCAGAGACAAAGCTGGGCCATCCATACCTTCTGGATTTTCCTGATCAGGCCCAACTCCAAACACTCTGTCCTGTTGCCCCCAGGAGTGTGTAAGTTGGGAGGGTCATTTGGGGGCCAGGCTCTGTGCTGCGTCCAGGGCAGGGGAAAGCATGGGAGGGGCAAGAGAGGCAGGACACTGCCCTGGAGAAGACAAGTCCCTTGTTGGTTTTCTCCCAGGGCTGACAGCACAGACCTGACCCAGGCTCTGGGTAGAGGAGGCATGACTGGCTAGTGGGGCTAGCCTTTGCCCTATAACTGACCTGATCCGTAGGTGTTTCCCAGGGGGCCTCGGTGTCTCAGCCTACACCAAGGCACTGAAGGAGAGTCTCCCTTTCCTTTCCTGAATGTATCGGCAAAGAAAAATGGGCAGAGGCTTCTAAGAGCATCCTTGCAAAAGGCTCCCAAGGGATGGGCTGTCTATGTCTTATTGCAAGAGAAACATTCCTCTGATTTAGGAGGAACTGCAAGAAATGAATGTGTTGAGTGCTTATTAACTGCCTTGCCCTCTGACTGGCAGGGCATCAGGTTTAATTCTTACAATGACCCAGAGATAAACATTATTGCTGCTAGATGATACCATCAAGCTAAGATAGTTTTAGCAACCTGAGATCTGCAACTAGTAAATGGCTCAGCGAAGACATGCACCCAGGTCTGCCTGCCCGAGTCCACTAGACCCAGCCACCCACAGTTTCCCTCCCCGACCTCAGCCCAGCCTGGTTCCTGCCCTCTGTCCCTAACATTACCTTACAGCAAAAACCCCTGCTGCCTGTAATCCGATTCAGCAAGCAGGGAGGAAGCACCCTCTGAGCTCCAGACACCAGGGCACTAAGAGAGGACTGGATGGAACACAGAAACAAGTAGGGCGTGGTGATGTGGCATGCAATGAGCAAGGAAGGTGGACCCAAGAGAAGCTCTGTCAACCTCACTGCACTGGGCATCGGGACAGAATGCCCCTGAGGAAGGAGTGAGCATCTCCAGGGGGCAAGCAGAGACGTCTTCGTGGGCAGGAACAGGCAAGTTGGATCTGGAAGGGCAGATCGGATCCCGGCAGGCACCGGTGGAAGAAGAGGACACAGCATTAGCAGGAAGAAGGGCCTGGGGTTGGTGGGTGCTGCAGCAATGCTGGCTGGGTTTCAGAGTGGGCTGGAGCCCTAACTCACTGGAGGCCCTCACTTATTGGTGAGATGTGTTCTATAGGTAAGCACAGGGGGCATCAGGAAAGGAATGTTCCTGAACACAAGATCACCTTGGAGCTGCCATCTGTGTGTTCAGGAAGTCCTGGGGCTCCCTCCTTCCTCTCCTTCTTGCCACAGGCCTGGAGCCCTGTTTCCTCCCCTTCTCAGCCCTGCCCATTATCATTCTCTTCCTGGAGCTCAGTGCCCTCAGGTTGGCTTTGGAGAGGGACACGGTCTCCCCAGTCTCCTCATTTCCCGTAGGCCTTTTCAGCCGTGAGGAGTTTTCTGCTGATCCCTGCAGTCCTGCCTCCCTTCAAGACAGTCGCGGCAGCCCGTTTAGGCCTCTGCCCTACACTTTGCTGTGGAGACAGCTTGCCAAGCCTCCCTGCTCCTTTAGGATTCCCAGCCTCATAACTGGAGGGTTCCACCAACAGCTTCCATCTCCCAGCACAAGAAGGGATCCAGGTGGAACAATCTCAGCTATCTGCATCTCTGGGGATGGCTAGGCTAGGGGATGCCATCTCCCAGGACCCAGGAATGTCCTCCTTGAGGTGGGCTGGATTGGATCAAGCACAGTTTAGGATGGGAAAGGAGGCTGTCATATGAGTAAAGGGTAATGAAGGGGTTACCTGAGTAACACTGGTGAGAAAGGACAGGAACAGAAAGCTGGAAGAGGAGAGAAGTGATGGTGAGTACCAATGTGTGCTGGAGATAGGCGTGATCTAATTGCATCCCCAAGATAACAAATCTGTTATAAATACAGATGCCGAAATCTGGAAAGTCTGGGTAAAGTCCACAGCTAGCAAAAGGCAGAATTGGGATGCCAAGCCAGGTGTGCCTTGCTCTGAAGCCCCATAGGGCAGGGTCCCCATCTCCCACCACTGTCCCCCATTTCCTCATCCTGCACACAGCTGAAGAGGTCTTTAGGATGCATGGCGTGTTCTGATTGCATCCTCCTTCTGCTGGGAAACTGACAGCAGCTCCCAACTGTCCCTCATCCTGCGTGGGAGCTCCCAAATCAGAATGAACATTAAGGTCTCTCCATTGAATACGCACCTCCCACACCTGCACCTCAACAGCACTGTCCCTCCTTCAGCTGGCCACTCTCTGCTCCCCATAGCAGCTGTGTCTCTTTCACATTCCCCAGCCAATCCTCTCCCCTTCTATCCAGTCCAGGCTTTGCTCCTCTTCTGCTCTGTCCTTGTCCTCATTCAACATATGCATCTTCCAGGAAAATCTTTCCTGATCGACCCCACGCAACATGGCAACTGCCTGGCGGAGGCAAGACAGGTATAGACTGTGCTGTCCACTGTCCCCATGTGGCTAGATACCCACATTTAATTTATTGAAATAAAAAAACTTGATTCCTTGGTTACACTAGCCACATTTCAAGTGCTCAGGAGCATCTGTGGCTGGCGGCTATCCTACTGAGCAGTGTGGATGTAGAAGGCTTCCATCCTCCCAGTGCTGATCCAGAATGGCTCCTAAGTTAGGAGTTTGGATACCTTCAACTAAAATAGGGTATAAAGGGTGAAGTCAGGCTTGTGGAGGGAGAAGGGAATGCTCAGTTTGGGACACTTTGAGTTGAAGGTCTACTCCTGTAGACCCCTTCAACTCAAAGTGTCCCAAACTGAGCATTCCCTTCTCCCTCCAAGTGGAGATGCCCAGTAAGAAATTGGGGAGCTCTTTCCCCCCGATCCCCAATCTCCCCTAAATAGGGCTTGAACTTCTACTGGAGACCCTCTCCTTGGGAATTTCAAGGGCCTCATTCAAACCCAATTTTAAACATCCCTAGGGAAGCTCTAGAAGGCAGCTGTGTTGAAATGGGACTCAAGGTGGATACCGTGTGTGTTTGTGTGTGTGTCTGTGTCTGGCTAGGAGTGGCTTGATAGGGCAGAAGAAGACACTGGTAGGCAATGAAGGGCCATGTTGTCCAGGGCTGGCCTGAAGTCACCTCTAAGAGTTATCTCTTAGAGGAAGGAAGTGGAGGAAGCAGGGGTGTGAGAATCTCTGCCTAGACTCAGGATCACCAGAGCTGAAATGATTCCCAGGGACAGTCCTGTCCACATCTCCACAGCATCCCTGCCATTCATTGGACACTAGGTGCAAAAGGTTCATCTACTTTTTCTAACTCTTTTTTTCAAGGCCTTTTCTCAGTTCTCAGCTCTTTCCAATAGGATCAGCCAGCCACTCTTCTCCCTCTTTGGTTCCCTCCTGATCACTCCCACTGATGGATCTGAGCACCCTTGGCTGGAAGTATGTAGCCCCAGAGCCTTCTCTGGCTCTCATAGAGTCCTAGATTTGGAGTTAGATCTGGAAGGGCAGATAGGATCCTGGCAGACACTGGTGGGAGACTTCAGAGTGCAAAGAGAAGCAAACAGCCCTGTGCCTCCTCCACTTCCCTCCTCTTGCTCCCGCATGTTCTGGGAAAGCTAGAACTCCTAGGGGAATCTTTAACTACAAGTTTTGCCTAAGGCTTAGTCTCAGTGAGACTAAAGAGATTGAGCTGGGCAGCTAGCAGGGAGTAGGAAGATGGAACAGTCAGCTGAGTGTCCCCTGAACCCAGTCGTCAGGAGTCCAAATGGAAGAGAAAAAGACCTCTGACACCCAAGCTGCTGGCCACTGATGTCTGCAAGGTTATGCTAAGGAAGGGCACAGAGAGAAACCATGGGATGCTCCAGTGCTTCTCAGCCCTGGGTGCTCTTCAGAATCACTTGGGAATTGTTAATGATGCTCACACCAAGGTCCTACCCTGGAGGTTCTGGTTTAATTGGTTGAGGGTAGGGCCAGGCGTTGGTATATTTTAAAAGCCCCTTGCCCAGGAGATTTTAACGTGCAGGCTCGGTTTACAACCATGGCTCTAGGACACACTCCAGCTTCCTGGGCTCACATCTGACTTTCCATGGTGGCCATAAGCTATGGCAAGGTGGTGGTAAAGGGCCCAGGGCCCAACAGGCTGGAGCTGTGGTCCAGAGGCCAAAGGATGGAGGACACAAAGCTGCTAGCTCTACTGAAAGGGACTTGTTAATTCAACAGGATTGCACGTGGGCAACACATTTCCTCTGCCCCACCTCTCTCACCCCATGCTGATGCCAGGCTGCTAGCTGCTGGCCCCATGCCCAGACTGGAGTGCCCAGCCCAGGAGAATGACACGCAGAGGTGGGCCTGCCAATCAGCTTGGCTGAGAGCTGGCCAATAGTTGGGACAGATGATTCCTTTTCTCTGACAATTGCAAAACATCCTTGAGTGGGAGGAGCTGCTTCTACTATGCTGACCAGCAGTGTAGGGAGACAGAAGGAGCAGGATAGGACCCCAGGAAACTCATCCTGTCCCTACTCCCTCCAAATTGTTGGCTGCTCTCCTGGAAGCTGAACTAGGGCCCTGGTCACATAAAGTTAGTGTGAACAGCTCCAGCCACAACCAGCAGGACAGGACAGGACAGCTGATGGGTGGCCTGGGTGTGGTCACAAAAGTGAGCCCTGCAAGCTCCATACTGAGTCCAGACAACCCACCCCTCACCATCATCACCCCCTCCAACTCCCTCTGCTGCCTCTGCCTCCTGTCTTTATGTGAACTCACACACACATATGAACACACATATACCCTACATTAGACAAATCGCATACACACACAAGCACACCATACTAACGCTGCTGGCCTCTATATGCAACTTGGTTCCACAGGCCAATCCATCTCTAAACAGGAGCCTCAGAGCCTCAGCTTTCTTGACTTCAGAGTTTGAAATCTGGCTGTAAAACTGGACACGATGTAGGATGAAGGGTGGTGCTGGGGACCAGGGACCTCACATCTCACATAGGGTGACTTATCCACAGTTGGAGTGCACCCTTCCTATATCCTCAAAATGCCATGAGGGAGACCCAGGCATTGGGACCAGGGGCACTGGACAGGTGTGGTCAGTGTGGCAACAGATGGCTGGCTGGGACTTTAGTGAGCAGAAACCTCCTTTGAACTTTTAGCTTCTGCCCCTTGAGCAAAGCACACGTGTCTGGCTCTCCCGCCCCAGCCTGAGGTAAGGAGCCAAGAGCCCAAGACGTGAGATGGGAGGATCCTGCTTCCCTCACCGCTGTGCCTCCCTCCATCTCCAGAGGGGGTCTGCTAGGATGCAAGGGCCCCTGTGAACTCAGAAGCGAGTGGCAAAAGGTGGTAGGTGTCTTGGATTGGAGAGGGTATTCATTTGGGGAGCTTGCATCCCCATAAAGGAGGAGGAGGAGGCCTGGGGTCTGTTGGAAGTGACTGGAGGATGTGTTGAAGGCAGCTCTCCAAGCCAGAGCCCCTTCCTCAGCTACAGCCACAGTGATACCTCTCCCCATGCCCCCATCACCCAGGTTCCTGTCTCCTCTCAAGGTGGAAGGGGCAGGTGAAGACTGCAGACAGGGAAGATGCCCTGCCAGAAGCCCAGCTGCACTTTCACCAGTTCCTACTCCATCCAGGCGAGAGGCCCCAAGTAGTCTAAATTTCTTTCTTTCTTTCTTTTTTATATGGAGTCTCGCTCTGTTGCCCAGGCTGGAGTGCAGTGGTGCGATCTCGGCTCACTGCAACCTCTGCCTCCTGGGTTCAAGGAATTCTCCTGCCTCAGCCTCCCTGGTAGTTGGGATTACAGGCACGTGCCACCATACCCAGCTAAATTTTGTATTTTTAGCAGAGACAGGGTTTTGCCATGTTGGCCAGGCTGGCCTCAAACTCTTGATATCAGGTGATCTGCCTGCCTCAGCCTCCCAAAGTGCTGGGATTACAGACGTGAGCCACCACGGCTGGCCAAGTTGTCTAAATTTCCATCTCGGCTCCTGGCTTAGAACCACCCAGAGTGGCCACTGACGGCTCCTTGCCCTCTAGGAAGGACATGATGCCCTGCTTTCGGCTGCGGAGGGCCAGTTGCAGGGGTGTGCAGCTCACTCCATCCTGGACGTCCAGCTGGGCGCCTGCCTCGACCAGCACTTTGAGGATGGCTGTGTTGCCCTTGAGGGCGGCCAGGTGGGCGGGTGTCCAGCCCACCTTGTTGCGGGCGTGGACATTTGCGTGATGTTCTAGGAGGTTGATGACACTCAGGAAGGTGCTCCTCTGGACCGCCAGGTGGAGGGGTGTCCAGCCTGACTGCTCTGCAGCATTGGGGTCAGCCCCACACTGCAGCAGTGCTGACACCACCGCCTCCTCCCCGTGGCGTGCAGCTAGGTGCAGGGGAGTCCAGTTCACAGCTCCAAGAGCACCCATGTTTGCGTGGCTCTCTGCCAGCAGATGGATGATCTCCAGGTGGCCCTTGTAGGCTGCTAGATGCAGGGGTGTCCAGCCCTGGTGGGTGGGCAGCTCAAGGCTGGCTCCGTACCTGAGCAGCATCTTGCAGATCAGGTATTTGCCCCTGGCAGCTGCAGTGTGCAGTGGGCCGTAGCCGCTCTGGTCAAGGGCATCAGGGACCGCTCCACTCTTCAGCAGGTGTTGGATGGCCCTCACTTTGCCCCGCTCTACTGCCAGGTGCAGTGGTGTTCTCAGGTTTCTCTGCTGAGCATCCAACTCAGCCCCCTGGCTGGTCAGCAGCTTGACCAGGCTAACATGGCCAAAGTAGGCGGCCACATGGAGGGGGGTCTTGCCCTCAGCCTCATGCAGGTTGGGGTCAGCCTGACGGGAGACCAGAAGCCGTGCCACATTCTCAAAGTTATTCTGTGCAGCCAGGTGAAGAGGGGTCCACCCTTCACGTTCCTGGGCATCCACACAGGCCCCGTGGTCCAGGAGCAGGCGCGCAGTGCCGTCATCCCCATTCTGGGCTGCAAAGTGCAGTGGGGCCCAGCCATCCTCATCCACTCGGTTGGCATCAGCACCATGTGCCAAAAGCAGGGCACAGAGGTCGGGTTGCTGGTCCTGGGCGGCGATCAGGAGGGGCGTGTATCCAGAGGCCGTCTGGCAGTCCACGTCTACCTCGTGGGCCAGCAGCAACCTCACCTGCTCCACACTGCCCTGGGCCACCAGGAAGTGGAGGGGGGTGACCTTGTTCTCATAGATACACAGTTCCTCATCTCTCGGGACCAAATTCTTACGGTCGGAGAGCTGAAGGGCCCGCTTCAGGTAGTTTCCTGAGTCTGCTGGGAGAAAGATGGGGTTGAAAAAAAAGACCTGTGACCCGTCCAGAGGTCATCATGGCCATCCCCCTGCCTCCTGGAAGTACCATCCAGGAACAGAGGCTAGAGCAGTAAGGGCAATGCCTTTCCTAAGCATGGCTCTCTACACAGCCATAAATGTTACTATTCAAGTTCAGGCTCGGTCGTCCTGGAGAGCTGAGTCCTGCAGTCCTTTCCTCACAGGTGAGGCAGAAAGAGCAGTGGGCTCAGGAGGCCCGAGTGCAAATCCTGATTTCACTCCTCAGCATCCCCCGACCTTAGCCAATTCACTGCCTCTTTGAGCTTCCATATCTGGATCAGATATGGAAGAGGGGACAAACAATGATCAGTTCATTCTACCATTGGAAGGACAAATTATATAGGTAAAAACTTTCAGTGGAGGACCTGAGGGAAAGTAAGCAATTCTAAGTTGGAAATAAACTTGTGGTTGGAGTTCTATGATCTAAACTCCCCTCTGAGGTCTTAAGGATCAACATCCTTCTGCTCTACCCAGTGGAGTATGAGAATTAAAATGACAAAAATGATCACTACCCAGGCCTAACCCTCACAGATTCTGGTTTAATTAGTCTAGGGTGTGCCCAAGGCAAAGCTTTTTTTTTTTTTTTTTTTTAATTTCCCGAGCAATTCTAACATGCAGCCAGCCTTGAGAACCAATGCTCCACCTTTCAGGTCAGGAAAGGGAAAATTCCGTCTTGCAAGGACACAGACTTGAAAGGGAGGCAGCCAGGCTCCCTGAGGGCATGTGCTTTCTGAACATGCAGCTGGGTGCTGGAAAAGGGCACCTAAACCCTGGATGTGTGATAGGCCTGGGGATGAGGGGGAGGCCAGGGGGATGGGGAAAGGGTGTGGTTTGACTCCATTTTCTCTGCTGTGAGTTCTCTGGTCCCGCCCGTGGCACCCAGACTCACCACTGTCCATCAGTTCCTGGCTGATGTCCTCATTAACCTGGGGAGGCATAACCAGCAGGCAGGGTGGAGATCAGTGGCGCAGTTCTAGCCTGTGCCCTCCTCCCCTCCTTCCCTCTCTCCAACCTTCCCGGTCACTGTCAGGACTCACATCCCACCCTATCCTGGGAAACCTTTATCCTTTGCCATGACTATCCCCAGCTGTCTAGAGGAAAACACTGAGCTGGAGAAACCCTCCAGAAAGAGGCAGCTCAGGGCCTTGCCTTCCCCTTGGGCCATGTGAACTTCAGGGTGGATCTGTGAGTTCAGCTGGGGGAGCCCCATGTTAACTCATGGCTGGTTCCCGTGTTAAGAATAGGGACAGAAGAGCAGGGGGATGATGTTGACACCCACAGCATGAAAGCTTGGGAGAGCCGGGCCTTCCTCTGCAGGACAGGAGTCAGTTTGGTCCCAAACATGAGAGAGAAGGTATATCCTTCCCAGGGGCCCTGTGCTCTAGCCACCACTATCCCTTGGAGTACCTTCATGCAAATTAGGGAAATGTGTCCCCTCTGGATGGAGGTGGCCCCAAGCTGGGCTGTGCATGAGTGCTCAGTGTCTGGCCAGAGATCACAACAGTCCACACAGCGGGCTCCAGCTTAGCATGACCATAAGGACTGCCCAGCCCACACACTCACCTCCCCGGGCTGGCGCAGCGACAGCTTGCAGGACACCTTCCTGGCCAGGGCCTTGCTCTCTGGGACTGCCACACGACTCTGCAGCAGTGACAGCAGTATGTCTGTCTCGATGGTAATGTCTGCTCCATGAGTGGGAGAAAGACAGGAAAGGAAGCAACGGGCTGGCCCACAGTACCCTCCCTGTTTTAGATACCCTAACATTCCTGTCTCCCAAAATCCATTCCTGGGCTCACATATGTTCATATAAATGCACGAGAAGGCAGGAAACCTGGGTCATGGTGGGGCACCTTCAGCAAGTCACTGACCCTCTGAGTTATCAGGGTCCTTTCCCACAGAATGAGGGGGCAAGTTCAGGCAATCTCTAAGATGCTCACACTTACACACAGGTGCATTTTCACAGTCCCCAAAGGACTGGATGAGCTCATGGGCCATCCTCAGCCTGTGATCTCATGGCCTGGAAACATTTTACAAATGAGGAAACAGTAGCTCTGAAAGGACTCAAGGCTGGCTGGAGAGCTTGGTGACAGGGCCAGGCCCAGATGCTGTGGCTTCTGCCTTTTGGCACCGAGGGTTTTCTACTCCACCTCCCACAGGGACATGCATTAACACACACAGAGCCCAGACCCCATCCTCAGCTACTCCTGGCTCCCAGTGCTGCCTTCCCAGCCCCGTGATGCAGATCCTGCCTCAAAAAGTCCTTCTAGGCCAGGTACAGTGGTTCATACCTGTAATCCCAGCACTTTGGGAGGATGAGGCTGGAGGATCACTTGAGGCCAGGAGTTTGAGAACAGCCTGAATAACATAGCGAGACCCCCATCTCTTAAAAAAAATCTAAAAATTAGCCAGGCATGGTGGTGTGCTTGTTGTTCTGGCTACTCAGGAGGCTGAGGCGGGAGGATATCTTGAGCCCAGGAGTTTGAGCTTATGGTGAAGTATGATCACACCACCACACTCCAGCCTGGACCAGAGAGACCGTGTCTCTGAAAAAAAAAAAAAAAAAGTCCTTCTAGGCCGTAGTACCAAAAGTGTCTCTCTGCATAGCTCCCAGGAGTGCCCAGTCATCTCCCCTCCCGGCCCCACCCAGCTCCCAGTCCCTGGGTAGGGGGCACTGGATAAGCACCTAGAAAGCATGGCCTCTTCTTGGGGTCCTGGTCCCAGCAGCGTTTCATCAGGTCCACCATCTGCTGGGCCTCGCTTGGCCATTGGTCAGAGACAGGCTGTAGGGAGGGCCGCATGCCTGCCGCCACTCGGATAATAATCATCATCATGTTGAACCCTGCAAAGGGAGGCTCAGGCTATGTGGGTGCTGAGAGGTAGGGCTGGAGGGGAGCTGGGGAGGAAGGCGGGGGCTCTGAGGATCCCAACAGGGCATGCACGCAGTGGGGGCTCCACAAATGCTTGGTGAGTAAACAGCTAGACTTTCAACCAACTTGAGGTTCTGTGTTGAGCAGCCAAGTCTCTCTGGTCTGGCTCCAGCTGCCTCCCAGGTCAAGACTAGACATGACCCCACATTGCAGGTCTGTGCTGTCCAAAGGCAGCAGGACAGGCAGCTGATGGGCAGGCCTAGGTAAAGGCTCTGACTCTCAAGGTTGCAAGGTTGCCCAAGTTTCCTGCAGTCTCTTTACCTGGCATCTAGGTGGCAGGGGGCAGGGGTGTGAGAAGGCAGAAAGGGCACTTTAGAAGCAAGGAAGTTAGAGCCACCAAGCATGGGCTGGGGGCTGGGCTGACCTTTCCTTTCCTTTAGCTGTGACGTGAGCTCTAGAAATAGAGGCAGGAAGGAAGGAGGGTGAGGAGAGGAATCCCTGAAGAGAATACAGTTCCACACAAACCTGCAACTTGACCCCCCCCAACCCTCAGTCCTCCCACAGCCCCTTCCAGGAGCCCATCCCAGGGGTCCTCCTGCCCCCAACACAGAGCCACAGCCGCCTGCTTACCTGAGTATGGTTTCTTCTGAGTGAGTAGCTCCCAGATGACAATTGCAAAGCTGTGGATGCAGAGAACCCTTTCTGAATGACTTAGTTGAACATCCAAGATCACCCCAGCCCGGGGTGGCAGGGTCGGGGGGCTACAGTTCACACAGTCCCAGGCAAGCCTCACCGGCCAAAGTACTCCCCAGCCCTCTGCCTCTCCAGCCAGAGTCCTCCGCCTTGGGCCAGACCTCATGCCCGCACTGCCCTGCCCTTTGGGCCATAGAGGCCAGGCAGGGTGGTGGCAGCAAACTGCCTGCTGGGTGTGTGGCATCACGCCAGGCCTCCTTCTCACCTGTACACATCATATTTAGGTCCTGGGGCCTTGTTACTCTCCAGGAACATCTCAGGGGGGATGTAGCTGAGCATGCCCCGCAGAGCCGACCTCTCGATGTACTGCATCCGGGTGGACTGTTCCATCCACTTGGACAGGCCGAAGTCTGAAATCTGGGAGAAGGCAGGGGCAGAGATAAAGCCGTGATAGAGCCTCATGACCAGAAAACGGCTATGGCTTCTCACCCCTCCTGCTATCTGCCTGTTCCAGGGTAGAGTAGTGGTTTTCTATGACACTCCCTCCTAGCACTACCACTTACTATCTGGATGGTCTTGGCCAAATTACTTATCTTCTCAGAGCCTCAGTTTCTTCACCTGTAAAGTAGAAGTAATATGACCATTTAACTCACAGTGCTATTGTGAGCACTAAATGAGGTGCCATGCAAAAAGCACTTAAACAGTGCCTGGCATGTAGTTAGGATGTGGTAGGTGTTATTATCCAGAGACTATGAATGAAGTTGCCACCTTCGGTAAGCTATTCATTGCACCTCCGGGGGCCCTGAAACACACCATGGACATTTATCTTCCCTTTGCTCCCATCCACTGAGTCATTCACTTGTCAAGTTGGCCATGCATTGAGGGCCAGGAAGGCTGTGGACCAAGGACTGGGCAGCAGATAAGAAAAATGAGACACCCCCTGCCAACACACACACTCCATATCCTCGTAAATACTTATTCAAATAGGGGGTCCAGTCATTAATGAAAGTGTTTCACTAATGATTATATACCTATGTTGGGGTTAGTAATATGGAGAATCAGAGGTACAGTGAAGGCATATAATGGGGACCTACTGGAGTAGATCAGGGAAGAGCTCCCTGAGGAGGTGATGGTTAAGCTGAATAGTGAGTAGACCTTCGCTAGGTAAATAGAGGGGAGTGGGGAAACAGAAGCTGCAAAGGTCCTGGGGCAAAAAAGAGTTTTAGGAAGTGAAAGAATGTCCATTACAACCTTTCTTAGGGATTGTCTCATTTACACACGTCTCCATCCAAATAAAAGAAAGTGCAGGGAAATAGAGATTATTCTATCCAATTTAGAAATGGGAAACTGAGTCCAAAGAGGGTTATTATAGGCATCCTGATACCCAGCCTTATGCCCCAAATTTCACTGCTTAGCCATCTCTATTGCAGTGTGATCCCTGCCTTTAGAATTTGTCCATGAAGGGAACTGCTTAAAACCCTTGACAGGCCGGTCAGGCAGGTGGATAATTCTGCTCACCTGGAGGCAACCCTCAAGTGAAAGGGAGCGGAGGATTGGCCAGAGCCCTTACTTTGACATGCATGTTGCTGTCCAGGAGTATGTTGCCCGGCTTGAGGTCCAGGTGGAGCAGAGGCGGCTTAATGCTGTGCAGGAAGTTCATGGCCAAGCTGGTCTCATGGATGATGCGGAACCTGAGCTTCCAGCAGAGGCTGTGGGTGGACAGCACCTTCTCCAGGGAGCCGTTGGCCATAAACTCCATCACAATACCCAGGGGCTGCTTGCACACCCCGTAGATAGACACGATGTGCTGAAACTTGATCTTCTTCATTTTGGCAGCTTCTTCAATGAGGTAATTCACATCAGAGCTATGGAGAGGGGGAGCAAGATATGGAAGGGGGTGACCCATTCATTACTACAGCAACCAGCTGAACACATAAACTAGCCATGATGCCAGACTGTGGGGACCCACAGAAGCCTCAGGAGCTTGCAAGGTAGTGGAAGAGGAAAGAGAGACATGAAGCAATACTTAGCAGGCCGCTTAGATTTCAGTACAGCAGCAACAAGGCAGGAAGTAAAGGAGTTTGCAGGTTTAGGAGCCAGTCCATTCTGCAAAGGTGGCCACAAAAAAGCAGGTATCACAGTTTGCCCTTTATTCTAGTTGCTTGTTTCTATGTTTATCTCCCCTAGTAGATTTTGAGCCCCCAGAGGACCAACATGATGCCTCATGCTTCTGCTTCAAAACATCATTTATTACCATTTAAATTATGGAAGTAATACATATACCTTGTAGGAAACATAGGGAATATAGAGAGCTATATAAAAGAAAAATAAGTTACCAGGGATGCAACCTTCCAGAGCTAGCCTCTGTTGATATTTTAGTATATCCTTTTACTATCCACCTTCAAGGTATCTCTTTCCCTTTCTCCCTCTCTTTCACTCCTTCTTTCTGCTCTCTCCTTTTGGATCACATAGTATGTGGAGCACGAGCACTTCCCCACACTGCTGTTCTTCCAAAGCATGATCTTTAGTGGCTGCACACTATTCCATTTTATGGATGAACTGTAATTATTCATCTCTATAATTCCCAAAGTGCATTGCCATGCATTGCACAATACATCTTTGTTGAATTGGAACAGAAGTCGAAACTTAAGGGAAGGCCTTACAAAATAAGCATTTGCAAACCCTGTTGCTCATTTCACTGTATGTGCCCACAGAACAGTAAATATGAAAATTGTTATAGATTATTTTGGGATTGCAGGGATGGGGATTAAGGAGAAATGACATATTTGAGAGCACAGTATTTGCAAAACTGTGATGGTGCTGTAGTCAGAGACTGCTGGCAATGTGCTCCCGGGGTCTCCCTGGGAAGCCAGCTGGAGAGCCCCAACCTTCAGGAAAAACCACATGCTCTTCCTGGCATCTGGACATGTTGGCTAGTGTAGGTTTCTCCTATTCTTGTTCACTTGTGCCAGAGATCCCTTCTCCACCTCTGTGATATTTTTAATCTGTCTTCTCTCATCCTCTTGGGTTCACAGGAACCAATGACATCTGCCATGGCATGGAAAAAAGCATGGGATGTGGGAATCACACTGCCCTGATTTCAAATCCCAGTTTCACCCGTTATTATCTGTATGACCTTGGGCAAGGGAATCCTCTGGGCCTCAGTTTCTAAACTAAAAACTGGGAATAATTGTAACTACCTTGCACAGTTCTTTCATAGCTTCCTACCCAGAAGTCTTGAGAGCATTTACTGCTGTCTCTCCTCTTCATCATCTTGCTGCACCCACTTTTGTCTAGTTTCTGGTACCTGCACTCCCCTGAACACCTGTGGCTAAGGTCACCAACAGCCTCTATGTTGCTATATCTAACCAATAATTTTCAGTTCTCAGTGTATAGTTCAGATCTCTGACTCTTTTTCTTGAAACTTCGTTACTTGAGCCACGTGTCAACATTCTCCTGCTTTTCTCCTACTTGTCTGGTCACTTCCTCTCTGTTTTCTTTGCAGGCTCATATCCTGTTACTTGACCACGGGGCTTAGTCCAAGCCCTTCTTCTCTGCTCTTCTCCCTCTATAATCTTTCTATAGTCAACCTCATCATCTCCAATTGGATATTCAATACCAAATGTGTCTGAAGCTAACCTCCTGATTTTCCCCTGAAACCTGCTCTTCCTTTAGTTTTCATCATTTCAGTGAATGGGGCCTCTGTCCTTCTAGTCCTCAGAATAGGACCCTGGTGTCATCTTCGACTCCTTTCTTCCTCTCACTTCCCACAGCCAAGTCTTCGCAAATCCTGCCAGCACCACCTTCAAAATACTGTCGAGCAACAAGCTGACCACTTCTCACCACCTCTCCCCCAAGGTGCATCTCAGCCCAAGCCTCCTAATTGGACTCTGTTTCTCCCGCTTCCTCTCCACAATCTATTCTCAACCCAGCAGCCAAAGTCATATTTTAAAATCTAAGTCACAACATGTCACTGCCCTTCTCCAATGGCTCTCCTCATTCACAGTAAAAGCCAAAGTTCTTTCATGGCTGAGAAAGTCCTACAAGATTTGTCCCCAATGCCAGGCATAGCTTGCTGACCTCCTTTCCTAATCACCCTCCTCTCATTGTGCCCCTGGCACACGGGCTTCCCACTGTTCCTCCACCATGCCCAGTGTGGTCCCACCTCAGGACCTTTGCACCTGTTGTTCTCTCTGCCTAGAACACTCCTCCCTAACAGAGCCACATGGATTACCCCTTCATTTCCTTCAAATCTCTACTCAAATGGTACCTAATTAGTATGGATTTCACAGAGAAGTCTACATAAAAAAGCAACCCCATTCCAACTCTTATATTCCCCATACACAGAGGGCCCTGGCATTAATATTTTTAGACCAACCCATTTCTTGGAAAATCAGACTTCTCAACCCTTCTTAGATATTTTAATCAAGAACTGTCAGGTGGTCATGAGTGCTATAGCTAAAAAGTTTATTATTCATTTGCTATTTATTTTGTCTTCCTCCTTTAGACTATAAGCTTCATGAGGGCAAGGACTTTGTTTTTTTCACGTAGTGCTTGGAATGAATGCATCTCCTCCATGCCTTTTTTTTGCTTTGTTTTTTTTTTTTTTTGAGACCAAGTCTCACTTTTGTTGCCCAGGCTGGAGTGCAATGGCATGATCTTGGCTCACTGCAACCTCTGCCTCCTGGGTTCAAGCAATTCTCCTATCTCAACCTCCTGAGTAGCTGGGACTACAGGTGCCCACCACCACGCCCAGCTAATTTATGTATTTTTAGTAGAGATGGAGTTTCACCATATTGGTCAGGCTGGTCTTGCCTGACCTCAGGTGATCCACCAGCCTTGGCCTCTCAAAGTGCTGGGATTACAAGCGTGAGCCACCAGGCCCAGCCTGATGCCCTAGTTTTAATGACCACTTATAACAAATGACTCCCAAGTTTTAATATTGTTAGCACCAACCTTTACTCTGATGTCCATGACAACTCTTCTTGGTTGTTTAAAGGCATCTGAAACTCAACAGGTACAAAGCTGAACTCATGATCTTCCTCTCCAAGTCTAGGCCTCTTTTCATAGTCTCTCCATTAATTGTCAACACTGCCATTCAATAAATATTTATTGAACACCAACTCTGTGCCAGGCACAGGAGACAGAGCTGTGACCAAAACAGACACTCTCATGGAGTGGACATTTTAGTGGATCCTCCATTCCTTTGGGCAAGCCAGACATCAAGTTAGCTTTAATACCCCTCTTCCTCATCGTGATCCTCCCCATGACTAATCCAGCACCAAGTCGGGTGGATTTTTACCTTCTAAATATGGCTTGACCCATTCCTTTCCTATCTCCACTACCAACACTCCACTCTAGCCCCTATTATCCGTCTCTCATCAGAATGAAGATAACAATCTCCTAACTTAACCAGAATCCACTCTACCCCTCCCAATGCATTCTCCATACTGCAATTCTGATTAATCCCTCCCATGGTCACCACCGCTACCTGGTTGTAAATGCTCAGTGGTTTTCCACTGCTCTTTTACTCTCCCAACTCCAGCCATCATGGCCTTTTCCCATCTTTGTACTTACCATGCCCCTCTTGCCACAGATTCTTTGCACACTCTGTTGTCTGTTCTTGGAAAACTTTCTCCTCCTCACCTACTTAACTTATACTCATTCTTCACATTTCAGCTGTAGTGTAACTTCTTCAAGGAAGCCTTTTCTGATATCAGTCAAACTTTCTGTTAATGAGCTCTCCTAGAGCCACAAATCTCCCCTTCTTAAGCTTCTCACAGTAGCACATTTACATTTACATGTGGGGTTATCTGGTTAATGTCTTCCTCCCCCTAGGCTGCAATCTCCCGGAGAGAAAGGACACATCTGTTGCATTCATCGTTAATCCCAGGGTGTAGAACAGTGCCTGACACATAGTAGAAGAGCAGTAAGCATTTGTCAAGTGGATGAATGAATGAATAGCTGGAAAGAGGATCTAGTAAAGTAATGCACGTAAAGCTCCTAGTATAGTAATCCATACATACTAAGTCTTAATTACCATTAATTATCTTACCCCCTCCACCCAGGGAATTCCCAGAACTTGGGAAGGGAAAGTGGCAGGAGTTAGCATCAATGTCTCACAGTGTAATCATGTCACTGCCATCTGTTTCCTTTCGTTCTATATTCAAAAGGCTATAAATGATTTAGACAAATCCTAGCATACTCTGACCCTCCTCCAAAACCAACAGGCAGATGTTGAGGGAGGAAGGTGAGTGGGCCTTAGGCGATCTTATTTTTCCTCTCCTCATAAGGTGGGGGAAGGCCTGGGAACTGAGTGTGTGGCACCTGAGGCTGTATCTTAAGAGTTTGCATGGTAATCCTAGAGAACCACAGATAGCATCCAAGCCAGATGCCAGTCAGAGAGACCCCCGTCCCGGACTCTCTAATTGATGTCCCAGAGCCTTGGGAGGAGGACATGGTTATCATGCTCAGGTTTAACATCCCGAGTGTCTTCTTCATGGCTGCAAGGTGCAAGCACACAGCTAGTATATGCAACTCCAGTGGGAATGAGACTGGATTCCAAATCAGTGGGAAGACAGAGAATAATGGAAACGTAGGAAAGAGGTAGGAAGAGAAAAATAGGGGCATGTCAAGGCGTCGCTGTAGTGCGCATGACAGCAAGGGACAAAAACAAAAACAGAGATGAGAGAACTCCAGACTTGACCCTCCAAGGGCCTGGACAGGCCATCAGGCCGGGCAGTCTCCATCCCCTGACCTCCTCAGCCTGCACTGATTGGGAGGGGCCTCCTCCCTCCCGCCACCGTGGGAAGAGAGAACATGATTCCCTGCAGATCTGAGCAAAGTGCCACAGCCTCCCAGGATGCTCAGCCCTGCCCTGAGAGCTGGGGTGGGTAGGAGGATGGCAGAGAGCGGTCAAGAGCAGTTATTGCCACAGGACACCGGGGGAAGAAGGCGCTGGAGAGAAGGATGGAAGCAGGCAGGACAAGTTCGGAAGGTCAGATGGGATAAAGGCGTCTTTGGTAGGTAGTTCCCGCTTGCCTTTGACCTCTGTTGAGTCTACAAACAGGTATTATGTGCCAACTCTATTTTGGTTAGGGAGACAGGTATGGGTGTGCCTGGGAGGCTCAGGCTACTGGGTGGAATTCAGAAATACCGCGGGGGACAGTCCTCAGCCCCAAACTCAGCCCACTCCTTCCTCGCAAGCTCCCTGGGCCCAAAGCTTGCCGGGCCTCAGTTTCTCCTCCGAGAAAGGGGAGGGCGAGGCTGGCAGTACCTGGCGGCGTCGGGTGGAAGGCAGGGGG
Source organism: Homo sapiens (assembly GCF_000001405.40). NCBI lineage: Eukaryota > Metazoa > Chordata > Mammalia > Primates > Hominidae > Homo > Homo sapiens. Next base: position 113,388,041 of record NC_000011.10, on the reverse strand, counting down.
CGCACTTGATGGCGTACTCCGTCCGCCAGCGCCTGTGCCGCGCCTGGAACACCTGGCTGAAGCCGCCGCTGGCCACTAGGCGCCAGTCGCCCTCGAAGTCGTCGCGGGTGAAGACGGGGAGGCTGCCCAGCCGCAGCTCGGTGGGGTCGGCAGCCATTGCCCCTCTCTTCCTGTCCCCGCGCCGCGCACTCCCCGCTGTGGCTGCTGCCTGGGTGGCCGAAGGAGCCGCCGCTTCCTGCTCCTCGGGTCCGGGAGAGGGGAATGGGGAGACGAGCCGGCCCTGCCTCCTTCCCCGCCCAAGAGGAGCCGCTCCTGCCCCGCAAAGGTGGGGAAATCCCAGACATGAGCCCTGAGGCCCCAGCAGGGATGGAGCGACCTGGGCCTGGGGAAGAGGGTATGTCCCTCCGAAGCCCTCGCATTTCCCCTGTCTCAGCCTTTGATTTTCCCCAGTTCCCCCTAGGGAGGGATGCTGGGAGAAGGTGTCCCGAAGCTGGAAGAAGTCCAGCCTGAGAAGTTGGATCCAGTTTATTTAGGCCCAGCGCTAAGTGAAATCGGTTTATGCATTCCTTCAGTGCATTCAAGGTTTTATGGTTTATGAAGGATTCAGGCCTGGACCCCTGCCCCTATCCAGCAAGTATGGGGCTCAAACAATTTTAATGGGGATTTTCTGGTCTGAATCTGTTGGTCTGACTGGTTTCATGTTTCCTTTGTTCTTGTTGGGGTTTTGTTTGTTTGTTTGTTAGCCAGCCTTGGTGTGCTATAGGTTACCAAGGAGGGGTCAGCAGGGACAGAGTTGCGGGGGAGGCTGGGCTCCTGTCTGCAGGGGACTCCCTTCCTGGGCTGCGCTCTATCCAACCTCAGAGGGATGGACCCCAGCCTCGGGGTGGCCACGGGGGAGGTGGCCTCCTTGGCGCAGTTACTAGGGGCAGTTTGTTGCCAGGGATGAGAGGAGGCTCTAGCTGGAGCCTGACCAGTGCTGAGCTTGGAGGTTCCCCTGGGTCCTGGGTCCATGGGATTGCCCTCTCACCTTGGAGACCCTCAGAGCAGGGAAAATGACAAGTGCTTGAACAGACAGGTCTCCCCAGGGGCACTGACCAAGTGGGCCATTGCCCAGAGACAGGCATACCTGGAGGAACTGTGGCCACGGAGTGCAGAGTCAGCCACTATTTGCCTACAGCTGAGTAAGTCCACAAGGAGCCCTCAGAGTGATCACTGTTAGGTTTGAGGAGCCTACCTACCAGACAAGGAAGTGCCTTGCCTTCAGCCCAAACCTGCAGAGCCCCTCGTCCATGCCACAAGCCCACCAGACTCCCAGGGAACAGTGTAGGCATGATAGGCAAACAGAGACTCCCTGTGGAAGCTGGAGAACTTGCTCCCTCTGTAACAACTTACCTGCAACTTCCAGGATGAATTCTGGCAAGCAGATTAAGGATCAAAGATTGGGCCTGGAGACAGTTGTCATAGAAACTAGTGATAGCCACTACTAATTGAACACTCACTTTGTTCCAGGATCAGTGACTATTTCAGTTACTGCATTGCTTTACATATATTATCCTGTTTATCTTGCAACAATGTTATGAGGTCAACATCTTCTATTCACAGATGAGGAAACTGGCTTCAAGACAATAAGTAATCAATGGACACATAGCTAGTAAGTGGTAGTTGATATTCAAACTCAAGTCTCTTAGTTTCTATGGAAATGGTTGGCCAGGGGAGGATCAGGGAGTAGCCTTTTATGAATACAAAAAAGGAAGAGAGAGAGTCATGCTCCCTGGAAGAGGGTGGAGATGATGGAAACTGCATCAGGAGCAGGACGTATCCCCCAAACATATGTCAGAGGGAGGCCCCCAGCTTGCTTTGGCTGGAGCAAGACAGGGCATAACAGAACCCATTGTCTCTGGAGTAGCCCTGCCTGCCCAAGTTTAAAGCCTCTGCCAGAGAAGTTTGGAAGGTGATAAAGGACATTGTCATCAGGGAGACCAGGAGGTCAAGAGGATGTTTCATACCTTCTACTGGGAGGGTGAACATGGAGACTGGGAAGGTGACCAGCCACCCAGCTCTGCGGAAGTTTGACTGAGGCCCGATCTTTGACATTCAGCGAGACCTATCTCAGCTCCTGGAGGAAATACCAAGGGTGAATGGCCTGAGTCATTTCAGCAGTTCCCCTTGATCCACTTATACCTGAAGTGGCTCTCCAGGGAGAGGAAGTAACCAGAAGCTGCCATTGTCTGCCTGCAGAGACTGTCACAGGAATACTGAAGAAAGCATCATTCCTAGAAGAGGGGACACCCAGGGCTCAAGGCATGTTGCCAGAATCCCGAACAAAATACCTCTGAATTTCTCACAGGGGTGGAGGTGGAGGAACTGCAGGGTCAGGGCGTATTACTGCTGACCCACCTGTTGAAACTCTCTGCTGTGGGTTCAAGCACCCCTGAGGCTTCTGAGGAGTCAGTCAAAATAGATACATTCATTGACCCAGAGGGACTGGATCATTTGACTGGGCTTGTCCTGCTCCTTACAGCTGTCTAACATGGGCTAGGGCAAAGGCCTAGTAGTCTTTGGATAAGCTCTGGGAGAAGTTGTAAGTGGAGGGACCCTTTCTGAGTATAAGGTCACAGAGGCAAAGAACTCCTGGATCTCTCATTAAAAGTGGGGTGAGGTATAGGGATTTGCAAAAGAGTAAAGTCAACTCAGAGGCTGCTGGTTTCTTTCCAGTGGTCTGAGTGCAGAAGTCCCTAGGTCCTGGCTGGTTGGGAAGTCAGCAGCCAGTGTGTGGAGGGGAGAGAGCTGGGGGGTTGGGAGGGAAACTCTACCTTTACCCATATCTACCTACAAATGGGAATGGATAATGAAGTGGTTATAGTCCAATTATGACCCCCACCCACCAGAAGGGGCAAGGAACAGGTTCTAGCTATAGAAGTTTTACCCCAAAATGCTCTGAGTCCTTCCAACTAACCTCTATCAGTGCATTTTGTTTGGGCAGATTGAAGATGGAAGTGTTCTGGATTTGGAGTTATTAAATGAATTTTGTGTGTATGTGTGATTGTCTTTGGGGAACCTAAGATTTTTAGCCTGCTCCTCCCAGACAAGTGAGCTGGTACAGGAGCTCTGCAATACTTTAGAAGATGCTGAAATCTGATGTGAGCCTTTCCCCAAACCGGAATGACAAGCTATTTGCATATAGGGAAGTTTCCCAGTCTGCCCCTGTTCTCCACCCTGCAAACATGTCACGGAGAACCCTGGACAGGTTCTGGCAGGCCCCAGCCTCTGGTAGCTTGTGTACTGAGGTTGGTCAGGATAAAGGAATGTATGCAGGAAAGTGGAACATCTGTTCAGGAAGCAGGACTCCCAGAGTGAAAGGGATTGAATGAGGCAATAGGAACAGGGTTTAAATGTGGGAGTGAGTCAGTCAGTCAGACCCGCATTTAAACCCTGGCTTCTTTCTATCACTTAGCATTTGTTTAACCTTGGTCACATTATCAAATCTTTCTGGGTTTCTCCATCTGTAAAATAGATGATAATCATAATAACCATTCCAAAACATTGCTATAAGAATTATAACCTTTAAAAATATACCTAGTATATTAGTATAATATTATACTAATATAACATAAAAATACAATATAATATCATATTAGTTTAATATACCTAGGATATTTTTAAAGGTTATAATTCTTACAGCAACCTTTTGGAATGGTTATTATGATTATCATCCATAAAATATATCTAAATACTAGGTATATTTTTAAAGGTTACATTCCTTAGGTATATACTAGGAATACTCCTAGGCAAAAAATATGAACCAGCTGATACTTCACACCTGAAAAATTAACTCAAAATGAATCATGGACTTAAATATTAAATGTAAACTTATAAAAATTTTAGGAAAAAAAAAGGAGAAAATATTCTGGACCTAGGATTAGATGAAAAGTTCTTAGGCCGAATCCCACAGGCACAATCCATAAAAGGGAAAATTGATAAACTGAACCTCATCAAAATGAAAAACTCTCACTCAGTGAAAGACCTGGTGAAGGTGAAGAGAAGAGTGCAGATGGGGAGAAAATGTTTGTAAAGCACATATTTGACAAAGTGCTGGTTCATAGAGTATATAAGGAGGTCTTCAAACTCAATGCTAAAAAAGCATCAAATTAGAAAATGGGAAAATACATTTCTCTGAAGAGAATATACAGATGACAAATAAGTTCTTGAAAAAATGTTTAATATCATGAGCCACTAAGCAATGCAAGTAAGATATCACTAACTACCTATCAGAATGGCTAAAAATAAAACTGAAAAGATAGTGGCAACGCCAAATGCTGATGAGGATGTAGAGTAATGGGATCACTCATACGCTGGTGGAAATGTAAAATGGTATGGCAATTCTAGAAAAGAATTTGGCCATTTCTTATAAGACTAAACATATGATTACCATACAACCCAGCAATTGCACTCTTGGGAATCTATCCCAGAGAAATGAAAACAGTGTTCACACAAAAATCTGTATATGAATGCTCATTGCAGCTTTATTTGCAATAGCTAAAATCTGGAAACCGCTCAGATGTCCTTCAACCAATGAATGGCTAAACACACCATAGTGCTGTATTATGGAATAGGACTCAGCAACTACTGATATACACAGCCACTTGGATGAGGCCCCAGAGAATTCTATTGAGTGAACAAAGCCAATCATAAAAGGTTACATACTGTATGACTCCATTTATATTGCATTCTTAAAATGACAAAATTATAGAGATGGAGAACAGATTAGTGGTTGTCAGAGGTGAGATTGGGGGAGAGGCAGGTGGGTGTAGCTGTAAAAGGTTAGTGCAAAGGAACCTTGTGATGAAACTATTCTGTATCTTAACTGTGGTGGTGGCCACATGAATCAATGCATGTGACAAAATTCCATCAAATTAAATGCACACACAGATGCACACACACACACAAATGAGTGCATGTAAAACTGACGGCACCTGTGTAAGGACTATGGATTGTATCACTGATTTCCTGGTTGTAATGTTGTGCTATAGTGACATAAGATGTTACCTTTGGGGGAAACTGGGTGAGGGTATCTCTGCATAAGTTCTTAAAATTGTGTGCTTATCTGTAATTATCTCCAAGCAGAACATTTAAAAAATACAAATAAAGCCCCCTTCTTCTCTTCTTCCTCCTCCTCCTTTTCCTCCTCCTCCTTTTCCTCCTCCTACTTCTCCTTCCCCCTTCTATTTCTCGTTCTTGTCCTTATTACTAGGTAATGTTATATTCTTGGAAGGAAAATATTCCCATAATAGGAGAAAGGCAGTAATCTAACATTTACCACAGAATGCCTTAAGGAACACAGCTGGCCCCCTGTGGACACGTAGAAACCCCAAGGAGAAAGAGAAAGGCCACTGTGTTAAATGTCTGAGGCTGGAGACGATGGAGAGAGGGAGCGAACTAGTTCCTTCTAAGACTCAATTTCTGGAGTTGGCAGAGTATAGATTTTCCTTCCTAATAAGGAAACCAGTCTCTCTTTTGAAGGGCTTTTTGATGAAAAACTACCTTGAGTGTCAAGAAGCCAAAAATGGAAGCCCTGAGTTTCATGAACCATGGTTCTCATTGTCAAAATCATGGCCACAGGTTCTTTATGGTCTTGGGTGATTGTGATTCTGGGCTGGGTCCATATAAAAATAACAAACAGATGTCTCAAGCATCCTGCCATCTCAAGCAGTTTAGAAGAAATGCTTGGCTGTGGCCAGGGCTTCAGAGAAACATCATTCCAACATGGGGCCTTAACAGCCTCAGAGCATGCCCAAGATGTCATGGTCAATACCTTCTCTGGCAGTGTCCAAGAGACTAGGAATGCTAAACTTAACCCTTTTTAATTTAACAAAGAGTCAGTCCAGGGAGATTGAGTCCCTATTACCAGGACTCTAAAGGGAAAATGCCCTCCTTATGTCAACCTTGGTGATCTGGCCATAAATCTATCCTTCTGCTCTCCTCTGGGCCCTTCCTGGATAGGGGGGAGTGAAGGAAAGCTAGGACTAGGGAAGGACTTAAACACTAAAAGGTGGTTTTCTTGGGAACTCTGAAAGCTTGCTGGCTCTGCAGGTAAAGAAAGGGACTTCTAAAATGTGACTAGTGTCATGCTTCTTATAACTTCTTTTTTTTTTTTCTATTTTCCTTACTATTCATGTAGAGTAAGTTTCCTTCCTTCCTTCCTTCCTTCCTTCCTTCCTTCCTTCCTTCTTTCCTTCCTTTCCTTCCTCCCTCCCTCCTTCCCTCCCTCCCTTCCTTCCTCCTTTTCTCTTTTAGGGATGAAGAGTTAGCCAGACCACTTTGGGTACACTAAAAGAAACCAAGAAAAGATTTTGCATGGGAATTATTTAAGTGCCTTGTGGATTCTGGATATTAGACTTTTGCTGGATGCCTAGTTTGCAAATATTTTCTCTTATTCCAAGGTTGTCTGTTTACTCTGTTGATAGTTTCTTTTGCTATGCAAAAGCACTTCAGTTTGATTGGGTCCCACTTGTCAACTTTTGGTTTTTTTTGCAATTGTTTTTGTTTTGTTGGGGGACTTAGTCATAAAGTCTCTGCCAAGGCCAATGTCCAGAATGGTATTTTCCTAGGTTTTCTATGATATTTATAGTTTTAGGTCTTACATTTAAATCTTTAATCCATTTTAAGTTAATTTTTATATATTGAGATAGGTAGGGGTCCAGTTTCATTCTCCTACATATGGATAGCTAGTTATCCCATTTATTGAATAGGGAGTCCTTTCCCCATTGCTTGTGATTGTTGACTGTCAAAGATCAGATGGTTGTTAGGTGTGCAGCTTTATTTTGGGTTTGCTATCCTTTTCCATTGGTCTATGTGACTGTTTTTGTGCTAGTACCATGCTGTTTTGGTTACTGCAGGCTTGTAGTATAGTCGGAAGTCAGGTAGTACGATGCCTTCAAATAACTCCATTAAAAAGTGGGCAAAGGAGGCCGGCATGGTGGCTCACGCCTGTAATTCCAGTACTTTGGGAGGCTAAGGCGGGTGGATCATGAGGTCAGGAGTTCAAGACCAGCCTGGCCAACATAATGAAACCCTGTCTCTCCTAAAAATACAAAAATTAGCTGTGCATAGTGGTGCGCACCTGTAGTCCCAGCTACTTGGGAGGCTGAGGCAGGAGAATTGCTTGAACCTGGCAGATGGAGGTTGCAGTGAGCCGAGATTGTACCACTGCACTCCAGCTTGGGCAACAGAGCGAGAGTTCGTCTCAAAAAAAAAAAAAAAAAAGTGGGCAAAGGTCAACAAACATATGAAAAAATGCTCAACATCACTCAGGGAAATGCAAATCAAACCCATACCACCTTACTCCTGCAAGAATGGCCATAATCAAAAACCAAAAAACAGTAGATGTTGGTGTGGATGCAGTGATCAGGTGTGGATGCAGGAACACTTCTACACTGCTGGTGGGAATGTAAACTATATGGCCACTATGGAAAACAGTGTGGAGATTCCTTAAAGAACTAAAAGTAGAACTACCATTTGATCAAGCAATCCCACTACTAGGTATCTACCCAGAGGAAAAGAAGTCATTATATGAAAAAGATACTTGCACACACATTTACAGCAGTACAATTCTCAATTGCAAAATTGTGGAACCAACCAAAATGCCTATCAATCAACTAGTGGAAAAGGAAACTGTGAGATATACATATATATGATGGAATACTACTCAGCCATAAAAAGGAATGAATTAACAGCATTTTCATGGACCTGGATGAGATTGGAGACTACTATTCTAAGTGAAGTATCTCAGTAATGGAAAACTAAATGTTGTTTGTTATCACTGATATGTGGGAGCTAAGCTATGAGGACACAAAGGCATAAGAACCATACCATGGACTTTGGGGACTTGGGGGGAAGGGTGGGAGGAGGACAAGGGATAAGAGATTACAAATAGGGGGCAGTATATACTGCTCAGGTGATGGGTGCACCAAAATCTCACAAATCACTACCAAAGAACTTACTTATGTAACCAAATGCTACCTGTACCCCAATAACCTATGGAAACATAAAATAAAAAATAAAAAGTGGGCAAAGGACATGAACAGAACATCTCAAAAGAGGACATACCTGCGGCCAACACATATATGAAAAAGTGCTCAACATCAGTAATCATTAGAGAAATGCAAATCAAAATCACAATGAGTTACTGTTTTGCAGCAACCATTTTAATAATGGCTATTATTTAAAAAAAAAACAAAAAATAACAAATGCTGGTGAGGCTGTGGAGAAAAGGGAACACTTATACACTGTTTGTGGTAGTGCAAATTAGTTCAGTCACTGTGAAAGCAAGCTGAATATTTCCCAAAAAACTTAGAATTAACATTCAACCCAGCAATCCTATTACTAGGCATAAAATAAATCTTGCTACCAAAAAGACATGTGCATTCATATGTTCATCACAGCACTGTTCACAATGGCAAAGACATGGAATCAACCTAGGAGCCCATCAATGGTGGATTGGATAAAGAAAATGTGGTACATATACACCATGGACTACTATGCAGCCATAAAAAAGAATGAAATCATGTCCTTTGCAACAACACAGATGCAGCTGGAGGCCATTATCCTAAGTGGTGAATTAACACAGAAACAGAAAACCAAATACCACATGTTCTCACTTGTAAGTGGAAGCCAAACCTTAGGTATACATAGACAGAAAGATGGGAATAACAGACACTGGGAACTACTGGGGGTGGAGAAGGGAGGGGGCAAGGGTTGAAAAACTACCTGTCGGGTGCTATGCTTGTTTGCTTGCTCCCTGGGTGATAGGATCATTCATACCCCAAACCTCAGCATCACACAATATACCCATGCAACAAACCTGCACATGCACCCACTGAATCTAAAATACAAGTTGAAAAAGAAGAAAATATTTTGTTTGTTTGTTTCACTATGTGGTATAGGTGGTTGTGAAGAATACAATTCTTAAAAGTCAAAGAAACTTAAATAGACCAATAGAATATGGGCTCCTGGACAGGAATCTTGTTCTCTGCTCTATCCTCAGTACTTGGCCATGTAGGAGGGAGCTCATTTAACATTTGATGAATGAATGAATGAATGAATGAATGAATGAATGAATGAATGAATGGATGAATGAACAGGAAGGTGAATCTCCCGGGGTGAAGGTTGATTTCTAGCCTTTTTTCAGAGACTTCTCTAGTCTGAGTAGGTTCTGAGTCATTTTGTAGCAGACCAGGCTTTTCCTTTACAGTTTTCTCCAACCTGCCTCCCCAGGGTCAGGCCACTAAAACCCCTAGGCAGATTCTCCTGGGAGAGATCCTTAGAGATTCCCATCATTGCTACCTTCCCCCGGTCGGTTTCCTTATGATCATTTACGATGCTTCATATTTTTATAAGTATGGTTTTCCAAGCAAAGGGCTGTTCTGATGAATGAGAGAACAAATTGATGGCGAGGCTTCAGGGGCCAAAGCAATAATCAGATGGTCATTTAGCCAGCCTTTGCTTCAAACCAGACACTCCATCCCAAGTGCTCAACTTGCATTATCTCATTTAATTTTCTTGACAACCCTCTGAGTTTGGTACTATTATTATTTCCATTTTTGCAGGTTTAGAGGAGCCTTGGGTCACGCAGTTGGCAATTCAGTGGCCCAGGACTTAAACCTGGCTTGCTTCCTGCCAAGGTACATTGCTCTTAACATATGGCCAGAATAGCCTTGATCAAATCAAATACAGGACTCTGAGCCTGAGGCTTATCCATTGCTGGCGGTGGGGTGGGGTGTCACGTGCTCCCCAGGCCAGGCCTGAACAATAGGACCTCCTGGGGGGAGAAAAATCAGCTGTGGAAATTTAGAGACACTCCCTGTTCTCCTTCAACCTGAAAGGAAGAGAAAAGAGAGGGTGGGTGTGCTGGTACTGAAGAGGTGGAGCTTTGACTAATATGCTCATCAGGACTTTGCCTGCAGCAAAAAGATATCTTTGGAAGCTGTGCCTGTGGAAAGGTCAGTATTAGCTCAATCAAATTTGGCTTATGGAGAAACTTCGGGATTACTTAGTTGCAGTGGAAATGTGTCTTTGTCTCTACAGTTTTGGTTGGAAAGAAAGCAATGTGTCCCTGGGACTGTCAAAACGCTTTTTAACCAGTAACAGGAAAACTATGTATGTGCTGGTAAATTTGCATTGAATATGGAAACTTGGCACATAGAGTGTCAAGCAGATGGAGTTTCAGACTGGGAAAAGAATGCCTTTCAGATTCCATCCAGCTCTGAGCTATCCTCTCTCTCCTGGGGGAATTACTCAGGATGATCTAGAAGAGAAAGGAACCGATAGTTGGCCCCGGGAGCACGAATCAGGAGCAATTGGGAGTGGAGAAGGCAAGTGACTGAAGATGAGAGCTGAAGCAATGCCCCTTTCCAGGTATACAGTGGTGGCAGGCACCTGGTGCTAGCCACAGGTGCAAGGGCTGGCTTTTCATAGAAACAAAGACTGGTCTAGACACAAGCCTACAGGTATTTCCAGATGATGGCATCAAGTGATGTGAGAACAGATAACCAAAGAAGGCCTGCTAAGAGTCTTTTTGCCTTGAAATTCAAAGGAGCAGAGGACCTTATCTACTTGGGTAGGTGAATGAGAGTGTGTTTTGGTGGCAGAGAGTGGATAAAGGAATTTGTGGGGATGTCTTCGGTCAGCTCAGATAAGGAAAGTGAGGGTGAGAATCACAGCAAATTTTCCTGCCCCAGCCTTTGATATAGTCTCAGTTTCATTCATTTCTCCTCATCCTCTCTCCCTACCCACAACCCACACTCGTATTTGCCATGTCTTTCTTCCAATGTAGGAAAGGGACAGCTCAGACATCACCTCTTCCAGGAAGATTTCTACCCCAGTGCCTCATGCTGGGCCAGATGTCCTAGCTTTGTATCACAAACATTCACTAAGCCCAAGGGTATGTGACCCTCTAGTGTGTTGTCCTTTGGCTCCCTTTTGACTGGGAGTTCCTCGAGAGAAGAGAAGGTCCTATCCCTCTGTGTGTGCCCAGCACTTATCCCAATGCCTGGTACATAGTGGAAACTAGTAAACAGAAGCTAGTGTTTACTGTAGTATTTTAGCTTAAACCATTATCACCAGTAGGGGCTGGGGAGCTGTGGAGAGTCTAAAGTTAGAGTAACCAGGCTTCACCCCAGGCTGGCCCTAGTGAAAGTCCCCTAATGCCTTCTCCTGCTAAATTTCATCATTCAGGCAACAAATATTTATTGAGCACCTATTATGTATCAGCACTTTTCTAGGTATTTGGACACATCAGGGATCAGAACCAACAAAAATTACGAAGTTCACATTCTAGTGGGAAAAGGGAGCAGAATGCAAACAATAAATCATATATCATGAGAAGCAAGTTAAACAGTATGTCAGAATAATATGTATCTATTAAGGTATTATGTTGGGGAAAGAAAGGAGATGGGGGAAATAGGGCAGGAGCACTTAACATTTTAACTGATACCTTAAGGTGTCAGCCTAAAAAAAAAAAAGACATCAGAGAAATATATCTCCTAATTTAATGATCTTATTTGTGAGTAAGCAAAAGGATTATAATCTAGGATGCACAGCTATAGCAAGCAACAGATGCACCCGAAGAGGGGAGGGTGAGGGGAAGCTTTTATTGGCAAAAGGAGAAGTTCACATAAGCTGCTTAGAAACAGAGTTCATTGGCTCTGGAGACTCAAAGCCAGAATTGGCGTCAGTTCATTGGTGGAGATGCTGTTACTAGGCAAGTAGTCTTTTGAGAGTATCTTTTCTGAATTGCTGTAGTCCTAAAGAATGTCTAGTGATAAACCTGGTCCTAGAAATATGTGCCTATGTATAAAATATAGATCACGAAAAGCATGAGATGTGTGAAGGACGTGAAGGAATTTCTTAGGGGCTTATTTTAGAAAGTCCTTGAAACACTCTTATCTCAAGCAAGCGTGGGTCCTTCTCCTTCCTGCTTTCCCACCTCCAATTTGGTTCTGACAAAAGTGATTTTGTCCTGGTATCTGCAACTTTCACAACGGGTGAATAGAACTTAGGCAAGATAAAAGGGACGAGGGGAATCACGCAGAGGGGGTATTGATAAGGGATCTTTTGGTAATGGTGACAACTCAAAGTAGCTTAAGCAAGAAGGGAATTTACTATCTCACATAACTAAAAAGCCCAGTGACAGCCCAGGCATAGCGGGATCTGAGGGCCCCAGCAGTGATGTCAGGGCTCTCCTCAACTTCATCTCTTGGTCCTGCCTTCCTCTTGTGTTGACTCCATTCTCAGTGAATGGCCTCTCGAGGATGGTATATCATCACTGCAGCTCCAAATGCTCACCCTATCTTCTGAGCAGACTCAGTAAGAAAGAGTTCCTTTCTCCTTTAAGCCTGCAAAACTCTCAGCTGACCTCTGATTGGTACTTTTCCGGTCACATGACCATCTCTGACCCAATCAGTGTAATGAGAGAGATGTGCAATGGTGTAATTGGCTGAGTCCGAATCCCTGTGCACCCCTGGAAGCAGGGCTAGCTAGCATCGGGTCCACTTAAATCATGTGGTCTAAGCCTGGGGTGAGGTGGTTCCTAAGAAAAATCGGGAGAGTGGGCAATGGGCAAGCAAATACCCATTGTCTTATCTACAAGGAAAGAACAAGTCGAAGGCCCAGAACCAAAGAAGTGAGCTGATTGTCTGAGGTCACACCCCTGGCAAGGCCAAAGCTGGAAGCCCCACTCTTAGTTCACACTGCTTCTGAGTGCCCTCAGAAAAAAACCCACTGGGGGCCTTCTGGCCTTCCACTTGTGATTTTCTTTTTTCAATGACTTCGGTTACAGCAGCAAACAGCTTCACTATTTGGAATGTCCTCATTTCAAAAACAGCACACCTACTTTAATTCCTGACGTGAATTTTGTATGATTCCACTAGTTCTAATGAATAAACAAACAAACAAACAAAAAGCACGTATTTCTTTGTTGTTCTTTTAGTGATCCAGAGCCTCAGAGGTGTGGTTCAGCCAGAACTAGGGATCCCAAACGGATTGCGGTTTCGTGGAGAAGGGTGAGCACAGAGAACATCTAAGGGAAAGATGAGGCCAGGTCCATCTAGCCCTAGTTGTCAGAGGTTGTTCGCTGGTGCTCAGAGGGGGTCGCTCCGCCTCCTGATGGGGTAAATAGGGCAGACCAAATTTATCCTGATGTACTTCCAACCTGCCCCTGAAGAGCAAGTCGCAGCTGGGTCTAATGGAAAGAAAGACCACATAGGAGCGAATTTGCTTTAATCAGCCCAGATCCCTTCATTTATAAATGACCGAGAGCAGACCGACAGAAGTCTGAACTTTGAACCTCTGAACTTTGGAGTGATAACTCCTGTTATCCAAGGGTTAAGACGTGGAGATTCTTCCAGGCCAGCCAGGCCCTTCCCTCTATTCTCAGTGGCTATTTCTGTGATACCTGCTATGGGGTGCATGGTTCAGGTTCTAAGGCCCTGACAGCACTAAGGGGAGTTTTTGTATGTGTCTGAGTTATTTTCACCTTGACAATGCCCTGCTAGAATAATAATACATGTGGATGAGAAAAATAGGACTCATTTTTCCCAATGTCATTTTGTACTTTCTAGCACAATACTTGGCACATAGTAGGTGCCTGACAAATATATATTGAATGAATGAGTGAGTGAGGAGCTTTTCAGGAACACGCTGTCATTCAAGTAACTTCACGGAGGAGCTGCTTGATGTACAGGCAGATGCTGGGCTCCTAGCCCATCTGGGGGAGGACAGCAGATCCGGAAGTTTGAATATCTCCATTTTTGCAGAGAAAGCGCCGTGGCCTCCACACGCTCATGCCCACCCCACGCCTCCTCTAATGTGTTGTGCCTGATCAGATGGGAAGGTAATCCTTTGCAGTGGAGAGATTTAAGCTGTTATCTAACAGACTGCGGGTGGATTAACGAGGCTTTCTGATAAAACCTTAAATGGGTTAGTTTCATTTTCCCCTTCGCACTCAGGGAGCAGGTGAAAAGAACTAGCTAGTTGACTGTGTTGCAGTTTGGACCAGAAAATTAATGAAAGGAGAGACAGGGCCAGGCAGCGGGCAGAGAGGTTCAAGGTAAAGGCTGGATTTTGGCACTGGCTCAGCCTTAGGAAATTCTGGACAAGATATTGGATCTCCGGGCCTGTCTTCCCTTAGCTTCAAATGGGAAATAATAATACCTACCTCACAGGGATGTTGTGCAGATGAAATGAAATCTCTGACATGAAAGGCCTTTGAAGAAGATAAAAGCACTTCCCTGTGTGAGGCTATTATTATCATGGACAAGAGACACACTGCAGGGCTGAGGCTTGGCCTAAAACACCAGGATTCTCTGAGACCTTTGAAGGATGGTCTTTCGGCCTACATTTGCCCATGTGGAGAGGGAGAATTGTGGTGGCAGCCACATACTTCCCTGAGGAATGGGAGAGCCAAGTTGTGTCTGGCCATGAGTTTGGAAATAATGCCACGACAGAATGGGAAGTCATGTTCACTACTAGTGACTCACCCACATACTCTCGAAGACAGAGCCAAGCCCAAATTCAAGGTCCTGTCCTCCATAATGACACATGCTCAGAGAAGGGTGATTACAACCCTTCTGTCTATGCCTAATTCTCTTTTTCTTGTCTATAAGACTTCTCACAGGAGAATGAATCTTCTAAATCCTTAATGAATTTAAATTCTAGTTGGAGAGAAAAAATAAAGACACAGAAAAGAATTTCATAACAATGAAGTCATTATGTTATGAATTTAAAAGGCAGCACCACACAAGCCTTCAGGGAAAGGATGAATCGCATGGGTTGGGGACAGTTGCATGTGGAGTGGGGTGGTTGAGTACCTGGTCTAGATCTTGGACCAGTTGCTTAACTGCTTTGCACCTCAGTTTCCTCATCTGTAAAGGGAGAATAATGATAGAACCCGTTTCATTAGACAGATCTGAAACCAGTCAAGTATTTAACAGGAGATACCTATCATTTTTATTATGTTGGGGCTTTGTGGATGTGTAAGATTGGAAGAGAGGAAAGGAGAAGGTCTTTGAAACAGAGGATATAGGAGTGAGTGGAATGCCTGCAGACACCCATTGGGAAGCTGGCCTAAGAGGAGAGATGGTATGGTGGGGAGCTGCCCTTCAACAAACATTGCTCAGGCTTCCCTGAGATGCTGGAACACCATAGTGAGCAATGACACCCAGGGTTGATGCCCAACATTGGCTGGCCTAACTGGGAACAAGAACATGACCCTAAAACCAAGCCTACTTTAAGGCTTGCTCAGATTACGTTGGATGGTTTATGTGCAAAGGCCATGTAGAATTTTATCACTATTATTTATAAAGAAAAATAATTTGAGGGATAATAATAGATATGCTTATTTTAAATTATACCTAAAACTTATGAATCATAGCTCTTACTCATATGCAGTATACGGAATGCATCTATAGCCTACAATAGTTAAAGTACAATAATGTGAGTGCTTTATCAGTAAAACTTCAGAGAATTTAAAAAGCTCTGTGGTCTTACTCCCCCTACAGACACGCATGCACGTATGCACACACACTAAGCAAATGAGTTTGCCCTTTATCTTGTAGACAGTTGTGAGAAGGTGCCTGGGAAGGCGTACAGCATAATGAAAGTGATGTTTCAGAGGATTCTCCTGGCTGCAGTGTGCATGATGGCTTAGAAGGTGGAGTGAGATGGGGAGATCAGCAAGGAGGCTATGGCAATAAGTCAAGTTAACTAAATCCAGCACCTGTCTTTTTCTTATTTTCCCCTGATGTTGATGATACAGTGCAGAATTCAGCAATGCCTAATACCACAGAATGTACATTTCAATCCTTCATGCTCTTCCTGTGCCTGCCCTGTGTTCCATCTAGATTCTCTCGGCCCTCCTTGCCAGCTCAGCCTGCCATTTGGAGGCCTACTTCTTTATCCCCCACCTTTAGGGTAGAGTCACATAGAAACCCTTCCAACCCTGATAAAAATCCTCACATTTAAGAACCCCAGAAAAGAGCATATAGGGATGGCCGGGTGGGGCCATCTATGGAAGTATGCTCAACCAACATGACCACAACAGGAGTGCCCATCTCCTCAGGGCTTCCATGTGCCAAGTACGGTGATGAGAGCTTTATAGAAATCATCTCATTTAATCCCCACAACAAACCTAAGAAGTGGGTATCATATCTCCCCTATTGCCTTTTACAGACAAGGCAATCGAGGGGCTAAGCCACTCACTAAGGTTATGAAACTTAAAACTTAAAGCGAGGTTATGAAATTTAAAGCAAGGTGGAGGAGGACTTTGAGCCTGCACTCCCACCACTGAGCTTCCTGCCTCTCCGGGTCTTGTTGGAGTCCCTACCCCACTCTGGACCATTAGTTCAGAGGGTTCTTGAACAAAGGTAAGAACATTGAAGATACTTCACTTGGCCTTTCTGAGTCTCAGATTCCTTATTTATAAAATAAGGGGGCATGGACTAGCCATTTTGGAGCAATTAATTGTATTTAGACAATGAATCAGATGGACTCCAACAAAGCAGATACAGTCAGCCCTCTGTACCCTCGGGTTCCAAATTTGCAGATTCAACCAACTGCAGATCAAAAATATTTGGGGAAAAAACAATAAAAATAACACTCCAACAATAAAAAATAATACAAATTTTAAGAAATACAGTATATCCACTATTTACATAGAATTTACATTGTGTTAGGTATTATAAGCAATCTAGAGATGATTTAAAGTATATGAGAATGTATGTAGGTTATATGCAAATATGATGCATTTCATATAGGGGACCTGAGCATCCCAGGGCTTTGGTATCTGTGGTATCAATCCCTGGTGGATACAAAGGGATGACTGTAGAGGATTAGATGATCCCTGAATACTTTTCAGCTTGGACATTCTAGGAGCCTTTTCTTCAGCCTCTTGTTCCAATAATTCTCACTATCTTGCTGTGCCTTTGATCTAGTGTAAATCACCTTGCACGTTAACTCACCTATTTTAATGTGCAAATTCATCTCCCAGCAGCAGCGAGATGAATTCCGTGTGTGTGGGGGTGTGTGTATGTGTGTGCTTGTTGCCCGAGGGGAGTTGAGGGATCTAAATGAGCATCCAGAGCTGCTGAAGATAAGAAGCCCAAACATAAAGTTGGGGACAGATGTGACAATGGAGTGATGCTCAGGCTGAGCTGAATCAGCACATCTGGCAGGCAGCCACCCTCATTTAAAGCAGTTCCTTCCAACCCGCTGGTGACAGGAGCCCTGCTCCAGAACTGGGGAGATCTGAGGCTGGGGTGGCTGGCAGAGGTAATCGGCAGCCCACTGTTCCCTGCTTTGCCAGCACCCTAAGGCTCCCTCCTACCTAAGCCAGGGCTGAGCCTCAGAGCAGCCAAGAAAGCCTGATCCAGCCCCAGGGCAAAATCAGACCACAGGGCAGAATGTCTCCAGGGAGAACTCCTTCATCATTTTGCCTTTTTGAAATTGAGATCAAATTAGGAGTCTTATTAAAAGGAAATAAGTCATCCAGCAGCTTCAGGTCACAGAAGCCCAGTGCTTGGCTGGCATGTGGCCACCCACAGGGCCGGGAGCTGCTGGAGGAGGTGGTGGGCAACTGGATGTCCCGCTGGGCTAGCACTCCTCTTTCTAGGGCATCAGGGAGGGTAGGGGGATGCAGCTCTGGGGCTTTAGGAGAAAAGAACTAATGACATCCTGATGAATATATGATTGGAGCTACAGTCATTGCAATCAACAGGTTTTCCTGATTATAAACTGAGGACAAACTGCAAGTAACAGAGGAGTATCTGTTTGCAAAGAGGATTTTAGAGCATTGATCCTAGCACCTTCCACTTCACACTGGGTCCTGTTGATGCCCATGCACCCCTGGCCCCAGGCCCTGACAAGGAGCGCTGCTACCCTATCCCTGAGCCCTGAGTTGCTCTGAACCCCATCCCACCCAAGACCAGTGCTCTCAGGCCCTGCTGCCATGGGGTCATGTAAGAAGGCAGGCTTCTGGCTGGCAGCTGGCTCTTGGGGGATCTTCATGTTTGCCACCAGTCACAGGAGAGAGGGAAAGGTAAACAGAGCCAAATACATGCTTGCCTTCAGTGAGACGGAGGACCAAGGAAGATAAGCAGATCCGTGAGGGTGGGAGGGGGCAGATAATGGGCTCATGGTCATTTCTGTTCTCAAAAAGAGTCGCCATTAAGTAAATACTTTCTATCTGTCAGTCACCTATGCTAGGTACTTCATGTATATTATATCCAAACCACAGAAGGAGAGGTAGGTGTTGATGCTCCCATTTTATAGAGAGGAAACTGGGGCTCTGAGAAATGTGGTGACTTTTCTGCAGGTCACACTTAGTAAGGAGAGGAATGTTTTACATGCAGGAAGAGTTAAGAACACAGCTTGGGGTCAAATTCTGACTCCCCTGCTTCCTGGCTATGTGATCCTGGGTGGGAAAGTACTATTCTGTTTTTATCTTATTTACCTGTAAAGTGGAGATAATACCCACCTCACAGTCGTTATGAGGCTTATGTTAGGGCAGGATCTTCAAGTTTTGATAGGGTGCCTAGTGCAGAGCAAAGGCACAATGCACGGGGGGTGGGGGGGCGGGCATGGTGGCTCGCATCTGTAATCCCAGCACTTTGGGAGGCTGAGGCAGGTGGATCACTTGAGGTCAGGAGTTCGAGACCAGCCTGGTCAACATGGTGAAACACCATATTTCATAAAAATATGAAAATTTGGGATACGGACGCATGCCTGTAATCCCAGCTATGGGAAGCTGAGACATGAGAATCACTTGAACCTGGGAGGCAGAGGTTGCAGTGAGCTGAGATCACACCACTGCACTCCAGCCTGGCCGATAAAGTGAGGCTCTGTTTCAAAACAAACAAACAAACAAACAAACAATGCACAGGCAGGCTTTATTCTTTCTCTCTGCGTGTCTGCAGGATGCCAGTCTATGAGGACCAAAAGCTCATTCCCTGGGAAAGGGAGTCAGCTCTAAATGGGTTTTCTTCACCTCTGATTATTCTCTCCTGTAACGGAACCCTTGGAGAGCCTCTATTTTCAAGTTATTTAGAAAATGAGACCTCTTACTTAAAAAAAGTCATGTGGTATTAAATGTCTTCTTGTCCTCAGAATATTAGGTTAGTGCAAAAGAAATTGCAGTTTTTGTCATTACTTTTAATGGCAAAAACTGCAATTAGTTTTGCACCAACCTAATACTTCTTAGTCATACTTCCCCTCAGTTCTCCAAGCCAAGAAGCTCTTATTTGAACCTATCCTTAAAAAAGTGTTTACAATAGCAGCCCGTGACCTGTTGCAGCATCTCAGCCCCTTCCTATTGTTTCCTCTCAACTCTGAACCTCAGTCCCACCTTGCGGCGCACTGGAACCACCGTCCTCACGTCATGTATGAAGACAGTGAGCAGCTCTGGACTGTCTGTTACCTGCCACCTCTGCTGTGGCTTCAGGATGGTGATGGAGTTCCATCCCGGCCACATCCTCTTTAGGATGGAAAATCCCAGCTCCTCTGCTTGTTGAACCAGAAGACTCTGATTACCTGGAACAAGCCGTGTCTCCAAGGGTGGTGTCGGGGCTCCTGGCAAGTGGAGATGAGGCCTTCTGAAAGATGGCGCTGGTATTTTCCATGCTGCCTGGAAGGTCTGCATGGTAGCATGTGTTAGGGGTAACAAGTTTGGGGCGGTGGCGGGGGTGGATCCACACTGGAGAGGGAGAATACTAGCATGTGAAACATCTCTTCCCACCTGCGAGGAGACAGAGCTTCAGGTGCAGCAGACTCTCTTCCAAATTGGAGATGACTGCTCTCGGCAGGCACTCTGGAACAATAAACATAATAACGTAATTTGACATTCCCCACTCTTTGGGGAAGAGAATACACCTATCATAGCCATTTTCAAGAGCCAAGAAGGAGGGCAGCCATAGCAGGGGAAGGCGGGGCCTGAACTTCAAAGGAGACAGGGCTGGTGGTTATGAACACAAACAGCCTTTCCGTTTTCAAAGCTCCACGGAATTCTGTGAAAACAGCAACTTTTGCACCCTCTAATTTTCTTCTTTGTGCTCTGATTAGCATCGAGCCGTTCTCCCTTTGCAATTCAGTAGCCTCTTGAAGGGTGTTTGTTTGCATGATAGGACTGATGGGCAGGTCCTGGCTAGTGGCCTGTCACTTGCTTGCCACCCAGGGCGCCACCACAGAGTGCCCCAGTGAGCTCCCTCCAGCCATGCGCAGTACATCAATCTGAATGAGGGGCTCAGGCCATTGATTTTCTTCCACCGCCCACCCCCGTCACCAAATGCCAATTATTTATCTCCGTTTCAGAAACGAAGTTCTTAATTTAAGCCAACAGCTGCCTTACCTGTGAAGAACACTTTCTTTGGGTGTGTTGAATAACATCTCCCTGGAGGAGGAGGATTTCCTTTCCTACATGCTTCAGAGAATGGCCAGCTTGATTCCTTAAAGGACATGAGCTTCATCCTTTCCCAGACCCTTCAAACTTAACCCAAATGACGTCATAGTTGACACCCTCAATCTCAAGATAGAGTCTGGTAATCTCTTATATTTGCGTAGTACTTTATAATTCCCAAAGTGCCTTCACCTCCAAAACTTCATTTAACCTTTACAACAATGGAGGAGGTAGGTTGGGCAGGTATTAGTGTTTCCAGAAGCAGTAGCCAAAGCTCAGAGAGGTTAAGCAACTTGCCCAAAGTCACATGGCTGGCAGGGCAGGTAGCAGGGTACGACCAAAAGTCTTTGGAACTTTGGTCTGGGACTCCTGACATTCACTGTACCATGAAGACCCTGCCTCCTACTCTAAAATGATTCTGTGATTGTAAGGAGCCAGAGATAATGCCACTTATTGGACTTCTCACTTAGGGACTTGCAGTCCACAGGTGACCCTGGTTTAGAGTGACCCTGGGGCAACTGGAAGGGAGCGTTGCCTCTGGGGATGGGGTGAGAGTACAAGGTGGGTTAGGGAAATCAACACATTTGCATCAGTCAGGGTTCACTGTAGAAAGAGAAGCCTGTGCTTTGGCACCTTTAGCAGAGAACAATCTAACCCATGGAACAGGGTGCCTATAGCACCACCAGATGGGCTGGAGGAGGGTGCCAGAGGGACCCCCAGGAATGATTCCCAGAATGATTCACGCAGAGTTCTCCTAACAGGGGAGACACCACCTACCACTCACCCCACTGAATTTAACGGCACATGCAGTGGCTGCAGGCCAGGAGTCAGCTGCAGGCCACCAATGATGCCAATGCAACTCTCTCTCAGCACTCCACAGCTGGAAAAACGGAGCTGAAATGCTGCTACCAACAAATCTGATGTTTCTAGCATATTGCCAGCAGAAAATAGCAAAAGGGGTAGGAAGTGGCATTAGATTGGCCACTAGTTCCCATCTAGAATCGTTGCTACAAGGGAGTCTGGGCAATGTGGCTTTTTGTGAGATGGTTTCTAGCTTCTACAGAACAGGAAAGAACATTCAAAGGAGGGTACAATGGAAGTCGAGTAAGCCAGTGCACAGAGCCCACCACAGCAGCCAGCCTAATGCCCACTCTCTTGTTACCCGTGAAAACCTGAAATGCAAACACTCTAAAAATGAGTACTTGATTCTGAAGTGGATACATCAAAGGTCTTTATTAGCATAGGAACAACACACGGTGTGCATCTGTGTGTTCCCCAAATGCACACAAACCCTGTCTCTCTCAAGAATCACTGATGTATTTCATCGTAGAGTTGAGAATTTCTAGGCCATGAAGCTTTCTCAGTTGAGCAGCAAATCTGTCACAATCAAAACAAACAACCCAGGGCATAAGTGCCACGGTTCAGGCTTCTGGAGCCCAGAGCCAACACCCTCTCAGATGGAAGCTGGCTGAGAACGTCAGTCCTATCACTCTGGGTGGAAACAGGAAGTGGCTGTGGCATTGGGGTACCCTAAAGATCACAGGGGTAAGTAAGACCCTCAGGGAGGCCCACAAAGCACTGAAAACACTCGCTGCAGGTGGCAGGTGTGTCAGGCTGATCAGACAGGACCTTGCTCTCGAGAACTCCCCCATAGGTTGCCACTTTGAAGTCATCCTAGCTAATGTGCTTTCTTTCTATAGAAGAAAGATTTTAACTATTCCTTCCATTTGAACAACCAGACAGAACTTGAAAGGACCTTAGATATTATCAAGGCCAACCCCCTCAATCTACAGAGGAGGAATTAAAGGCATGTGGATGTAAGGGAAGGAGCCTCTCTCACTCAGCTCCCGGGGTTACCCTTGCTCTATGCCAGGGCTCCTTTGCTCAGCCACAGGTGGACACCTCCCAAAAGCACGTGCAATGAGATGCGTCTGCACATCAGAAGAGGAGCAGAGCAGAGTGGAGGTCTGAGCTAACAGAGAAGCCATGGGCACAGTTACAGCCCACATCTCTTGCCCTCGCTCACTGGGGACCTCGGCATGCTGTTCTGCGTCTCTCCTTCTCCACTGTTTTCTCCTGCATGAACATGTGACCCTTGCTGGCCGTTCCTCCATTTGTTTAGGCTGAGGCAAAGAACATGAAGTGGGGGGTCTGTTTCTGGAAAAGTGGAGAAGAGAGAAAAGAGGGAAGAGAAGGGGAGGTGGAGTGGGAGGGAGGGGAAGAAGGAGGATAAAGAGACAGGGAGAGGGATGCAAAACAGTGGAGAATGGAATGGAGAGAAGGCAACGGCAGCAAGTGGGAGCAGCACGTCCCTGTCAGACAAGCCGATTCCCTCTCTGGTTGGAGACCGAGAGCTCCCCAGTTTCCTCTAGAAAGGCTTTCTTCAGAGAAGCAGCTACTGGGCTTAACCTAGGTCTGCACAGAAAGCATGAGGGCTTCCCACACTGTTCTGTGTGGCATGCAGTCCCAGCCAAAACTCAGCACCTCAGCTCAGCTGCTCTTTCTGCAATAGGTCAGCCTGGCTCCGTGTCCACAGCATACCTGGGCTCAGCTGTGCACAGCTTCCCCAGAGCAATGCCTGCGTTCACCTGCACGGCCGTCTTCTGTGTGTCACTGCCTGCAAGCTTTAACAAGACCTGCAAAAGGTCCGTCTTTAGCAGGGAAGACGCAACGTTGGGCACCTCCATGCAGTTACCAAGGCAGAGGGCAGCGTTGCCCACCAGAACCTCATCCTCCGAGCTGAGCAGCTTCATCATAACGCTCAACTCTGCAGGGAAAGAAGAGAACAAGCAACAGCTCCTTTTAATCCCAAAATAGGAGGCTGGCAACAGGACATGAGGGGTGCAGGGAGATGTCAGCGGACACCGAGCTTCCCCAGTAACTCTGCAGCAGAACTTGTTCACTTACTCATCAGCAAACATTCACTGAATGCATATGAACCTCCTCAACTCCTTGCTGAACCTCTGAAGTATCTCCGCTTCCTAGAACAGTGCCCAGCACAACACAGTTGTTAGATGAATGAATGCTGTGTGTCAGACAGGTCTGTCTTCTTGAAAGCCTATTCTTAACCTCTCACTGCGCCAGGGTGAGAGGTCTTATCTGACAGCCCCCAGGTGGAGGCAATGTGCCAGCAACCTACACCTGCAGGGTATGCAACAGGATCCAGGAGAAAGGCTTGCCGCTTCCATGGTGGAGCCTCCTTCAGTTCACCTTCTGTGCATTCCAGGGAGTTGGTAAGAAGAACATTAGCAGGCTGCCTCTCCTGGGAAGCCTGCTGTGAATAACTACAGCCGGTTTAAGTTACTGGACTAAACCTAGGCTCAGACTCTGATATTTCCCTTGTTCACTAAACGTTGACGGTGTTTCCCCCTCTCCTTCTGTGAAGGCAGAGAACTGAACTTGGTGAGAGGAGGGAGTTTCCTAGCTTTGACCCTGTTATCTTTGAGCCATCTGTCAGCTGGGTCTCCAGCCTGGGCATTCTACCTGTGTGCATCCAAAAGGTTAATTAAATGCTTTCAGATCTGGATGTGAAACATCTTCTGTAAACATTGCTGAAGTCTGGGAGAGGTTAACAGCATTGCTGCTAAGTTCCTCCTCGACCACAGTTCCCTTTGCAGCTTCAAGGGTGGATGAACCTCTGGGACAAGGGCTCCCTTAAGGAAATCATCACTTACTTTTATCCAGTCTTATTACTTCTTCCCGAGCTTCATGATAACTATTCGTGCAGATAGCTAGTATCTTTATAGCATAACGTGATGCAGTCTCACCTCCTGTCTAGATTTCAGAATGAAATTAGAAAAATAAAATCAGTGCTATGATTGCTCTTGACCACAAACCACAGCAAGCAGTTATTATAGCGCTAGTGGCTTCCTAAACTCTGAAAAGAGAATTCTACTGAGAACGGCATGTGCTTCCTGGTGGGCAGGCATGGTCCCTGCTGGAACAGAGTGTCACCCGCATCCTCTCTAACCCAGCCCACACCCCTGACAGGAATGTAGGCCTGTCATGTACACCTGAGTAATTGCCTCCGGAAGGCTTTATGAGCAAGTGGCTGAGAAGAGAATGATGCTGATGAATGGCAGATCTACCAAAAAGGGAGGAAAAGGCCCTCCCATGTCATTTTCCCATTTGAGAACGAGGACTGACTTGCTAAGGCTGTCAGGCTGACAGTCCTGCATGAGGAACTTCAGGAACCTACATCATTTTAAGAGATGACAACTGTCAAACACAGCCCTTGCAATCACCCATGTGGGGTCTTTAAAAGGCATGTGTGCACGTATGCACGTGTGATGCATGGGTATGCATGCCATCAGGAGCTTTTGGTGGGTTTGCAAAAGTTATAATGAATGACAGTCATTGTTCAAGTGGCAATCTAAACTCAGACCCCCTGTGCTGCCCCCTCAGTGTCACCCCTGCCCTAGCAGCAGCCCGCAGAGCATGCTTCCCTGCGCCACTCAGCCTGATGCTTTATGAATAAAAGCCATGTGTCACCACACTAACATGGGTGTATGGACCTCATGGGCACACACATCATAGGTGGGATTCTGAGATGGCAGCCTAGTGTATTAATCCCCTTCGCCCTTGCAGGTGAATCCAGATAACTGCTCTACTGGCTTGCTTAGATTCACCACACTCATCTCACAGGGAAATCCCAACATCCTTTGGTCACATGGTAATTCTGCAGGCTACATGTCTCATAGATGGAGTTCCATCCAACACTCTCCAGATAACTGTATAAAGCATCATGAGTAGCAAAACCTGAGCAGAACAATGTGCCTGAGAAACGTTACAGAAAGCCACTCAGATCATTTTTATCAAGAACAGTGGCCATATATTTTTAAGTCAGGCTTGAGGGGTAAGCAGGTTTTATAGATGTATCTAATGAACAATTTTCTTATTTATTCAACAATCTGTTGTTGATGTTCAGAGTATGGTCTGGGTAGACAGGCAGAAGCAAATCCCTATCCAAGAAGTTTAAAATCTAGCAAGGAAGAAATGGCAGCACATTAACCAAACAAAGCCCACCTTAATTCTGTTCCCCGAATAAAATAGGAGACTTCTGTACATTTCAGGGGTTGTAACCAATAAAGTGATCTTACCTTCAGGAATTTCATCATTTTCTTTACCACTCCTGCTCGCAAGGCCTCCTCAACAATTTTCAGAGAGGAAGAAAGGGTCCGGCTCAGAACACCAGCAGCTCTCTGAGTACAGCAGAAAGAGGATAATTAAATGTCCTTTTCAGAAATGCTGACAACCTTTAAAAGCTAACGGGGAGTTTGGTGAGGCAAAAGCAATCATTATATTGGAAGCAAAATATAAAAAATATGATGGCCAAATAATAGAAAGCACTGTTCTTTTTAATAAAGCTGTCAAGGAGCTGTAATCATAGCCCCTTGCCACCCAGAGGCCCATATTATTTCAGCTTCACACAGGATCAACCAGTTCCACTCTGAGAAAGGAAGTTCTCCCTTGTGATTCCTCCCAGAGCTCTGATATCAGCAGGCCCTTTATAAGGAGATGTTTGATTTCCTGGATTGGTCTTCTGTGTCATTTATCTTTATCTTTTCGAATCTTTGTCTTTTGTTCTAGTTTCTGGGATAGTTCATTTACTTTATTTCCCGGCTCTTCTTTCTTTTTTTTTTTTTTTAAATAAATGCCAAGCTGTTACTCTTTTATGGATATAACTATCTTAAATCTTTCTCAGGATACAAATGATAGTTACTATTTTTTTCTTCTGTTTCCTATATCATCTCTATTTCTTTTGGATCAATTTTTATGTTTATCTTGGTTTTCCTATTTATGTGTGTAGCTTTCCTGCAATGTCTGGTTGACCCTTTACCTGCCCAATCACATGTATGAAAAAAGCAAGAAAATATGTTTGGGCATGCTATGTTTATGGGAAGTTTATCAGAAGTATGGAAAGATATAGAGGTGGCACCCCCGTATACTAGAAAGAAAAATGTTTTCTCCAGTTTTTCAGTTCTTTAGAGATAAAAGTGTTCTGATTTTATGCCTGGAGGATAGATGCCTGCCAGCAAACGCAGCTCCACTGCCTTGTACTTCTGCTCTCTGTTGTATCGGGAGTTTTGAAATCTTCATCCTCTCCAGGGTATTATAAGGCAAACCTGCTACTGCCCAGCTACGTGTTCCTCCATTTGTACTCCATACAAAGGTTTCCTCAGCCCTGCCTCATTAATTACCACCCTTGCAGCTGTTCTCCATCTTCAGGAAACTTGTTAAAATTACTTACCTATTGGTAACCATTGCCTGTTCACTGTCAACGTAGGTCTCTACTTTTTTTGTTCCCCCCCAATGGCTTTAATCTCATTTTAATGAGGTCTCCAGAGGGAGAAAAGATAAACTTGTGTATTATCAATCTTGTTTCCCTAATCTGCTTCCTAAAGATCCTAGAATTTTGCTATAGTTGACACCACGGATCCCCTTTCAGGCCCAAGACAGTGGAGACTGTGCTAGACAAGGACCAGATGCCCATGGTGAAGCTGCTGCTCTGCTCAGCAAGCTGGGAAGCACCCAACGTGGCACACAAGGAATGCTGGGGAAATCTGGCCCAAGAGCTCTCCTAAAGGTTTACTCAGGCACTAGTGTAGGCTCACCTTTAGGTCTGGACCATCCGGAAACGGTGGTGCTTACCACTTTGGGGGTCATAGACCTCTTTTGAGGATCTGATGAAAGCTACGATGCCCCGTCTGTGAAAATGCACACGCACAAAACCTTTGCCCTATCCTGTCTGAATTGACTTTGGGGACGTTTAAAGAGTGCTACCCCCAAACAGGGTATGTTGGATCTACTCAGAACATTTTTTAAACTGTGGAGGCAGTCCTCAGTCTGCAACCCTTGAAAGGCTGGTTTCCCAGACCCACCCTAGATGTGGCCCTAATTGCTTCCCTAGCCATTAGGGTCCTGCCCTGACAGGGAGAAAAACGGGTGATCACTTAATGTGAGTGAAGAATACGTTCTAGGGTGATGGCAAATAGCCTCTTGAATCATACTAATATTCTTCTCCTGATGCACTGTGCTAACATATAGGCCTTTCTCAGTTTTCTTATTCAAATGTCAGACACAGAATTGAGAAAGCCATTTCAGCATATATTTTAAAAAGAGGGTAAAACTATTATGCACAAACAACCTCTAGGATCACTGGCTTAAAATATGGGCTTGGCTTTTTTTTTTTCTTATGGAAAAAAGGGATTCTAAATAAGTTGGACACTTGATCTGTCCAATTTGCACAGGATATTTTGAAATAGGACAGATCGGATCGATTATATCATCTAAGCTGGTTAAATTTCAGACCATACGGAAGGGGGATTCTTAAGTTGGGTTCCTGGACTCTAGGGGATCCACAGATGACGGACACAGCAAGGAGGTCACCAAATCTCTGAAACTGTAGACAAAACCTGGTATTTATGTGCTTGTGTACATTATTCTGAATAGTATATCCACACCATATCTCAGAGTCAGCAGATTCTCAAAGGTGGCAACTTCAAAAAGATTACACTGATAATAAAACAAAACAAAACAAAACAAAACAAGAACAATGGAAGCTGCTTCTGGATTTCCCTGGGAGAAACTTACTGTCAGGATTCCTCCATCCTGGCTGTTTAGTAAAGACAGGCACCTTCTGCTCACCTCCACAGCCCAAACCTACAACAATGGGGAGAGGCCAGCAGGAGATTTTAATTTTCTGACAATCTGAATTCTCAGCGGAGCTTCTTCTGAGCACCGTCTCCTTTTTAGCACCACCACACTATGCCCAGGTTCCCTCACAACACCATCTTTTACTGCTTTTATTCCTCCCCATGTCTGTCTCCCCTAACTCCAGGGCATTACCCTGATAGCAGGAACCGCCTTTTATTTGACTTTGTAAATGCAGCACCTCATACTCTGCTCAGCACACCTTGGATACCCAGTCTGTTTTCTGAGTGAATACATGACTGAGTGGTGATCCATCCATCCCTCAGCAGAGCAAAGGGAGAGCGCATCCCTCCAGCCTTTTCCCATTCCACGGCCAGTGTGTGAGTGTACATGCTTCTGTCTCTTCGTGAACATGAGAATGGTTTTATGCCACAGAATGTGTACAGGTTGTCCCAGGGCTCCAGGCAGGGAGACAAGAATGCCATACCTCAGAGACAAAGGGAGCCTGAAGACACAGGTTCATCATGAGTCCCAGGAGTGTGTAGATAACCTCTCTGAACAGGTCCACATCCTCCTCACACCTGGCCTTGGGAAACAAAACAAGGTAACCAATGACCTTTTTGCCTTACAGCTTTTTATGGTCATCTTTTCCCTTGGACAAGGGTCTCAGAGTTCCCCACACTCCCTAAATTGCCAATGTCATGAACCTAAATGATGGTGGAGGATCAGAGACCAGTTCTATGAGTTAGTGTTGGTCCAGGAGACTTGGAAGGAGTCTCTGGTGCCTCTGCCATGGGACTATGGCTGAGGTTGGTCCTGGGTTTAAAGTGAAGAGTCAGCTGCTGAGACGGGTGATCATTCAACTCCACCAGAAAAATCCTTCAAATCAGGATCAGGCAAGATGGCTAACTAGATACAGCCAGGTGGAACAGCTCCCACTGAGGGACAGAGATGACTGACATGCTCCTAATAGATCTTCAAAGGGAAGGCACTGAGAGTAGATGAAGGGAAGATGCAGAAGCAGGGCAGAAAGGGAGTAACTGGGAATGCTGCATGCAAGCCTATGTACCAAGGCTTGTTCTTGGTCCCCAAAGGCTCTTGGGGAATGGGTGAGTTGAACTGGCAAAGAGCAACCTGATCTCATCATAGGCCTCTGGAACCCTGGCAGGAGAAATCCCCTTGACCAGCACAGACACTCATCGAGTTGTCAGGGAGAGCTGCTTAGAGAAGTGGTAGGGGTGGCAAGCCAGTTGATGTGGAGCCCAGAGGGTTGGGCGTAGAAGTGTCTGTAGTGGAGAATGGCCAGGGACAGCCATCCCCACTAGGCTCAACTTGCTCCCACAGGAGACTTTAGCCCTCGGGGAATCATCAGACCTGAACTCTGCAGGGTGGTCTTGCCCATCAAACAGGGCCAGTCCAACTTGAGGACCCCTTGCTCTGCTGGCCTCTCCTGGGGCCCCAGCCAGGCCACACCTGCTTGCTGAGCAGTCTTGGGGGCTCTGGGGGCCCACACCATAGCTTCTGCACTGGCAGACCATGCCTGACCAGTGGAGAGCACCAGCAGAGTACCCCATCACCATGCACCAGCCCACATGCTCCCTCCCCACACTGCAGCTTCCCCTGGGCCCAGGGCAACTCCCCACATCACTTTGCTGGTGAGTGTCTGATCAGGCAGGTTTTGCTTTCCTTGCCCTGCCAGAGCACGGGAGTGCAGTCCTGCCCCTCCTCTTCCCACTGATCACCATTGCAGATGGAGTCTTGATGGGCACAGCTAGCCCCACCCCTACCAGCACCTTCCCCTTGCCCTTGTGCTAGCATGGCATAGAGTATAGCAGATCCTTCTCCCCCTAGGAGCAACCTCCTCTGCTTGTGAGGCACAGAGAAGGCACAATCTTCAGCATGACCACACACACAGTCATCAGCAGGGACCCTCTCCCCCAGCTGCGTTGCCTCTGCCATTGTGGCAAACACCCGCAGGGAGGCAGGCACCCTGACACCTGCTAGCACTCTGCCACAGGTCTTCTGCTGCTGTTGGCATGAGTGAACAAGTTAAGGTCCCATTGTCACCACATTATGAAATTCTTGGGCTAACAACACCCATTGGAGTGTAGTGACCAGAGGTTCGGGATCACCTTGGCTCCCCCAGTAAAGTGTATTCTTAACCTAGAGAAGCCAGAAAACAAAGTTGAGGCCCAATACAAGTCCCTCAGAGTTAGAGCATCCAGTCCAGAAGTTGGGAGCTGAATATTGACCTCCTAAAATCTTCTAGAAATAAAGCCAGTCAGCTGAAGCCACCTTATACCACAATAAAACCCTCAAGGTCGTCAAATAAGATAAAAGAAAAAAAATTTATCCAAAGGTCAGCAATCTCAAAGATTGACAGTAGAGAAATCAACAAAGATAAGAAAGAATCCACATGATAAACCTGATAATTCAAAAAGCCAGAATGCCTTCTTTCCTCCAAACAACCATA
Organism: Homo sapiens; assembly: GCF_000001405.40. NCBI lineage: Eukaryota > Metazoa > Chordata > Mammalia > Primates > Hominidae > Homo > Homo sapiens. The sequence goes on along the minus strand of NC_000011.10, from coordinate 113,357,475 downwards.
ACACCCCTCCAGAAAGGGGTCTAAACCAGGCTGACATGGCTGAAATGACACAAATAGAATTCAGAATATGAATAGGAATGAAGTTCATTGAGCTACAGGAGTACGTTGAAACCCACACCAAGAAAGCCAAAAATCATAATGAAACAATGAAGGAGCTGACAGAGAAAATGGTCAGTACAGAAAAGAACATAACCAACCTGATAGAGCTGAAAAACCACACTACAAGAATTTCATAATGTAATCACAAGTGTTAATACCAGAATAGACCCATCAGAGGAAATAATCTCAGAGCTTGAACACAGGCTTTCTGAAATAAGACAGTCAGACAAGAATAGATAAAAAAAGAATAAAAAGGAATGAGAAAAACCTCTGAGGAATATAGAATTATGTAAAGAGCCCCAATCTACATCTAATCGGTGTCCCTGAAAGAGATGAGGAGAATGGAACCAATTTGGAAAACATATTTCAGGATATCATCCATGAGAACTTCCCCAACCTAGCTAGAGAGGCCAACATTCAAATTCAGGAAATGCAGAGAACCCCAGTAAGATACTTCATAAGATCACCCCCAAGACACATAATCATCAAATTCTCCAAGGTCAAAATGAAAGAAAAAATATTAAAGGCAACTAGAGAGAAAGGTCAGGTCACTTACAAAGGAAAGCCCATCAGACTAACAGCAGACCTCTCAGCAGAAACTCTACAACCCAGAAGAGACTGGAGGCCAATATTCAACATCATTATAGAAAATAAATTCCAACCCAGAATTTCATTTCTGGCCAAATTAAACTTCATAAGTAAAGGAGAAATAAGCAAATGGTGAGGAAATTCATTATCACCAGACCTGTCATACCAGAGCTCCTGAAGAAAGCACTAAATATGGAAAGGAAAGACCATTACCAGCTTCTACAAACACACACTGAAGTACACAGACCAGCATTACTATAAAGCAACCACATAAATAAGTCAGCAAAATAACCATCTAATATCACGATGATGGGATCAAATCCACACATAGCAATACTAACCTTGAATGTAAATGAGCCAAATTGAGCCAAATGTCCCAAGACACAGAGTGGCAAGCTGGACAAAGAACCACGATCCACTGGTATGCTGTCTTCAAGAGACCCATCCAACAAGCAATGACACACATAGGCAAAATAACAGGATGGAGAAAAATCTACTAAGCAAATGGAAAACAGAAAAAAAGCAGGCGTTGCAATCCTAGTTTTAGATGAAACAGGCTTTAAACCAACAAAGACCAAAAAAGACAAAGAAGGGATTACACATATTGGTAAAGGGTTCAGTTCAACAAGAAGATCTAACTATCCTAAATATTTATGCACCAAACACAGAAACATCCAGATTCATAAAGCAAGTTCTTAGAGACCTTCAAAGAGACTTAGTCTGACACACAATAATAGCAGGAGACTTTATCACCCCACTGACAATATCAGATCACTGAGATAGAAAATCAACAAAGATACTCAGGACCTGAACTTAGCACTGGATCAAATGGGCCTGATGTACATACACAGATTTCTCCAAATGAAAACAACAGAACATACATTTTTCTCATCGCCACATAGTGCATACTCTAAAATCAATCATATTTGGAAGTAAAATAGTCCTTAGCAAATGCAAAATAACTGAAATCTTAACACTCAATTTGGAAATTAAGACTAAGAAATGAACTCAAAACTATATAATTAAATGGAAATTGAATAACTTGATCCAGAATCACTTTAGGGCAAATAAACCAATTAAGGCAGAAATCAAGAAGTTCTTTAAAACTAATGTGAACAAAGATACAACATACCAGAATCTCTGGGACATAGGTAAGGTAGTGTTAAGAGGGAAATCTATAGCACTAAATGCCCTAACAGATATTTCTAACTAAAAAGTTAGAAATATCTCATGTTAACAACCTACCACCACAACTAAAGCAACTAGAGAACTAAGAGCAAACAAATCCCAAAGCTAGCAGAAGACAAGAAATAACCAAAATCAGAGCTGAACTGAAGGAGACTGAGACATAAAAACCTATTCAAAAGATCAATAAATCCTAAAGCTGGTTTCTTGAAAAATTAATAAAATAGACCATTAGTTAGACTAAAAAAGAAGGAAAGAGAGAATATGCAAATAGACACAATCAGAAACAACAGGGGGGATATCACCACTGACCCCACAGAAATACAAACAACCATCAGAGAATATTATGAACACCTCTATGCACATAAACTAGAAAATCTAGAAGAAATGAATAAATTTCTGGACACATACACCATCCAAAGGCTGAACCAGGAAAAAAATTGAATCCCTGAACAAACCAATAATGAGCTCTGAAATTAAGTCAGTAATAAAGAGCCTACCAATCAAAAAAAGCCCAGGACCAGCTAGATTCACAGCTGATTTCTACCAGATGTACAAAGAAGAAGTGGTACTATTCCTGCTAAAACTATTCCAAAATATCAAGGAAGAGGGACTCCTTCCTAACTCATTCTGTGAGACCAGCATCATCCTGATTCCCAAACCTGGCAGAGACACACACAAAACAGAAAACTTCAGGCCAGTATCCTTGATTAAGATTCATGCAAATATCCTCAACAAAATACTGGCAAACTGAATCTAGCAGCACATCAAAAAGCTCATCCATCACAATGATGTAGACTATCTCTGGGATGCAAGGTTGGTTCAACATACACAAATAGATAAATGTGATTCATCACAAATAGAACTAAGAACAAAAACCATGTGATTATCTCAATAGATACAGAAAAGGCTTTTGATAAAATTCAACACCTCTTCATGTTAAAAACTCTCAATAAACTACATACTAAAGGAATATACCTCAAAGTAATAAGAGCCATCTATGACAGACCCATGGCCAACATCATACTAAATGGGCAAAAGCTGGAAGCACTCCCCTTGAAAACCAGCACAAGATAAGGATGCCCTCTCCCACCACTCCTATTCAACATAGCATTAGAAGTCCTGGCCATGGCAATCAGGCAAGAGAGAAAATAAAGGGCATCTATATAGGAAGAGAAAAAGTCAAACTACCTCTGTTTGTAGACGACATGATCCTGTATCTAGAAAAAATCACAGTCTTGGCCCAAAAGCTCCTGAAGCTAATTAACAACTTCAGCAATGTCTCAGGATACAAAATCAACATATAAAAGTCACTAGCATTCTTATACACCAACATCAGTCAAACCAAGAGCCAAATGAGAAACGCAATCTCATTTATAATTGCCACCAAAAGAAAATACTTAGGAATAGAGCTAACCAGGAAAGTGAAAGAGATCTCCACAAGAAGAACTACAAAACACAGTTCAAAGAAATCAGAGATAACACAAACAAATGGAAAAACATTCTGTGCTCATGGACAGGAAGAATCAATATTGTTAAAATGGCCATACTGCCTAAAGTAATATATAGATTCAATGCAATTCCTACTAAACTACCATTGACATTCTTCACAGAACTAGAAAAAACTATTTTAAAATTCGTATGGAACCAAAAAGAAGCCTGAATAGCCAAGGCAATCCTAAGCAAAAAGAACAAAGCTGGAGGCATCACGTTACCTGACTTCAAACTATACTACAGGGCTACAGTAACCAAAACACATGGTACTGGTATAAAAACAGACACATGGACCAATGGAACAGAATAAAGAACGCAGAAATAAGACCGCATACCTAAAACTATCTGATCTTCAATAAACCTGATAAAAACAAGCAATGGGGAAAGGATTCCCTATTCAATAAATGATGCTGGGGAAACTGGCTAGTCATATGCAGAAGATTGAAACTGGACCCCTTCCTTTCACAATATACAAATATTAACTCAAGATGGAATAAAGACTTAAATGTAAAATCCAAAACTATAAAAACCCTGGAAGATAACCTAGGCAATACCATTCTACACACAGGAACGAGCAAAGATTTCATGACAAAGACACCAAAAGCAATCGCAACCAAAGCAAAAACTGACAAATGAGATCTAATTAAAGAGCTTCTGCACAGCAAAGGAAATTATCAACAGAGTGAACAGACAACCTATAGAATGGGAGAAAGTTTTTGCAAACTATGCATCTGACAAGGGTCTAATATCCAGCATCTATAAAGAACTTAAAAAAATTTACAAGAGAAAAATAAACTACCCCATTAAAAAGTGGGCAAAGGACATGAAGAGACACTTTTCAAAAGACATACATATGGCCAATAAGCACATGAAAAAAAGCTCAATATCACTGATATCATTAGTGAAATGCAAATCAAAACCACAAGATACCATCTCACACAAGTCAGAATGGCAATTATTAAAAAGTCAAAAAATAACAGATGCTGGCAAGGCTGTAGAGAAAAAGGTACACTTATACACTGTTGGTCGGAGTGTGAAGTAGTTCAACCATTGTGGAAGACAGTGTGGCTATTCCTCAAAGACCTAAAACAGAGATACCATTTGACACAGAGATACCATTTGACCCAGCAATCCCATTAATGGGTATATACCCAAAGGAATAGAAATCTTTTTATTATAAGGACACATGCACATATATGTTCACTGCAGCACTATTCACAATAGCAAAGACATGGAATCAACCTAAATGCCCATCAATGATAGACTGGATAAAGAAAATGTGGTACATATACACCACGGAATACCACAGAGCCATAAAAAAGAAAGAGATTATGTCCTTTGCAGAAACATGGGTGGAGCTAGAGGCTATTATCCTTTGCAGATTAATGCAGGAACAGAACACTAAGTGCCACATGTTCTTCCTTGTAAGTGGGAGCTAAAAGATGAGAACACGTGGTCATATAGAGGGGAACAACACACACTGGGGCCTGCCAGAAGGGAGGAAGGGGGAGAGGATGAGGAAAAATAAATAATAGGTACTAGGCTTAATACCTGGGTAACGAAATAATCTGTACAACAAACCCCCATGACACAAGTTTACTTATATAAGAAACCTAGACATGTACCCCTGAATTTAAAAGTTAAATAATAAATAAATAAATAAATAAATAATTTTTAAAAATTAAAAAAAATCCTTCAAATCTCCCCAGGGCAAATGAGACTTGATCTGCAGGGCTCTTTAAGGCCAGCAGTGCATAAAATCCGTGGTTACAGAAGGGATAAGCCAACTGGCGCCATCCAACACCCACAGAAACAGAATTTTTGGAAAAGTCAGATAACTAAGAAGACGCTAATGCCCCCAAAGAGGATAAAGACCAATTTTGAATAGAAAAGCTAACATACCAGGAGGCTCAAGCAGCCATCCCCAAATTCCTCACAGGCCGCCATGTGTCTTCGGGTAGTGGGCTCAGCACTGAGGTTTCCCATGATGGCAATGCACTGGCACAGAGCCGAGGAGCTGCTTACCTTGGGATCTGTCTTCTAAATGAGAATTGAGAGAAGGCAGAGCCTCAGAGAGCAGGCAAAGGATGCCGCATGATCTCTAGGTGCATCCCTCACTCACCAAAAGGCCCACGAACCAACCAGATAGCTTCATGTCACACAGGGGCATCCCTGGGGTCTCACTGGCAACGGATGGAGGCACATAGAGGGGTAAACCCAAAAGGGTCTTGGCCTAGGGCTTAATCCCAGCTCCTCCACCAACCAGCTGGAGGGACCTGGGCAAATCCCTTCCCTTCTCAGAGGCTCCATTTCCATAGCTGTGACATACTGAGGTGTGGTTATGCTCTCTAAGGGCCCCTGAAACTTCTAAGGTTCATAAGGGATAGGCTCCAGTTGCAACACACTCTCCAAGGAGAAGCCCTGCCCCCCACACTATTCACTGCCTTATCAGCTCAAATTGCTACACTGGTCTTCCTGACAGGATGACTTCCATCTGGGAATAGGGTTGCACGTCGTACTTAGTGTCAGCAGGGGACTGATGGAGACTGACGAACTCTATCCACCTTCACTTAAGATGCCACCCATATCCAGCTTTTCCTCCCCTGTAACCAGCGCCATCCATATGCCACCTCCACCTGTCCCTCCTGTAGCTGTTTCAATAACTGAGAATTGTGTAAATTCCAGCTGTGAATAAATGACTAATCAACCGAGAGACAATAGTTGTTCTGGATTGTAAATTGTGTTTAAACAGCCCCATTCACGCTCCTGAGAGTGTCTGTTACAGAGGATGAAAATGACAGTTTGCTCACCAGAACGCCTGTGAGTGCAGGGAGAACACCTGGAAGGTTGGCCTGGAACCAGACTTGGAATCTGTTGAGAAACCATCAGCCAGGATTTATTTTTACATTGCATAAACTATAACATAAATACAGTGTCTCAGATAGTTAATGTTGCAAACTCTAGGTCCATATGATTTAGAGTGTGCATGGACAATTCAGAACCAAAAAAAGAAAAAAGCATGTCACTGTGTATGTAATGTGGCTCTAATTTTTCTGAGTCTGGAGAATTGCCTTTGATGTTAAACAACAGATCTCAGATGGTGGCTCCCTTAAGCAGGAGCTACTGGAATCTCTAGGCTTCTGCCAAGCTGACTTACCCCCAACCCCTGCTCTGAGTCTACAGCGTGTGTGTGCGGTGCGGAAGGCAAATACCATGCAAGCATGTTTACCCATCGGAGCCACTGGGAGGGCCTGGATGCATGCGCATCTCCACACTCTATGGCCACTGTTCCATACCCCGGCCCGTGCCAGCTGGCTGGCCTGCCTGTGAGCTCTCTCATCCTATTATCATCTCTAAGCAAGGTGTCCTAAAATTTGTGAGGAAATTTAAAACACAAGATGCACTTTAAAAAAAAGCAACTGAAAAATTATGAAAACTAAGACCCTTACTATCATCCCCAGCAGCTAGACAAAACAAAACAAAACAACACAAAGCCATGGGGCAGAAGGAGGTCATTACTCATAATGTCACTGGCAACCCCAGAGGAGGCTGCAGTTGACTGTTCATTCTTGCTTGCTGGCTCGCTGGCTCGCTCAGGTTCATTCAACGCAAATTTGCTGGGCAGCTCCTATGTACCAGGCACTGATTAGGAGGGAGGAAGGTTCCTGACACTTGGGAGGCTTGCCTACTGTGAGAGGCACTGCTTTAAGTATGCTGCTGCTTCCAAACCCATGGAGGCCCGGGTCAGCCTCTATGCAGAGTGACTAGAATGGGAGTGGGTGGCTGCAGCCCCCTGGGAGGCATCAGCCCTCCTACTCAGTGAATCTTGCAATACTCACTTGGAGACTTGGCCTAGCCTCTCTGAATACAGCACATTTTTAAAGATCAGACAGTTCAACAAAGACTGAAGAAGAAATGTCAATTTCTATAAATAAAAAAATTACCTTTCTTCCAGAGCCAAGTCTGTGAACAGTCCCATAGCAGTGTTGGCCTCCTTATCCGAGAAATCAAGAAATGACACCAGCGCTTCCAATAATCTGCAAAAAACCATAATAACCTCAGAGGTAGCTGTCCTCCAACTAACAACATCCCAACAGGGTAACCTTGCAAGGAAACCAAAAAAGGAGTCAGCATCCGGGTGAAATAAGCAGAAAGGGTGCCTTGTCATGCCCTCCTAGGAAGCCTAGCTCCTTGCCCACCCAGAGACAGATACTCTTAAGTGGTTGGCTCCACCACTTAATGTGAATCCCCAGAATGCTGAATACTTTTAACCAAAGTTTATTGATTATCGGACGCCAGCTCAGAAGGAGTTTCTGTGACTCTGCCATGTGACTCTGGCTCAGTCAGGTTCATTAACTTAGATGACATCTAAATGGCATGCTTACTAATCTGCTGATGACTAAAGTGGGAGGGCCCCCTAATAAGGTGGGTGACGGAATAAAGATTTAACAAGATTGTGACAGGCTGCTGAATATATTAGATTAAATTTAATAGGGTTAAGCTCAAAGTCCTCCACTTAGAGCTGGAAATTCTGCTTAAGTAACAGAATTGTGAGACCTGGTTTATAACTGGTTCCTATGAGAAAGATTTAAGGATTTTTAGCCACTTACAAACACAAAATGAGCAAACAGTCTAACACAGATGCCAAAAAACACCTGATGAAATCTCAGGCTGCCCAAACGGACTTACTGGCACCATGACAATGGAAGTAAGAGTAATTTGTTCATCCAGCAAACTTGCATTAAGCATCTATAAGGTGCTAAGTATACTGTGCTCAGTACTGAGCTCCTGGTCTCCTACAGTGATACACATGTAAATAAATAAGATAAACTGTCTTAGGTGATATGTCAGAGACAGACACATGTTGAGGGGACCAGAGTCTCACTGGTGGAAGGTGTGGGCATGGAAGTGAAGAAGCCTTCAATAGATGACACTTCAGTGTCTCTTGAAGTGTAGTGTTAGCTATTCATTCGTTTATCCATTTGACCAATCACAATGAACAAGCACTGACTGTGTACCAGGCAATGTGGTCAGTTCTGAGGTCATAATGATGAAACAAGACAATGTCCTGGCTCCAGGCAGCTTGCAGGCCAGTGTCGGGCCCACAGGGATGGGTACAGAGGCATGTCAGGCAAAGCAGCCTGTAGTCACAGACTATGTGGGCATAGAATTGCAGGAGCACATTTGGGGACTGCTGGCATGCAGTTAATGCTTAGGATGTGAGGGGAGAACAGGGGATGGTAGAGAGCTGGACAGAGCCCAGATCCTGGGGGCCTTCTAGGGCCTGCTGGAAAGTCTGTACTTTGCCCTGTTGGCCCCTGTTCTCCAATGTGTGGTTGGTGGTGGGGGTCTCTGGGACAGATTCCTCAGTTACTCTGAGTGGGAGGAAGCTCCAGGAGGCTGCTTTTTTATAAAGTCCTCATGTGATTCCTAGCCATTATATTTCTCAGTAATTGGAGAACCAGCCTTACAAGGAATAGTCATTTCAGTGTGTTAAGTAGGAAAATAGCAGAACAGATGTGCATTTTAGAAAAATCCCTTCAGTGTATGGTGGAGGCTGGATTGGAGCAGGTAGTACAAGAGGCAGGAATTCAACCAGGGGAGAACTGTGATTGTCCAGATAATAAAGGCTAAGGGACCAGACTGAGGCAGCAGCAGAGTAAGAGGTACAGTAAAAACACAAAGAGACACTCATGAAGACCTGGAAGAAATGATTGGAGACAGTAGAGGAGAACTAGAAGAAAATGAATTCAGGAGATGCTAAGGAGAAAGAGCTGGCAGCATACTATCTTATGGATGTGGTGAGGGAGAGCCAGGTCACTTCCAGGACATTGGCTTAGGCGACTGGATAGGTGGAGATACCCTCTGTGAAGACAGGAAATTCAGGTAGATGAACTGGTGTGAAGACCCAATTTTGATTTATTAAGTCGATGATACTTGTGGATGTTGTGATAGAGATGTCCAGTGGCAGAAGGGCGTTTTCATCTCACACTCAACAGAGTGAGACTTACACCCTTTGCCTCTTGACGAAAGCCATGGATGGGAAGAGGGCCAAGGGTAGGATCCTGGGGTCCCTGACTTGGAAGGGTGATAGCATAGGGGGGCTTGCAAAGGAAACCACAAAGGAATAGCCAGGAGGTAGGAGAGGGGCCAGGAAGGATGGTGTCCTGACAATCACTGTGATGGAGTTTCCAGAAGAGTAGTGATCAATAGGACCAAATGCCACAGGGCAGAGAAGGGCAGGGACTTTGACCTTGACATCTTTAAGAAAGACAGATGACAGGCCATCAGATTGGGCTTTTGGGAATATGAATTCCAGTCACCCACATCTATGGTGCTGGATCTATTTAGCCACTTATTCTAGGAGTGGTCTGGAGGCCAAATCATCAAAGGAATGATGGAGGTAACAAGGATGCTTAACCTGGAATATATCAGTATTTTCAGATATCTAAAGTACTGGAAAGCTGGGAGGAGTCTGGGCCTGGGCCTCAGTGTATGGAGGCAGAATCAGCCCCAGAATAGTACGGGGCAGGCAACTTGTGCACAGTGTAAGGAGATAATTTATCTCAATCAGAACTGTCTTGAAATGGACAGTTGGCTACCTTGGGAGGTGAGATCCACAGCCTCTCGCTAATTGGGGAAAGACTTCCTCCACTCAGTCTATTAGCTGCGTTAGTGCCCATCCCGAATCAAATGGAGATTAAAAATAATGAAAACTGCTGGCATCTCCCCTGGAGGGCACCATGCACAGGCTGTATGGGGGTACGCAGAGGACATCTATGCTGAGTGGGGCTTGACTGGATGGTTTCTAAGGGCCCAGGTGACGCCAAGCTTCTGCAAATCCCTAACATCTTCAGGAATGGATTCCAGTGCTCCTGCTGTCAAAAATAATTTATTTGTTTTACAGTTAGTTCAGATTCATCCTTCACCAATTTAAACCTATTTTCTTCGGTCTTGAAGATGACTGCTAATGAACCTGAATAGCACAGATGAGACAACAGTCTAAGACCATCTTGGCTTTGTCCTGGCAGACATAAGCAGCTAGGCCCCCTCACTATGTGACAATGCACACATCCTAACTGGACTCAGCACCTAGAGAGGACGGTGTGTCCCTTTCTATTTCCTCACATACCCTCTTTTTTGGTGGCAGATTTTCTGCTCTGCTGATAAGCAGCTGTCTCTGTGAGTGAACCACAGGTGAGAAAATGCTTTCATGTAACTAATAAATGCAAGGTTACTTCAGTTTAGGACCCTAAACAATATACCCTAAGAGAAAATGATTATAAAAATATTATTGAGCCCTTATCATACCATGTGTCAGGCTTAATTGATGTTAGTTGCTTTTTTTTTTTTTTTTTCTGTAGCAGATGCTGTTTGCTGGCTAACCTCACAGATATTCTCCATTCCCTTCTATTCTTCCTAACTCTACTACAGAAGAAGTTGGGACCATTTTTTTTCCACTAGGGGTAGCATGTGACACAATTCTGTCCAAAGAGAAATAGGCAGTAGGTTTTCTTGATAAAAGGGACCGATCCAGCTGGTATTGACCTGTCTTAAAGAAGGATGTGAAGCTTGGAGTTGCAGCAAGAGGGAAGGTATGACCATGTGAGGAAGGTCAAGAGAAGGGCAGAGACTTGGACCTCGACGTCTTTAAGCCACCGCACCAATAGCTGCTATCTTTAGTCTCATTTTATTAGGTGACAAAACAAGCCAGGCTTTATTTTGCTTAAGCTCCTTTTGCTCAAGTATTCTGCACAATGCAGCAGAAAAAATTCAACTGCATCACCCCCCGTGTCATCATAAGTGAGTGATGCAGATGAGATGCCGGGGCCTGTCCATGCTAAATAACTTTCCTGGGTCACACAAGCAGAGACATGCAGGGAATTGAAACTCAGTACGCTTAAGACTAAAACCCAGCACTTTTTACAAAATGACACTGGCCCTTGGCCAGCACACATTCATGCCTTCAACCTCTTCTCTGAGGATAAACATTGTGGGAGGAATGTGATACGTGTGCTGCCGTGACGGTCAAGGGGCTATGTGCAGCAGCCCTGTCTTGCTTCAAACTGCCTCGTTTCATCACAGAGAACCCATTCTGTCTGGTTCAACTGGAGATGAACGTTAAGGAGGCTAGTGGGCATAAAAGTAAAAAGCTGAGGTTTCTCTGACTATCTTAGAGAGAGTAGGCAGGACCACCCGAGGTGATCATGAACGCCACTCTCCGAGACACTGGAAAAATGCACATTGAAGCTCAAGCAATTCAAAGATAGCTTGAGGGGAAAAGCTCATGATAGCTATAGCTACATTTACTCAAAGAGACAAAAACAATATTAAAAAAATACGATGAAGGTATCGAGGAAATGACTGCAGAGTCATTTGAAATGTGAAATGTGCTTTTGGGGAATTGAACTCCACTAACAATCTGCATCTGCCGTGCAGGCTGAGCTTCAGTGGGTTGCCAAAGCCTTTCCTGGGAGCCACTGAGGCTGCGACTGGGCCTGGAAGGGGAGCCGTAGGCAAGGCTTAATAACCATCCTGTCACGGCACACATGGACCTACATACCAAATTGGACAGTGTGGGAGGGCTCAGCAGGGTCCCAAAAAGATCTGGAAGGAACAGGAGCCAGTTGTAGCAGGTTTGGCTCCTTTTCCCACTGGGAACACAGAGCGGAGCTGGGTCCTCAGAACAGTACCTGGGGGCCAGCCTAGTTGGGTGAGATTCCCTTGGTTCCTTGCTGCAGTTCTTCCTGCCCCATGAGTGACATGAGGTAATAAAGCTTACCTTGCCTACCCCGCAGGATGAGGGGAGATAAAACAAAATAGCAGTGAATGAAAAAACTCAGAAGGGTCATCTCCTGTTTTTAGATTGTGTGAGAAACATTTATAAAGCAAGCTACAATAATTGCCACTATTTCTGTTAGATTGAACCACATAAAATGGCTGGCATGCAACCTTTTAGATCTAATAAGTGGCAATTTCATATGTTCAAACTAATCATGTAAAGATAAATAAACTGAAAACTTAGTAAGATAAAAGTAAATAAATACGTAAAACAAGTGAGCAAAATAACAAATAAATAAATGATTTAAAAAATAAACTAATAAATTATAAAGGACGGGGCAGAATCACTGTGGTTCAGTAATCTTTCTAGAAAGTCTACTTAGGGTACACACATTCTATGCCCATAGTCTTACACTTTGGAAAGACCTCCATGCAACAGTATTTGAAATGTTTTATTTATTCATACTCCATCTTGTTCCACAAAGGGTTTAAGGACACGTAGAATAAGACAGGATTACCTCAAATAAGAATGAAAGAAGAAAACGAATGGCAGGAACAGGGTAGAGATAGGACCGAGGCCAAAGACGGAGAAGCAAGTGACCTATTTTAAGGTGGGGCTCCTGATCTGGCTACGGAAGCACTGCCATTTGCACCATTTGTGGGATGGGGACGAGCCAGTTGCTCAGGAGAAGTGAAACCATCCATGGTACCAAGTTCGGACAGGAGTCTGTCCCAGAGGTCCTCATGACAGAGCACTCTTGTCAAAGGCTCTTTCTGTTATTGATCCTTCAAGTCACACAACAGAGATAGGAGGGGAGACAGGCATGCCTGAACTTGTCAAGTGATGACATGAGATGTCCCAGGAAGATCCTGCCAGCAGAGGCTTACCTGGTCAGGTCAAGGTGGTTGATGATCAGGCTCCGTCCGCTCTCAGTCTGGGCGAGATGCAGCAGCAGGGCAAAGCTCTGCTGCCGGATGGCCAGGACCTTGGAGGACAAGAGGGCGGCCAACAGCCTGGCCCTGTCATGGTGTATCACTAGCACACGCTGGTTTTCCTCTGCAAAACACAGAGGTTGTGTGTCTTGTGCATGCCATCATGGCAATTAAACTAGCTCTGTCACCCTCTATCCTAATGGGAAACTCAACTGGTGCCCACTCATTTGAAGGCAGAATAATGAAGTGTAAGAGTGTGGATTCTAGAACCAGACTGCTGGGTCCGAATGCCCAGGGGAGCGACCTTACCAATGAACTCTTGTGCTCCTCGGTCTCCTCATCAGTAAAATGAGGATTACGTTCCTACCTACAGGGACATCATGAGGATTAAATAAGTTAGTACATGACTGTGCCAGACAGGGACTGGCACCCATAAATCAACTGTGTCATTATTGTCAAACTTCCTTGGTGTGTGGTATCTGGAAACACTAGCAAAGGGAAATAAATCAGTTTAATTGTGGAACGTCTTTAGGCCATCAATATTCATACAACGGCTAGAGTAGTCATCTGAGGAAATGTTATCCAGAAAACTAGAATATCACATGAGAGCACTAACGAATAAAGTGTGCCCTCCTTCCTAGAACATAAGCTCTTCCAGGGTGGTGGCAGTCTGGTTCATTTTCTGACCAGGTACATGAATTTGTTTGAAACTGCAGGGTACAGACTGCAGTATGAGGCTAAGCTAGGAAACAGAGCAAACTGGATCTCAAAGGGGTGGGCCCCATCACTTGGACCTCATCACCCTTGGCTTTCTTCCCTCCTGTACTGATTACCCATTTACACACAGCACACGGCATCCAGTAGAAGACACACACCAGGTCTCTTCTAGCCCTGAAAGAGCCAGAGTAACAGGACTACAGGATCCTATGTGTAGCCCACATATCAAACCATGTTTTCGTTGCAAACATTACATCTCAATCCTATACTTCACCTATAATTACTCTTGTCCACGTAAGATAGGATCTACTGATTTCTGAAATGGAAAGGTCCTTGTTGATTATATATTTTGTTCTTATACTAGAAAAGTACCTTGATATAAATAATTCAAACAACACAGAGTTAGTTGATACCCCCTCCGGGTAAGCCCATTCCCCAAAGGAGCTATTATTCACCCCTCATATAAATAATGTGTAAAATATTATACATCCTACCCTGTAATTGGCTTCTCTTCTCAACTCCACAATAGATGACTGACATATTTTCATGTCCTTACTTTTAAGCATTCCCTTGCCCTTCTGAAAAACTGCTTTGCATTTATTGAGTTAGATATATCAAGATTTTATTGACCTGTGATACAGCATTTACATCACAGGTATCTGAAAATATTTTTCAGATGATAAAAAAATGTAACTTTAAGGTTCACAGAAACGATAAATAGGTTCACAGAAAGAGTAAACAGATTGTTATGTCAGATTCACACTGAGTAGACATACCATTGCCAAGTCCTGCCTTCCTCGCCCTCCTGTAGGGGAGTTTGCAAAAACACTGCCCTAAGCTGGTGCAGGGTCTTACACAGAGTAGAAAGGCACCTTGATGATGACAGTAGTCTGGGCATAACTCCCCTTAATTCTTGTCAGGAAATAGGCCCCCTGATTTTGTATTGTCTAGATTTTCAAGAGCTTAATTTCTTAAGTTCTTGATTCCTCTACTCTACTAAAGAAGAAAAAAAAAGGTATTATCTCCTACTTAACATCTCAGAGTATGCAAACTGCATTCACAAGCTCTATTGCTGGCTCCCCACAGTAGCCCTGTGAAAAGGAGACATAGCTATCATTATCCCCATTTTCAGTGTTTCTGTCCAGGGTCAAACTTTTTCCTATGAAACACACTTTTTAAAAATGACAGAAGTAAGTAAAATTTGTATTTATGTTGAAGTTACAAAAGTGATTAAGAAAGATTATACAAAAACGTAATGAACTCTGGAAGATGCAAATATTTGAAAAGCCTAAGAGTTAGCACAGTAAATAAAATGCCCATGGCATTCTACTGTCTCAATACTAGATGCTAATCAGTGTCTGAAGATATTGGCAGGGATGACTGTAAATCTCAGGATGCTGGAAAGGTACTGTGGTTAGCAAAAAGGAACAATATTTTAGGCTGACAAGAAAAGAAAAACTCCATCTACCTCATTGCCAGTGCATGAACAGAAGTCATGAGTCTGCAAAGAGCAGGAGGAGAGGAGAGAGGAGACCACTCATTATGCTGACAACCTCCTCCCTTCACCCCAACCTTGCTCCTCATCTGTCTACCTTGCTTTTGATCCATAAGCTTTCCTGGAGGGAGTGGGTGTGTGCGGAAGTCTAGACATCAGCTTTCCAGGGCCTGGCCTTTGGGGAGGACAGTCCACCCAACAGCGTAGTTCCTGCACGCAGCGCATTAATGGTGATCAACGGTGATTACCCAGGCTTACCGTTCCTGCTGCACACTGCTTGCCAGAGCTTGAGAACAGACACACAGACCATTTCTTCAACTGCATCATTTCCTGCTGTGGAAAAACACCTAGAATGGACAAAGGAGAGCTATCTTAAAAGTCTGAAAATCAGTCTTGATTTTCTTTTCCATTTGGTTTTATTTCACCCCTAGATTCACCAAATACAGGTTTGAGAAAGTATAGTTTTATAATCCAGAGCCATGGGTCACCAGGATCAATCACGGAACCATGAGTCCCAGGCCACGGATGCAGACTGAGGAAGCCAGGGCTGCACAGAGGCTGGGCAGTGAGCCAGGGCCATGGGCGATGGCTGCACTGGGACCAATGAACTGTGGCTGAGCACACAGACATGTACTGGTGACTCCAACCCACACGGGTATCCTAAGCCTCAGGAAGCACACCAGAACAACTGAAATGAAAATACAGTCACTTTAGCAAACTGCATCCTACCATACAGGTCTTTCTTCAGATGAAATTATAAATGGGATTGGCCCATTTATATTTATATCACTTCTTGATATGATCAGCAAATTCCAAAAGAAGAAATGAACAAATGACAACCTGGCAAAAACTGGTGGGAAAGCAGCAAGAATGATCATTTCTCTGACTTTGAAGAGCTTAGAGGAGCCCTGGGAAGTGCTGCTGTTCCTCTCTCTTCAATTGTTTCCTTTTTTTGAGACTGAATCTGGTTGTATCGCCTAGGCTGGAGTACAGTGGCGTGATCTCGGCTCACTGCAACCTCCGCCTCTCAGATTCAAGCGATTCTCGTGCCTCAGCCTCCTGAGCAGCTGGGATTACAGGTGCCTGCCACCATGCCCAGCTAATTTTTGTATTTTTAGTGGAGTCGGGGTTTCACCATGTTGGCCAGGCTGGTCTCAAACTCCTGACCTCAAGTGATCCGCCCGCCTTGACCTCCCAAAATGCTGGGATTACTGGCATGAGCCACCGCGCCCAGCCTCAATTGTTAGCTGCAGTGTAACTCCAATGTCTTGAGGGAAAGCACTCAAAGATGTTCGTGGAGTAGCTTTGCACTCCTGGAGAGCCCCCCACTACTGACTGAAGGGGGGTAATGTTCAGAAACGTGACTGTCTATGTGCCTCGTGTCTGATTTCATAAGCAGTGGTTATCTTCCCTTGCTTTGCTGCTGGGCTGTCTCTATGAACATCCCTACCTTCTTATGACCTCGTTGTCACTGATGATACTAAATCCATTGTGCATTCTGAATAAAGTTTGTTCTGTGCCTGAAACAGATACAAAGAAAACCACTTCAGACTCCCAAACTGGCTGGCTGGTGTCTCGCTGCAACACAGCCACCTGCTAATGAGAAACCTAATATGGAATGCCACGGTACCCACGTGAATGGTTTGGCAGGAACAAATGAACTTTACATTTTGAAACATACAATGGTCAGCAGCCTCTCAGCGTCAGAGGCCTCAGTGCCTCTCAGGCGGAGGGACTGTTTAGAGAAGGAGAGCAGAGCTGGGGTGGCCCCGAGGGCTATCTGCACAGCTCATCATTCTGTAATCTTCAGAGAGCCTCCCAGAGCTGCTTAACCTATGGGAAGTACCAGCATATCCATCTGTTCTTAAATATTTATTTCAAAGCTATTTCCAAGCTCCAGAGAGGAATTTATAATCTCCAAGAAACTGCTGAAGGGGATATTTGTGTGCCCTCCATTGTACACTAAAGAGAAGTCAGACACTCCATCTATTTGTACAAACAACATGCTGTCACTGAGTATAGAGATTATTTAAGCCTTGGTAACAATGTTTACAAGAGCTAGTAAAAGAGAACAGTATGGCCCTCATTAGTAGGAGAGCTGATGTTTGCTCTGAAACCATTTTCACATCCTATGCAGCCATTAACTGTAACTGGGTGAACCTTACAGTTTAACCTACAAAATTCTGTCTTCCATTCCTCCACAGTGGAGGGAAGGTGTACGAGGTGGTATGGGATGCTTGAGGTGTCTGTGGGGGTATGTGTGGAGTACACGCAGGATGTGCATGGGGTGTGTGGTGAAAATGTGAGGGTGGAGTGTGCGCAGGATATGTGGACTGACATGAGTACTTATGGTGTGAGTGTGCTGTGTGTGGTATGTGGTGTGTGTGTAATACAAGGATATATTCAAGTGAGTGAAAGCTGAGTGCATGTGTGGTGTATGTAAGTATATATCGAGTGTGTGCCACGTGTACGTGTTGTGTTGTGTATGTTTATTGCATGTGTGCTGAGTGTACGCATGCTCTGTAGAGAGGATGGAGCAGAAGTCGGAGGACATTTCTTGTGCACCCCTTTTAGCAGCTACATTAGCGTATATCTTTAATCAATATTTGTGGAAGGAAGGGAGGGATTCTTGGCCTGGTAAAGGCAGACCTCTGAATGTGTCCCTTCACACTGACAGCACTCATGAGATCACACACATCTCTGGCTTACACTCATTTATCATTTCAGTCAGGATCTCAATCCCCCCAGCATAGAACAAGGGGATCTGGTCAGGCTTGGAAAGGGTCTCCAGGAGGTTCTTGGTGGTCACGGCTGTGTTCTTTCCTGAATCCAGCAGTTCGTGGGCTTCCTTTTCTTGAAGGTCTGCTTTTTCCTGAAGATCTACTTGATTCAGGTAACCTAGAAAAACAAGAAAGGAAAGCAAAACAAAACCCTAACAATCAACAATACCACACAAGAAGCAACCTTTTTTTTTCCTTTCTTTTGAGGATGGGAGTTTGAGAAGCATAAAGCATTAAAATAATTAAAACTCTTCGTTAGCAAGGAAAATTTTAGAAACAGTCTAAATCTACAACCAGAATCTTAAACCTTGTTGGGGATTCAAGGGAGTCTAAAAGTGTCTAAGGGAGGATGGTGTAGAAAATGAAGAAGGAAAATATTACTATTTGCAAGGGAGCACAGCAAACAGAGGAGCAGAGTGGGCTGGTTAACACAGAGGACCCAACTGTGCAGGAAAGAGGATCCGCCGCTGCCTAGTGGCCAAGGGCAGTGAAAGCACGGAAGGCATTCTAAGGCAGGGGGCAGAGGGAGGTGGAGTTCAGATGAAGGACCTCAGCAGGAACGTGCTCACCTTTCACCTGGGTTTGCAGCTTGGGGTTTATTTCTAAGATCTTCTTATAACACTCTCTAGACTGGAAAAAAGAAACAAGACCTTGAAGAGTGGTTGGGGTAAAGGTGATTATGAGAAAGACACTGGGTGTCATTGGGCTTGGCTGCTTCATTATTTTCTCCTCACCTCCTCCTGCTCCCAGTGCAGGAGACAGGCATAGGAACACAATGTGCATTTGACATTTTTGTTCAGGCGTCTCCAGTTCTAGGGGGCAACAGGAATTATTTCAAAATTAGTTTTAAAGAATTTTAGATGCTCATGATGAAAAATATCCAGTCCTAAATTCTTGTGGATCATGTCTGTCTGGGATAGAAATAATCATAAAGTAAACGCAAAACTTAGATATGATATTTGCACTGAGAAAGGAGGCTGTCAAATATGTCCATATGGAGTTAGGAAATAAATGAAGCTAGAGGCAATGTTGACAGAGACTTGGGAACAGGAAAAGAGAACTGCCTAGTTAAATGTACAAGCTGCGAAGAGAACCGGTAAGGGATCCATTTATTGGCCACATAAGAGTCAGCTGGAAAACTCAAGAGTGAGGGCTTCTCATTGAGGAAACTGCTAGATAGAAAGTTACCAGAAAAAGGAAGATTCTAGTTCATAGGATTCCTGGGCTTAGGGCAGTATTTCTCACAAGAATATAAGAACTGCCCAGAGTATAATCTAACTAGTCACCTAGAGAAAACGCTCAGAAAACAACAACAACAACAACAACAACAACAAAACAGTTCTGAGATAATCTTGAAGGTTCAAGGTTCATCTAGAAGACTAGAGTTAAGAAACAAACTGAAGGAAAACAATAACACATTAAAGTAGAGAACAGTGTCGCAGGAACAGAAGTCTATATATCAGAGTGACCCTGTATCCAACTTCTCTTCAACCCTAGATCTAATCTAGCAACAATTTTTGTTGGCTTCACTGTCAGTAAATATCCCAAATCCCACCACTTCTTACCACCTCCATCACCACCAACCTGGTCCCCATCACCACCTCTTGCTTGGATATTTATTGCAATAGCCTTATCACTCATTCTCTGTTCTTATCTTACCATGCCAAAACACATGCTCGGCATGGCAGTCAGAGTAATCCTTTAAAATATGTCAGATCATTTAATTCCTTTACTCAAAATCCTTCAATAAAGCTTGAAGATCACTCAAAGTAAAAGCCAAAGTCCTTTGAAAAGCCTGTAGGGCCCTATAGGATCAGCCCCTTCTCTACCCTTATCACCTGTTTGACCTCATCTCCTGTTGCTCTCCTCTTGCTGGCTGCATTCTAGCTATCCCTCCACCAGGAACTTATTCCCTTATATATCCACATGGTTTGCTCACGTCACTCCCTCCATTCCTTTAGAAAGCCTTTTCTTACCCCTCTATATAAAACCAGTCTCATCTTTACTGCTTCCTGATTTTTCTCAATGCTACTTACCACTACCTAACATAGTACATGTAACACACTACACATCTATTTGATTGTTTTTTGTCTCCTGGTCACCCTTACCCCAAGAACATGAGTTCCATGAAGCCAAGGACTTTGTCTAGTTTCACTGATGTATTCTTTATTGCCTGTATTAACAGTGTCTGACACATAGAAAGCATGCAATAAATATCTGCTGAATGAATGAATTGAATGAGTAAATAAAAATTGGTGGACAGGGAAAGATTAACATTTTCTTTATTCACATTTCTTTTATTTGGCTTTATTACAATAAGCCTGTATTACATTTACAATTAAAGTCCAACAAACTTTTAAAAAATGTACAATATGAAGCAATTTATTTTAAAGACATATCTTATAAATGGGAAGACATCCTATGTTCATGGATAGGAGGACTTAATATTGTTTAGATAGCAGTACTTGCCAAATTGATTTATGAATTCATGTAATACCCATCAAAATTCCACCTGGTTTCTTTGCAAAAATCGACACGATAATCTTGAAGTTCATATAGAAATTTGAGAGCACCAGAATAGTTAAAACAATCTTGAAAAAGTAGAGGAACAAAGTTGAAGGCTCTCACTTCTCAACTTAATACAAAGCTACAAAAATGAAGACACTGTGGTACTGGCACAAGGACAGACATGTAGATCAATGGAATAAAACTGTAAGTCCAAAAATAAACCCATATATTTATGGTCAATTGATTTTTGACAAGGGTGCCAAAATCACTCAATGGTAATGGGACAAGTAGACATCTACAGGCAAAAGAATGAAGTTGAACCCTTACCTCACATCATACAAAAAATGAACTCAAAATGGATTGGAGATAGCTAAATTTAAGAGCTAAAGCCATAAAACTTTTAGAAGAAAATATAGGTATACATCTTCCTGACCTTGGATTAGATGATCTTTTCTTAGATATAACACCAAAATCACAAGCAACCAAAGAAAAATAGGTAATTGAGGCTTTATCAAACTTAAACATTTTTGTGCCGCAAAGAACATCATCAAGAAAATGAAAAGGCAATACAAGGAGTGGAAGAAAATATTTGGAAATCATGTATCTGATAAGAAACTTGTATTCAGAATATATAAATAACATTTACACCTCATTATAAAAGAAGATATTTCTCCAGAGAAAATATATAAATGGCCAACAAGTACATGAAAAGATCCTCAACATCATTAGTCACCAAAAAAATGCAGATCAAATACCACAATGACATATCACTTCACACCCACTAGAATAGCTATAATAAAAAAATAAGTAACAAGTATTGAAGAGGATGTGGAAAAACTGGAACCCTCATACACTACTGGTAGGAATGTAAAATTCTGCAGCCATTTTCAAAAACAGTTTGGTAGTTCCTCAAAAGGTTAAACATAGAGTTACCATACGGCCCTGCTATTCCACTTCTAGATATATACCCAAGAGGACTGTAAACATAAAAAAGAAAACCCTGCACATGAATGTTCATAGCAGTGTTATTCATAGCAGGCAAAAAGTGGAAACAACCCAAATGTCCATTAACTGATGAATAAATAAATAAAATATGGTATCAAACAATGGAATATTATTCAGCAATAAAAAGGAATGAAGAACTGATACACACTACAACAAAAATGTACCAGGCAAACATTATACTAAGTGAACAACCTCAGTTACAAAAGACCACAGATCGTATGACTCTATATGGAATCTACAGAACGGGCAAATGTATAGAGACAGAAAGACTGATGGTTGCCTAACGTTGAGATGGGGTTGGGGGAAGGGGACTGACTACTAATGGGTATGGGGTTTTCCTAGGAAGGGATGAAAATTTTTTAAAATTGATTGTGGTGATGGCTGCCTGACTCTGTGAATATACTAAAAACTATTGAATCATATAGTTTTTAGTATATTCTACAGATGAATTGTGTGGTATGTGAATTATATCTCAATAAAGCTACTTTTAACGATATATAATATCTTAGCATGGATAAATAGGTAGATAGACAGGTTGACTGATCTGCATGGTTACTTTTGGGTGATGAGGTTACAGCAAATTTTGTTTTCTCTTTTTGCTCAGGTCTTTTCTCTCCACAGACTGAACAAACACTGGTAGAGGATGTTGCAGAAGAGAGTCCTACAGCTGGTGGAGTTGAACTAACTGACACCCAAAATTCTTCCCAACTTTAAGATCTTGAGCTTTACCTTGGAAAATACTAAAGGATGGATTAATACCTAATCAGCTTGGAGAATCATGGTTCTCCTCTAGCACAACTGGGAGCATCAGTCTGTGATCAAACATGTCAATTACATTCCTCTAAGAACTTACCACACTGTAGTTCTTCAGGGCCAGGTTGGCTTTTCCCATGTGAAAATATGCTTTTGTGCATTTTTCATCACACTGCATAAAAGAGAATGACTGATCAGAAGTTTTAGAAGATGTGAAGTCATTAGCCACTCCCCTCACTATACAGCTAAAAGAGTTAAGGCGAAACTTTGATTCTCAGGGCAACTACCAGAGTTGACAAAACTTTTTTATGCATTTGTGACCAAACTAATTGATGCCTGCAAGGAGCCTGGATGCAGCAGCAAGCTCTTCACCAAATTAATTAATGATACCTGCCAGTTTTCATTTCCATTTAATGAGATGCAATCAGGAAGCAAACCCTCAGTTTAGAAGAGCTCTTAACACTGGCAGAACATTAGAATCATCTAGGATGCTTGTAAAAATCCTGCCGGCCCTGCACCCCATGTCAATTACATTATACTCTGGGATAAGACCCAGGCATCAATAATTTTTTAAGCTCTCTAGGTGAGGTAAATGTGCAGGCAAGTTTGAGAGTCACTGGTTTACTAGAAGAGAAGAGAACTTACTCTAAGAAAACAGCTGAGGTTACCATTATATCTTAGTGGACCTGGGAAGTCCCTCCTCCCAAATAAACCACAACATGTGTACTGGGACCTTCTGTTCATATTACTTAAGATCAGTAGGGATGCCCCCTTCAAAAGGCAGGATTGAAACTTATGGCTGAAACTAGACCATTTACACAGGAGGCCCTGCACCTGCCTGCCCCTAGTTGTTCTAACTCCACAGGGAATGATTTGACAGAGACATACGCTAAATCTAAGACATCCAGTTGATGAACATTTATTGAACTTCTTTTATATGCAAGACATTGTGCCAAATCAGATGCCCTTCAAAGGTTTAGATATGAAGAGGTTAAGAGTTCAAGCTCGGGAGTCTAAAATGTCCCGGGGTGGATCCTTGTTCTGCTACTCAGCAGAAGTGGCGTGTTGTTGGCCAGGCCGCCTAACTTTTCTGACACTCATTTTCCTGACCTAGAAAATGAAGACAATAATAGTATCTCTCTCAGGTTGTTGTGAGAAAGAAATTATGTAAAACACTTGGTGTGGCTCTGGGTAACAGAGTATTAGCTGCTATTGCTGCAGTTATATCAGCAGCAATTCATTTCGGAGCAAAAGAGAAAATCTAAATTTAATAAAAGAGCAATAATAATAAAAGAGAGAAGAATAACAACAATAATAAAAGAGAGAACAATAATTGTTGGAGAAGCTTTTAGAGATACACTTTTGTGTATATCATTTCTCAATTCACTGCTAAGTGAATGGAAGTCATAATAAAAATAAATGTGCATGATTGTTCAGCCCAAACCATGTGCCAGGCACTGAGCTTTATGGTTCATATGGATGATCTCACAGAAGCTTTATAACAACTCTATGAAGCAGATACAGTTATTATCCCTATCTTATAGATGTGAAAACTAGGGGTTGGAGAGGCCCAAGGTCACACAGATAACAAGCGGAAGAGCTGGAATTTGAAATCTGGCCATTAAACTCTCAAGGGTTTAAAAATGACACCAAATCTCCTTCAGAAAGGTGCTACAGAAAAAAGCATATAAATGCTACAGAAAATGCTACTGAAAAAAATCAATGGAAGAAAATATTCTCTAAAATGCAGTCTTTAAAAGGGCATGCAAAGGAGGGATCTGGGCTGAGTCTTAGTGACACAGAGAGGTGAAGAGAGGAGGATGGAGGGAGAGTGGGCTGGGCAAGAACCTGAGTGAGGAGAGTATAGGGGGCTCCGGGGACGGTCCAGCTGGGATCGAGGGGCAGGTGCAGGGTGGAGAGCAGACCCCATCTTGAGCTAAATGGCAACACCATATGGTAGCCTTGCATGCCACACTGGAGGAGGGTGAGTCACCAATGGCAGTGTGGAGGTAAGCTGGTAGGAAGGTGGCACGCAGACATGATCAGAGGAGGGAATGGCTGAACAAGAGGTATGGTGGGCTGAACAATGAGAGATGAGTAAGGAGACCAGAACAATCACTTAGAACAAGGGCTAATATCTGAAGTCCTGGTGAGAGTGGGAGGGAAAGGATGCCAGAGCTATGTCAAAGAAAGATCTGACCAGCATCAACTAACTATCAATGATAAGGGATATGGAGGATGTGAAGTCAAAACCACGGGCCTAGATACCTGAAAGACATGGTGTGTCATTAACGGAAAGAGGTCAGCTAGGGCAGGGAGTGGGAAAGTCTGAGTGAGAAGATGAAGAGTTGGCTTCTAGACATACTGAGTTTCAGATGACATCAAGACTATCAAAAGGCACCTGCAGGAGGCAGCTGACATGCAGCCCTGGAGCTGGGGAAGGGGAGACTGGGGAAGTAGGTCTGAGAGCCTTTTGCAGAGATGAGAGTTGAGCCCATGAGAGGAGAAGAGAGCTGTAAGGGAGTAACTGTAGAGAGACGAAAGACGGGGAGCAGAGGGGTGACCCCTCATGAATTCACAAAGGATAAAATTGAGGAAGCAGGAAAGGAATGGTCAAAGGGAAAAGAGGAAACTCTAGCACTTCAGCTCATGAAAGCCAAATATTCACAGTGCATTCACTGGCAGAGCACCGGGGTTACAGCAGGCGGGGGAAACCGAGCCCCAAGCATTAAAGCCTTGTCCCCCAGCCTATCGTGTGTCACCGTGAAGTGCAGATAGTTGTGACTTTGCCTTCCTCAGACAATGACGCAAAAGGCTACTAATGGATTTTTCTCACGAATAGGCCCACTCTCCTTTGATCATGTGTCGACCCTCACGAGAATTTTCTTGGGTGAACCCCAGCTTCCCTTTAAAGGAATCCTGCCTTCAGAGGAAGATGTATTTCATTGTGCAAGAAGTGTTCTGCTGAGAAAGAAATGATTCTGGTCCTAATTGAAACCAGCTTTGCTGCCTTATCTTCCTTGACAAGAAACATCAGTCTTGAAATATCATCACATAAGCTTGTCTCTACCAATTTAAAAGTGTCCAAAAAGATTAAATTGGCATGAAAGTACTAATACTATTAGTAATGGAGTGCCAGTGACATTCACTATTGATACATTAATTTTAAAGAGAGCAAAAGCTTTTCTTTTAATTCACAGCTGCAACATAAAACAAATCATTATTAGTTTTTAGAACTCTTTGTACATTTTTTTTTCTCATTTCTCCAAGTGTTTACCCAATCTCTTCAACTGGGAGCCTCGCTGGGCATTTAACAAGATTGGCTGCTGAGTGTCAGTGTTTTTTAATGTCAGCTCCATTGGGCCTGCTTGGCCTCGGTTTCACCGTTAATTACATTGTACTTCAATTAACATTTGGGAACAGGCCAGCCTGTTATCCTGAATCAGCATGATGGTATGTCTGCCCCTTTGGCCTTTTTCAGATCAGAAAAGATACTCTTGGTGAACCTGTGAGGAGATCGTGTTTCTTCCATAGAAGGGAATGACATCCACACCCAGGGATTACGGGGTTTAAAGTTGCAGTGGAGAGGCCCTTTATAGAGGTTTAAGAGCAAGGGCTTAGAGTTAGACAGACACTAGCTTCATGATCCTGCACAAGTTACTTAATCAATCACTGAGGCTTGATTTCCTTGTCAGAAAAATAGAGAAAATAGTGACACTGAACAGAACAGAATAGAATTTCGTGAGCATGCAGCAAATGATGTTGTTTGCTGTTATTACTGGAAAAACCAAGGAAAACATCCTTGCCTCTCTCTTCTCCTGCAGAATAATGGTAGAAAAATAAACCATTATCAAGCAAGGCGACAAAGCAGGTTAGTGGATCTATGATGGAGCTGTGAGGAGCTTGACGTCATCAGCTTTGGGCAACTCTTATAACTTAAAGACTATACCTGTGCAATGGGACAAAATTTGCCACACATTTTATCTTCTAAGGGATAAAGAAATTGGATACTCCAGATGTCAGTGTTAGAGGATCCCTAGTGTTTTATGAATGATTATAAGCAGAGGTGACTTTCTCATTCATCTCTGTTTCCTTTGCTTACCCTCTCAATAAGAAATAAAGCAGATATGGCCAGTATGCTGCTAGGGAAGTGTCCTCTTGTTTTGGGACATACTCATTAGGCTAGGGTAGGTGTGCTGTACCCAAGAATTGAAGCCACAGGATAAACCTGGCACATTCTCCTGGTACCTCAATTTTACTTGATTCTAAGTTATTGAAAATCATGCTGTTATATCAAAACAAAGATAAGTTTTATGAAGTGCTGTGCAAAATTAACAAGGTTTTTCAGGTAAAACACACATCTTAAAAGAAATTTCATGCTTTCTGCTTCTAGTCCCTCTCGAGGGGCTCATGTTCATTCTCCTCTGCTGTTAGCAGCATAGTGCAGAAGTCTGAGAAGCACTAGTTTTGGTTACTTAGTTAAAACCCCCGTGACAGAGTACTTTAGGGGAATGTGGATTAAGGGTTACTTAAATATTTGGTCATGTCCCTAAAAAGTGATCGTATTATTTCTCTTTTAGTAACTCTTAACATTTCCACCAATAGTCTTTATGTCTATGCATCCTTGACCATCTATTTTGGCAGATTTCAGAGGAAATGCCATGTGTAGAATTATTTTATCTGCTCAAGGCCTGACTAAAGTTGAAAAATAGGAATTCTTTCTTCTGATTATTCCTCTACAAATAGAGGATGTTATATTTCCAAATTACTAGGGCTGGAGGGAAAAAACACAAACTGACAAGGAAGAACAGCATTGCAGAAATAAGCTCCAATGGCTGGCTCTAGAAGACAGAAGGAGGCATTTCCACTACCACATAGAACCAAGTGTCTGATAACACAATAGTAAAGAAGGAGCTGAAGTAAAATAAGACATTGAAACTTCAATAGCAGCAGCTCCCTGGATTGCTTTCTAGGAACTAGGCACTTTCTGTGCATTGTCGTGACCCTCCTAACAATTCTATTCTATCCCATTCTACAGATGAGGAAACTGAAGCTCTGGCTACAGAGGCTATACCCTTTCCTATCTTGATACACTGGCAGCTGCCTTCTATCTACTTCAGCCCAACACTATCATGTGGGAAAAGAAATACCCTCTTACCTTGAGAGCCCACTCACAATCCACCAGTGCCTTCTCATAGTCCTCAAGTTTCATATAAGCCTGTAATGAAACCAACAGCTGATATTCACACACAATTCTGCATCAGGCAGTTTTCAGTTCACACAGAAAGAACATTCGAACAGTAGAATGTCAGCGAGAACTATCCCCTACCTGGATCAGTCATGGTCCTGCCAGGAAACAGATGGCACACTTGCACTGGGCAACTGAGGAGAGTTGAATACAGGGACCTCTTCCACGGTGAAGGCAGGGCTTAGGGAACCTGACAAGGGATGCTACAGAATCGCAGGGCTAGCAACAGTGGACAGCCATTACCACTGCTGTAATGGAAGGGGCAGAAGGAGGGAGCAATGAACAAAATGTGGGAGGACAGCTCTGCGAAAAGAACTGCCTGACATGAGCTGAGGCCTTCACCAGAGCCGAAGGCCAGGAGAATAAATACCCCAATCTCACTTTTCCTCCTTCCTTCTCATTTTATTGGCTGAATGCAAATGGAAGCTAGAGGGCTAGGAAGCCAAGGAGCCAGTCCACACAGGTCAGCCCTCCAGGGCACAAAGCAGGGAAGGATCTAGAGGGACAGAGAAAATACCCAGCTCACTAGCCACATCCAAGAAGGAAGAGCTGGATTCTGGAGTCTACCCTGCTGTGAATGTTCCAGAAAAACACCAAATGATAAAGGGGATAAAAAAGACAGATAATTAGAGCTCTCATACACTGCTGGTGGGCATTAAAATGGCACAGCCCATCTGGAAGATAGCCTGGAAGTTCTTCAGAAGGTTAAATATGTTACCATATGACCCAGTAATTTTACTCCTAGGTATATACCAAAGAAGAATATAAATATACATCCATACAAATGCTTACACATGAATGTTCATAGCAGAATTATTCATGATAGTCAAAAGGCAACAATCCAAATGTCCATCAGTGATGAAGGGATACATAAAATATGGTATATCCACACAATGGAAAATTATTCAGCAATAAAAAGAAATGAAGAGGAGTTGATACATACTATAACATGGATGAATCTTAAAAGCATTACGATAAATGAAAGAAGCCAGTCATAAAAGGACAAATGTATGATTTCATTTATATAAAATGTCCAGAACAGACAAAGGTATAGAGACAAAAAGTAGATTGGTGATTATCTTGGGCTGGGAGTAGTAATGGGAGGATTGGGGGAGTTGACAGTTGAAGATGGAGCTTTTTTGGGGGATGATGATGAAATGTTCAAAAATTGATTGTGATGGTTGCACAACTCTGTGATTATACTAAAATTCCATTAAATTGTGTACTATAAAAGGGTGAACTGTATGGTATGTGAATTATATCTCAATAACGCTGTTATCAAAAGATAATAAAGCTCTGCTTCTGTCCTCCCGAGCACAGCAGAAAAAAAAAATGAAAGAAGTAGAGTGACATATGAGAGTCAGAGCATCACCATGAAGCCTTAGTATCAAATGCCTGGGGCACTCTTTTAGAATCCCCTAGAATTGGGGAAAATCTTGAAAATCAAGAATTGACTCAGAATTCCGTGATCCATTCAAACTGAACTGATTGAGAACTTAGTTCAATGTTTCTAAGGACTAGAGGAATATAAACAAATGAAAGACTATAAACAAGCACAATGGCTACTATAACCTCTCTATTAATTACTGGACACAGTAAGTGGTCAATAAAGTCTTATCAAATTGCACTAAGTAACTCTGAAGCACTCTTCTTCTGGAAAGCTCCCTGAGAGGCAGCATCGATCATCCCATTTGTACGAAAGGATAGCCAAGCACCAGGAGTGGTGGCTTTTCCAGGGTTCCATCAGCAACCAATAATAAAGCCAGTACTACACATAGGATTGTCCATGATCAAAACTGTACCAGGGCACTGCAACACAATCTTAACAACGAACCTCATGAGATACTTACATGGACAAGCCAATTGTGGGGTCAATGTTGCAACTCACAGGGAATCCAAGTATCCAACCCAAGTGAGGAGGGAGTAGGCAACAGCCAGCAAATGAATTGAAATCATGCCGCTCTTGGCTCCCATAGCAAGGAAGCTGCGAGTGGTGCTTTCATTAACTCATGTTCTGTACTAATTAGAGAAGACGACTCTTTGAGCTATCTGTTCTGTAAAGCATCATCCTTTTCTCCAGGGTCTCAGGTTTCATTTGAAAATTAGAGGATGTGAAGAGGAAGCTGGCATCATTCTAGACAGCTGTGGCCATGATTTCATGGCACTATTATTTAGGATACATGCAGACTCTGAAGAAGTCTTTATGGGTTCCAACAATTTCTCTACACAGCCTTTTACTTTTTTTTTTCTTTCTCTCTTAAGGCTTGGATTAAACACCCTATAACTTCCTCAATCTCTTTTGCTTTTGCACATTTTAAAAAGGAACTACTTTTTCCAAACAGCAATTAAACTCCAGATTTATCTAAATTATACCGGCAATCTATTGATCATAACATTAACTCCAGGGGAAAAACAAAGCAATGAAAGGTTAGGTTTTCTCTCTAGCAAGCAACACTCAATTTACAGGGTCCTTATTAAGTGTTTTCTGACACTGCATGCATACAGGGGAAGCATTTTAAAAATAGTCAATGGTTCAAACGGTTTGTAACACCAGGGAGCACATTGTCCATTATTTTGTCTCTGCATAAGCTTTCTCCTTGGGAAAGCTGAGAGGAATCACTCCCTCAAACCTTTTCATTACATTTCCTTATATTTATCCACATTCATTCTTAATGTGATTCTTCAGAACTAATCAAAGTGCTGCTTAAAAATGAGTGCAGTGAAAATATAATTTAGATGAATCAGAGTATAGACAGTCTGAATTAGATATGTCTGAAATTATATAACTTTTTTAAAGCAATTCAATTTTGTTGCTTTCAAATAATTTCAGAGTAACACAACTGAATAAGCATCAGTAGGCAGATGTTTTTAGAGACCAAATTTGGTAATAAATAAGAAGGAACTATAATTATTCTATTAATTGCTTGCATTTAAGTGATGCCTCTGAATTGTCAACAGAAACTTAACTCCCTTAATTGGACTTATTGTGCTTTTAACGTTATGTAACTAAAAAAGGATTTATTGAACATCTGCTATAAATAAAGCATTAGGGGAAAAAGTATATGGCAGTTTTTGCCCTCAAAAAGTTTATAATCTTGTTCGGGTAATGCAATGTACTGCTAAATCAACCTCTGGCCATCTTTTTTACCGATTCACTTCCTTATAACAAGTTTTCTCCAAAATTGGGATAGTTTAAATGACACTTCAACTCTAGTCTAACATATCCAAATTGCTAAACTAGTGAGATTATACTGCTTGGATTTATTTATCATTAAGTCACTGTCACTCCCCATATGTTTCGGCTTCCGAATGTCCTGTTTCTTGCTTCCAGTCCTCTTCCTCAACATCCCAGAGCCAGACATTCTTAAACTCGAGTTAGGGAAATTAGAGCTGATGAGGACTCTGCTGAGCCTCTCCCTCTTGCAAATGACAGGGCATCAAGTCCACCTCACACAGGTCCTGCTGACATATTCTGACCATGGGGTAATCATGTCCATGAATCTGCCAATTTTTCAGGCCTGTCCAGCAGAGAACTCTACCACACAAAAACTAAACTACTTTTCAAAGATAAGGTCACAGGTGATGGTTTTGTTTCAGTTGAGAGCTATCAGCCTATCCCTTCATTAAGTAGTAAATAAACATCTGGGTGGTTTTTACCTGGTGTTCCAGGAAATTGAGCTCATTTGTGACATATACTAATGCATAAAAACCTTCAGAAACCCAAAATTTCCAAGAAATTGGCTCCAGGACCATTGGCTATCCACTTTATCCCTGTCGCAGAATCTTAAAGAGAGACTGATACAATGAATGAGAAACTAACAGGTGGGCATCCGCTAGGAGTTAAGACTAGTACCAAAAAAGGAGGCTGAAGAAATATGTTGGTAGCAGAATTCTAAGGTCCCATAGGTCATTTCATTCCACTAGTTTTCTCCTTTATCCACAGGGACAAGTGCATGGTCACCATCAGTGATATGATGGAGCTGACTTATACTATGGAGAGAGCTGATAATGGACAGCTCTTCCCAAGTCCTCCTGCAGTGATTCCAAATTAGATCATGGTGAGAATATTTGCATCATGGAAACTGGTAAATGCTGTGTATAAGTCAGCTCCTCCCACACTTAAAACAAGAGCCAGTTCTTATAAACATTTCCCAGCCCAACATCTAGCCTCATCTTTGTTTTCCCAAGTTTAGTGGCAACTATTCCCTGAGAAAGCCCCATGGATACATCCCTGCCTCACTGACCTGGGCTCGGTTGGTGTACAGCACTTTCATGTCCTTCAGCTTCTCCAAACCCTCACTGTAGCGCAGGATAGCTGTTTCATAATTGCCTTCAGCAAATGCTTCATTCCCTTTTTCTTTTAGGGCTATGGGAATATAAGTTACACAGGTGAGCTCTCACCACACATCAGAAAATCTCTCAGACTTTATTCCCCCGATTTTCCAATTCTATTTCGAAGGTCTTCACTTCTATCGATCCTAAAGGGACTTGACACTTGTTTTTTTCTGCAGATACTTCAGGACCAGCTTCTTCAAGTATTTTTTTTCCTCCAAATCCACCCATGTCTTCTAAGTAGATTCTCAGAAAAAGTAAATGTTTCTGCATTGAGGCTGAGAACCATACTAAGCTTGCCACAGAGACCAAATCTGTGCATTCGGTGTCTCATAAAGAGGGTCAAATAATTAATTTTCCCAACAAATATGGAATCATTCAGACCTGCAGCACACACAGCCCTGGGTGGTATAAAATAAAAGTGAAAACATTCTTCTATCATATGTATCTCCCTGCAACATACACAATCCCATCCCTTCCTTTTCCTTGATGTCTCCTCTCCTATCTCACAGCTGTTTTATTTTTCTTTTCCACTTCTTCATCTATGCCTTAGGCTAGCCAGTGGCAGCTCACTCTCACCCCCCACTACTTCCTGAGCATTGTTTAGTACAATTCACTTTGCTCTGCTAAGTGCACAGGGAAGCTTCAGAAAGAGGTTTCACTGGAGGTAGGTGTATCCTACCCTCTGCTTGTTGCAGCAGGAACAGAGAACAGACCATCAATGATTTCCTTCTGGCCAGGTCCCACTGCCTCAAGCCCATCACAAACCTCACCACTGGGAATCTAGATGTCCTCAAATGTCAGCATACAGGCCTTCGTGTGCTCTTTCTAGCACAAATCATCCCAGCCATTGAAAAGTAAGGACTGACAATTACCATCCGCCAAGACTTTGTTTTCCCTTCTTCTCTTGGCTCGTTCCTTTGCATCCTTCTCCACAGATGCCAAGAAGGCCTCTGACAGCAGGGTAATTTCAGATATTAAAAAGAAAAATCCAAATACTATAATCAGTTCTTTAGCTCAAATTCGAAGTGTTACTTTAGAGCCACACGTATGCATATGCACACAGGCACACACACGCACACACACCATTCTGAGGCAACTAAAATGACATTTTCTTCATTTGACATTAAATGGTAATCTGTGTGATGCATTATTACACATGATGGCTATGACTGTGCTTCAAATTTGAATTATGTCTTTTAAAAGAGTTTTTCTTTGAAGAGAGATTTTTTTGTTCCGTTTAGCATAATGAGCTTCTGAGCTGAGCAACAGAGAAACTATCTGGATCCCTTGAACAGGGTAAATTGGATGATACAGAATAACTGAATTGAGTTTACAAAAGGTTGACCAAGAGAAAATAAAGAAAAACCTCTCAGGGACATTCCCGCTGATCACTAGTAACAGAATGGGATGATCAGTAGGTTTTTGTTCACAGGTTGTTTGTAAGCTCAAAGGCAATAATTTAAGGGTCTGGGAGCTACAATCAATCAAAACTGGTCCTATATAAAGAATGAAAATTGGGAAGAGAGATGCTGTCCTTACCTGAGTTTATTTCTTCTGCACTCTGTAGACGTAGGTTACCATAAAAACAAAGAAACAAATTTCAAAAACCACTCTAATTTATATGTATATAAACCAAGAAGGCAAATCAATTACAAACAAGAGGTCATTTCTTTTAACCATCAAAACTGAAGGGCTCAGAATTCATGGGGCTTGCTTTAAATCAGGAGATCTGAGTATGGGCACAATTGCTATGGGACCGAGTCTGCAAAACAAGGCTGCCCAGGTCAAGGGACCTCAGCTGTGGCTTATGAGTTGGAAATGAGTTAGAATACATTACCTTAAAGGTACAGCTTAAATATATCACACAAGCTCAGGGGGTGGAGAGGGGAAATTTCCATTAAAATAGATCCAAAGGGTTGTTTAAAGATAACCCAGAAAGATCAAAGGAAAAAAAAAATCAAATTTTATACTTTCTTATAAAAAATAAATCTAAGAAACAAAAGACCATTTCAGCCTTGCTGGACAGTTTGAGATTAAACTACTGCCTAGGTGTAGGTCTTCTCACTGTAAGTACTTATATAACTTCTCAATAGAAAAAGAAACCTTCATAGCAGTTTGTGGAGGACTGATCATAGTCTTGTTCAAGGTGGTCCTGCATTCATCCTCCTCCTGGTCTTCCTCCATAAGCAGTAGTCTCTTTTCTGTCTCCAGGACAGCTTTCTGTTGCACAACTGGGTCATCAGAATTCATCTCCTGAATTAAATTGGCTAGAGAAGAAATCAGGTGTGACTTAATCAAACAAGATATTCAAAAGACTCTATTCACTAGAAAGGATGGTGCATAAAATGCATGGGAAAGATCTTAAAGAAAAAAATAGAGCAATAGAAAGCAAAATAGAGCAAGCAGAACCAATGAGAAAAAATTAACAACAGGTTTTTTTTTTTTTTTTTTTGCCTAGAAAAAGTTGCAGGTGAGTATAGCTATTAGCTTTAAGGAACAGAGTTTTAAGCCATTATTCAATTCAACAATAATTTATGGAGAGCTCATTATGAGTTAGATATTATGCTGATGCTATAGATAACAATGATGAATAAAAAAAGATCCTTTTTTGAAGAGTTTATGAACTTGTGTGGGAGACAAACATGTAAGTACAGGCAGCTCAAAATCGCAAAACAGCAGCCCTTAACCCTATCCTCACCTGTCTTCACTTTACTGCTTATCCAGCTTAGATTCCATGGTCAATCACTCAGCAGCCATCCTGCCCATATACTCAACTCCCTTGCCCTGCTATCTCACCTAACAGACAAAATTCCAGCTCTACATAATTCCAATTACCCAATTCTACCAGTCTGCATTAGGAATGCTATGTACTGAGGGAGACAGATAGATGCCTGGGGGACTGGTCCAAACTCAAACTCAACTGGACCTTCAGTGATGCCCAGCAATCCTTGTTATCCTGGGCAAGATATCCTGTCACTCCCCCAATGACTTTTAACAGTTTGCAATCTAAACCTGACCATCTCAAAAAGATGCCCTTATTTATCAATTCAGAGAGGAAAGAGATGCCATCGACTTCCTGCTATTAAAACTACAAAACTGCCTATACCTACATCCATCCTTCCTTACTACCAGGAAAAGGTGCCCATTCTTCTGTAAGGTTAGTCCCTCATCCTGGGCCCAGGATTCCATTGTCATATTTTGCATAATCAGGAACGCTGCATCACCAATTAATAATCCTATTGCGCAATATTTTCAACCTATTCCATTCGACCAGCTTCCTTCTAAATTATGTACTTTAAATCTCTCCTAATGCTCTGTCTCCTCCCCTTCACAATTAAACTTCTTAATTCATTTTCCTGTTCTAATTTCTTCATTTCCCACTGAGTCTTCAAGGAAATTATAAATTTTTAATTGTACAATATTTCAAGCATACCGAAAGTAATATAATATTTTTGTTTCTATGCCATTTATAAGTTGATGGTATCTTTTCTCCAGCATGCTTTAATACTTAGTATTTGTATCATTTAGATTTTGCTGCATCACACACCACATCAAAACTTAGTGGTTTGAAACAAACCACCATTTTTGTGGCTTAGTTTACAATTATCTATGTCAACAATTTGAGCTGAATTCAGCTGGCCAGTTCTGGTTTCAGCTGGACTCACACATATATCCATGGTCAACTGTCAGTCATCTAAGTGGCTCTGCTTTAGAAAGTCTGCTGGCTGTTGGCTTGAGAAATGCAAGCAACCCGGGTAAGTGTGTCTTACTTTCTCATGAGTGGTATGAGTGCAAGCCCTAATTCAAATGCACTTTTCAAGCCTCTGCTTGTGTCATGTTTGCAAACATCCTTTTGGCCAAAGCAACACACATGGCCAACCCAGATTCAAGTGGCAGAGAAATAGGCTCCACTCTTGATGGGAAGAAAGGAATTTGTAACCATTCTTGCAATCTACCAGAATATTTGTGTATGTAATATTTAAACAATTTTTTAAAATAGTTGTATAAAATGTGCATTCATTTGCAACCTACTTTTTTCTCTTAAGATGCTTTAGAGATGTGTTCTTGATACACATGGTTCCAGTTGATTCATTTAAACCATTATATATACCATAGTTAATCCATTCTCTTATTGATAGCCAGGTGGTTTTTCAGTTTTTTCTAAAGTAAATAAATGCTGAATTGAATACCTGTATGTACATATTTCCTTGTGCACATGTTACATATCCTTCAGGATATGGCTGTACCAATTTTTACTCCTACAAAAGAGTACAAGAGGAAGTTCCCATTCTTCTACATTCTTATCATCACTTGCTGGGTTAAACTTTTTAATTGTTGTCAATGTAATGGATGGGAATGGTATCTCATTGTTTTAATTTGCATTTCGCTGAATTTGATTGGAATTGAGCATCTTCTTATTGATTTGCACCCATTTGGATTTCTACGAAGAGCCTACTCCTATCCTTGGCCAATTTTCTATTGGGTCATTGTCTCTTTCTTATTAGTTAATATAATTTCTTTTTTAAAAAATTCTTTTTTTTTTAAGAGATGGTCTTGCTATGTTGTCCAGGCTCGATTTGAACCCCTGGGCTCAAGCGATCCTCCTGCTTCAGCCTCCTGAGTAGCAAAGACTACAGGCACACACCACCATGCCTGGTTGATTTGATTGTGAAACAGGGGAGTTCTCTGATCCCCCTCGCAGGACATGCGACAGGGGTGTGGCTTGCCTGTTTAGTCACCACCACTGCTCAAACCCCTGAGGGGAGGGGGAGAACGCAGACGGACAAGTGCAGGAGCCCAGTTGGGCACGTGTTACAGCGTGTCCTTTTAGCCCTGCCATCTGCGGACGACTTGATTGTTAACCAGCTTGACGGACATCTGCCTTTTCACAAGGGCAGAGGGAAGTGACAGCTTTTTGTATCCCGAGCTCTTGCCCAGCATCCCCGGAAGAATCAGGTCACACACAGGACTAAAGGATGAATGTGGGGTTTTACTGAGTGGTGGAGGTGGCTTTCAGTGGGATGGATGGGGAGCTGGAAGGGGGAATGGAGGGGAAAGATGATCTTCCCCTGGAGCCTGGCCATCCAGTGGCCCAACTCCCCTCTGGCTGCTCCCAGCCAAACTCCTCTCGGCGTTCAGACATTCCTCCTCTTTTCTCTACTGTGTCGTTCTGCCATTTGTCTGCTTGTGTCCTCATCTCACCTGCTCGTCTGCTTCTGGAGCCTGGGGTTCAGAGTTTACATGGGCACAGGATAGGGGAGCATGGCAGGCCAAAAGGCAACTTTTTGGGCACGAAAACAGAAATGCCTGTTTCCACTTAGCGCTGCAGATCTCCCGGCTTGAGGGTGGGGTCTTTGCCAGGGAACCACCCTCTTCTATCCACTATTCCCATCTCCTACCCGTATCAGTTGTATATATTCTGGACTGGTTACATGTATTTCCAAACATCTTCCCCTTGGGTATTCTTTGTCTTTTCATTTGTTTTTATGGAATATGTTGTTGAAGAGATTTTCTTTTTAATTTTAGTGTGTTAAATATACCATCTTTTCCTTTACAATTTAGGTCTTTTGTGTCAGTAAGGTTATAAATATACTCTCTTATGGTGTCTTATAAAAGTTTTAAAGTTTTTTTCTTACTAAGGTATGTAATTCACCTAGAGTTGACTTTCACGTAGGGCAGGAGCATTATTTGTTGAGAAGTCCCTGCCAGCAATGTGTCTCATCATCCCTGTTATGTGTGCAAATCTTCTCCAGGCTCTTCATTCCTTTCCCCTGATTGTCCTTTCCAGCACGAAAACCTCCATGCATTGATTACTATGGCTTTATAATAAATCTTGAATGTCAGGTAGGGAAAGTTGTCCTGCTTTTTTTTTTTTTCCTGCAGAGTTTTCTTGGCTCTTCTTGGTCCTTTGCTCTTCCACGTAAACTTTGGAATCAGCTTGCTGAATTTTAGTACATACTACTTTGCGGGTTTTGATCTAAATTGTATTTACTGCATAGAATATTTTAAAAATTGACATTTTTACCAAATAAGTCTTCCTAGGATTAAATACGTCTCCATTTATTTAGCTCTTCTTTCATGTCTTTTAATTAACTTTTTTTTAAATTAACTCAACTGCACACTTTATTCTAATTTCATTGTTTTTTCTCCCTAATGCCCTTTTCCTATTCCAGGATCCCATCCAGAACACTACACGACATTTAGTCATGTCTCCTTAGGCTTCTCTAGGCTGCGACAATTTCTCACCCTTTCCTTATTTTGATGACCTTGACAGTTTTGATGACCTTGACATTCTATGAGTTTGCATAGAATACCTTGCAATTTGGGTTTATCTGGTATTTTTCTCACGGTTAGACTGGAGTTACAGGATTTGG
Source organism: Homo sapiens (assembly GCF_000001405.40). Lineage (NCBI taxonomy): Eukaryota > Metazoa > Chordata > Mammalia > Primates > Hominidae > Homo > Homo sapiens. The sequence continues at coordinate 113,319,180 of NC_000011.10, read as the reverse complement.
GGAAAAAGACCATGGCACATTATGGCGTATCAGGGATGCATGCCATCAGTGTGATTTATCAGGAGGTTAACCTTGATCATCTATCTGAAATTGTGTTTGCCAACCTTTTCCACTGTAAAGTTACTTTCTTCCCTCCCTTTCCATACTGTACTCTTTGGAAGCAAGTCACTAAATGTATCTCACATTTAAGGGGTAGAGATGCTCCACCTCCTTGGGGGAAGAGTCATTACATAAATTAGATGGAATTGATTTACTGCTCTCGGTAAACACAAATTCCTTACCATGGTTTCCAAGGTCTTTCCTAATCTGGCCCCTCCATATTCAGATGGGACTCTTCTCTCCTTGATCTCTTCTTTCCAGACATTTGGGGCTTTTTATTCTTTTAGTTCCTCAAAAGCACCACACTCTTTCTTCACTCTTAGCTTTCCTACCTCCTTACTTCCCACCCAGGACACTCCCCTGTCATTTTCCCAGTGACCAACTCCGACTCACTCTTCACATTTTGCCTAAATCTCACTTCTTCTGGAAAACTTTATTTAATTTCTGTTATGGACTAAATTGCATCCCCCCCAAAAATTCACATGTTGAAGCTATAACTCCTGGTATGACTGTATTTGTAGATAGGGCCTTTAAAGAAGTAACTAATCATTGCCCTAATCCAATATGACTAGTGTCCTTGTAAGAAGAGAAACACCAAATATATGCACGTACAGAGAGATGACCATGTGAGGGCACAGCGGGAAGGTGCCCATCTGCAAGCCAAGGAGAGAGGCCTCAGAAGAAACCAAACCTGCTCACACCCTGGTCTTAGATTTCTAAACTCCAGAACTCTAAGAAAATAAAGTTTTGTCATTTAAGCCAGCCAGTCTATTTTGTTACAGCAGCCCTAGCCGACTAATACAACCTCCCAAAGCTGGGTTAGATCCCTACACTTTGTAATTCTCTGTGTCTCATATTGCATACTTGAAATTACTGTTTAATATCTGTTTTCTCCACTGGACTATTAATACCATGAAAAGAATAATTCTTTGACTGTATTCTCTAGGCCTTACCAACACTCAACACATAGCAAGAGCCCAAGAAGTAAATGTACAGAATCTATACACATGTGGCTACATAAATTTAAATTAATTGAAACAAGCCGCATTTCAAACCTGGGCTGCAGCCACAAACACACAGAACCCTAAGCACTAGACCACAGGGTGGAGTTATAAGCCATATTTCAAATGCTCAATAATCATGTGGCTAGTTGCTACCATAGTGGACAGTGAGGATTATGGAACATTTTCATCATCACAGAAAGCTCTATTGGACAGCACTGGTATACATGATACCTGAATGAACTTTGAGTATGCATAAGTTAGCCAGGTTAAAAAAAAAGATGAAGAGGCAGTGGGAATGGCAAAGATCCAGTGCAGAGTGTGAAACACAGAGTATGTGTGGCGAAGTATCAGCAGTTTATTGCTGCTCAAGCGTGAGGTAGGGAGATATGAGAGAGGTAAGGACAAGGTCATGGGAGGACTTAAGTCCTGATGAGAGCTTGGGATTTATTATGACTGCAAAAGGAATCCAAGCAGAGAAGTGTCTGGGTCAGATTTGCATTTTAGATACATTACTCTGTGGGAAGTATAAGCCTGGAGACAGGAAAAACAATCAGGGGGTTGTTGACATAGTCTGGGTGAGAAGAACCAGAACAAAGGGAGGGCTGGAGAGGATGGCTCTCCAACCAAACTAGATGGCTAATTGGATGCAGGGTTATGAGTTGGGAGGAGTCCCAGATGACCTGTAAATTTCTGGATGGTGGTGTCACCAACTGAGACCAGGATGAAGGTGAGGGTAGGAGAAGCAGGTTTTATTTGGGAGGGGGAGGGCAAAGGGGAGGGAAAGAGATGATGCCTCAATTTTGGACACATTTAAGTTTATTTGTGGGATACAGTAGGTATGACAGTACCATAGAGGCAGAGGCTCAGAAAAGAAGGCTAAGTGTCCATGTAGATGTGGGGGTCATGAACAAACAGGTGGCAGGTAAAGCTACATGTTTAGACCAGCTGAAGAGAAAGGTGGCAGTGGGCCAAGGCCAGAGCTCCATGGAACAGCATTCAGGGATAAGCATTATTCATGTATCATTTACGATGTCACCCAAGCTAGCTTTAAAACCACTTTATTCCTTGAACCCATACAATCTGCTACAAGCAGCAATTTCAGCATATTGCCTGTATTTACTATGTAAGGTCTGTTTGCTTGTTGGTTTGTTTGTTTCTATACTCAAGCAAGCTCCCTGAACAGGGACTGACAGGTTTGGAAATTCCTGAATGTGATCTGTGGGATCAGAGTACATTTCTTTGAGATCCAACCTGCCTGAACTTGGGAAAGGACTTTCTTGTCTAGAGAGAGAGAAGGGAATGATGATCATAAACCATCCATGTAATTTGATGGATCCTAAAGGAAAGCCATTTGATTTTGCCTCTGCAGCTCTAAAACAGAAATGGCTCTACTCTAAAACGGGAGGAATCTCACACTGATCAATGAGGTTCTTGACCCTTGAAGGGAACAGCTGGGTTCATTGTCAATGGGGAAACAGCAGCTGGTTTTGACTGGATTCCACATAGAAGGATACAAAATATGGAAGAAAACCGTCAGCCTGAATTCCTATCAGAATGTTAACAGTTTCTCTGATACCAATTAACAGCCAGAAAATACAGCCCTGAGGCTATAACTTGTTTCTCAATACCCTTCTCTTTAATTTCAATTACATTTTTTTCCTAAGAGTTATAAACCTGTCAAGCCACCCAGGAACTTAGAGCAATCATTTATCTACTCCACTTCTCTAAAGCAGAAATTAATTTATGATTTACTAGTACTTACAGATTTCATCCACATTTTTAAGAAATTTCTGCAAATCTTTCTCTTTATCAGCATCCATTGTGAACCGGAATCCCTAAGGGATGCAGCATAATGGTGAAATTAATAATAATAAAGCACTAAACAGAACGGTCAGGCTTATTAGCCTTCTAAAACTAAGAGCCAAGTGATTATTTTTATGACAGTTTTGTTTATGTCAATGAATAACAGCAGGGTGATCCCTTTCATTCCAACTGCTGTTTTAGGCCAAGAGGCACTCATTTACGTGCGGCAATGCTTCCAGAAAGCTTCCAGCCCTCCTTCCAGTGCAGAAAACGCTCTGCAAATAGTTCTTCCAAAGCCAACATCAACCCCGGCGATTTAGGGACCTGGCATGGAGATGAGAAGAGAGCAGATGACAGGTTGCCAAGGATAGAGAAATACACTAACACCTGACTTTGATCATGACAGGCTGGTCTAGTCAGAAGCTTAAATGTGGATGTGTGACAGGTAACAAACTTGGGGCAATTTGCATCTAAATGTCCATACTTGTTTAAAATCTGCCTTTGGCTTGTTTCTGAAGAGTGAAGAAAGGGTACAAATTGACTGAAGGGATTAGAACATAATGTTACCATGCTCACCAGCGTCTCTTCTGCTCTAGGTACCTCAGATATTATTTTACAGTTGTTTTTGTGCGAGAAGGCCCCGTGGTGTACCCAGCAGTACTCAGTGGTTCATCCACAGATCATAAAAATCATCGGGAAGATTGTTAAATATACAGCTTCCTCAGCCGTAGCCCGAGATTTCAAGTCAGTAAACCCGGGACATTGCCCAGACACGAATATAGATTTTAAACACTTTCCAGGTGATTCTCATTTATGGCCAGGTTTCATAGTAGTGTAACACGCTTCTAACACGTAATCTGCCACGAACAAACTACGAGTGATTTAATCGAGTCTCAGTGTCCTCATCTCCACCAGTTACAAGCTGTGTGATTCTGGCTAAATTCACAACCTCTCCGAGCCTCAGAGTCCTCACCCATACTATGGGAACAGTAAGAGAGAAACTACGAGGACTATTCTGGGGACTGATGTAAAGCACCAGGCACGCGACGAGTCCTCACCGTGAAGCACCCTTACCTATATAAAACAGGGGGTGGGGTTGCGGCTTAACTGAATAATCGCTAGGGTTTCTTCCAGGTCAAATCTTTTCAACTCCCACGGAACAGAGGCCTAGTCCAGTGAATTAATCTGCCCAACGGTATGAAGGTTAGAAGGCAGGCGCGCGGGTGCATGGACAGGAGACAACCTCTGTCTCCCAGGGCATGGATCTCAGGGTCCTCACTGCCTGGCCAGTGCCCCCCTACGCTAGGGTGAGAGGGCCAGAGCCAGGTGATGGCGAAGCGGCGCCGCGCTCAGTGCTTCACTCGGTAGGGCTGCGGCAGCGGGGACCTGTGCCCGAGCCCCGCGCGGAGCCTGCCCCAGACGCGCGCTGCCCGCCGGGCGCAAAGAGGCCAGGCCGCACGCACTGTTGCCCAGCAACCGCTCCCAGGCGTCCGCAAGTCCCGGGCCCTCCATGCAGGTCCCAGACCGCAGCCGTCCCAGACCGCAGCCAAGACCTTCCCATGCTCTGGGGCCCAAAGCAGCGTCCTCTGCTCGGCTCTGAAGGCCAGTGCAGGACCAGCTCCCAGGGGGGATTCCGGGGTACCCCGCGGCACCGACCTGATTCGCCCAGCTTTGGACAGGAAATGGCGCAGTGACCTGCCTGGGCTGGGGCGGGGCCAGGAGCCAGGGGCCCGGGGCGGGACCAAGGGCGGGGCCAGGAGCCAGGGCCCGGGGCGGGACCAAGGACGGGGTCAAAAGCCAGGAGGCGGGACAGGGGGCGGGCATGGACACGCGATCAGATTCGCTACCGCAGAGCTCTAGCTCCGGAGCGCGCCAAGTTGAAGGCCAAAGTCGAGGTTGGGATGCCCGATGCCTGGCGCGGGGAGACGGAGGAAGCAAAGTGCTGGTAACTAAAGCAGCGCCTGCTGCTCGCCTTTTTTCTACTGAAGAAGGGTTGTCTCACTCCCGTTAGCTTAATATCCTTGCCCAAAATGTAAAGTCTCCAGTGTACTTGTGAATCCGGTTTTGTTCATTGATAAATGTGTGAGTTAGAAGACTCACACATTTATCCTTAGGAAAGTTATTTGAGTAACCTTTTTAATCCTCAGTTTTCTCACCTGTGAAATGGAGAAATGGCACTTTCTCATAAGGTTTATGGTTAAAGTGCTGTAACCGCCCAATAGGTTCACCTTGCTCACTGCCTAAACAGAGTCGATTTATCAAGACAGGGGAATTGCAATAGAGAAAGAGTAATTCACACAAAGCTGGCTGTGAGGGAGACCGGAGTTTTATTATTACTCAAATCAGTCTCCCTAGCTTTCAGGGATCAGAGTTTTTAAGGATAATTTGGTGGGTAGGGGTCAGTGAGTCGGGAGTGCTGATTGGTAGGCTAGGAGATGAACTCACAGGGAGTCAAAGCTGTCCTCTTGTGCTGAGTCAGTTGCCAGGTGGGGGTCATAAGACCAGATGAGCCAGTTTATTCATCTGGGTGGTGCCAGCTGATCCATCGAGTGCAGTGTCTGTGAAATATCTTAAGCACTGATCTTAGGTTTTACAATAGTTGATGTTATCCCCAGGAGCAATTTGAGGTTTAGAATCTTGCAGCCTCTAGCTGCATGACTCCTAAACCATAATTTCTAATTTTGTGGCTAATTTGTTAGTCCTGAAAAGGCAGTCTAGTTCCTGGGCAAGAAGGGGGTTTGTTTGGGAAAGGGCTGGTATTGTCTTTGTTTCAAAGCTACACTATAAACTAAGTTCCCCCCAAAGTTAGTTTGGCCTATGCCTAGGAATGAACAAAGACAGCTTGGAGATGAGAAGCAAGATGGAGTCGGTTAGGTCAGATCCCTTTCACCATCTCAGTTATAATTTTGCAATGGTGGTTTCAGTGCCTGGTACCTAGTCAGTAGGAACAGGTGGCACGTGACATCCGGGGAATCATAGGGTTTAGAACAGAATGAGCTAATAGGCACATTCATTCATGCCCCAAATACATGCACACAGCCCTAAAGAAATTTCAGTCTGTTTTTCTAAACAAAATCTCAGAGTATTATGTGCAGGGTTACCAATGGAAAAAAAGCAGGTTTAGGGGAAACTTGAGCTTAAGTTCACGGTCAGAAACACCCGGAACTTCTTGGCAAATGAGTGCTTTATGGAAACCTGTTTGGCAGGGAACAAGGAGCCCCTAGAGATGGAATTCGCCAGAGGGGAGAGGGATCCAGGCATGGCCAGCTAGCTCTAGTGTTGATTCCAAGTACAGCCTGTTGACTCTCTTGTGGCCTAGGCCCCATAGGATGCATGCCTGTGTCCTGTAGAGAACAGAAGAGCTGTTTGGCTGAAGTCTCTATGATGCATTGGTACACATACCATCCTGCTTGGGTACCCCTCTAATGCAGTATAACACAAAGGGGCCACGGATGTTCTGCTCCTCTTGGCAGCTGAATGGGTACAGCATCAGCAGAGTGAGTCTTTTGGCTCATCAACTGCAGCAGGAGACCTGGGGATCCCAGCAGGACATGGTCACAGTGGCTGTCCCAAGGGAATGAGGTGCCTCAGGAGAAGTAGCAGACAGTGTAGGTGCCTGGCAGGAGCAAGGACGTTGATGAGCACAGGCTAGGCACACCATAGGGATCCTCAGAAAGATATAGGGTACTTCACAGTGACCTTCCAGCCTGTGGGAATTGATGGAGACAAGAACCAGTGATGTTTTGGTTATCACCATTAGTATCACCCCATTTTCCTCTTAGGCCTGTGAGGCCTTGAATACATGAAGGCTATATGCCTATGGTCCCCAACCTCAGGGTGTTTCTTATCACATTGAGGCCAATAGTTCCAAATCACTTACTTCCTATCCTACTACTCTTTTCACTAAACTCCTTTCCTAGGTTCCAGAGGTATCTGCCCACAACTGACTGTACCACCTAACCATTCACTCACACATTTGTTCAGCTAGTGTGAGTGGCCTGTAGTGTGCTAGATGCAGCGGAAGGCCCCTGGGGTGCACTTGACAAATAGTCATCACATGCTAAGTGGTTAAGAGCTGGGGCTCTGGAGCCATTTTGCTGGGTTCAAATCTCACATCTCCACCTATTAGCATTCATTAAAATGTCTTGAAGCACCTACTATGCACCTTCTATTGTGCTATGTACTGGGGATCATATTCCTCCTTTTTTATTACTAACACTACTGAAACCTTCCTTACAAACTTTATAAAATTAATCAGGGAAGCAGGGAAGGGGAGAAATAAAATAAGCCCAGCTTGCAGCACATTCAGCATGAACCATGAGGTCAGCTTGTTCTCTGGCCTGCTTCTTCATAATTATTTAGTGTCTGTTATCTCAGAATCACGTAGACCCAGTTACAATATTATAGTTCCCCTTAACTGCTCTATAGTTAACAACTTGAACATAAAACATTGTGTTTTCCACTTGGAGTATTCTTTCAGGTCCTGCATACCAGTGAAATTACTAATGTCAGCTGTTCTGAAGGACCCATTGACACCAGCTGGTCTGAGGGCCCCACTATGACCCTGTCCTGCTGCCCCCCCAGGTCTCCTACTGTAGCTGACCAGAAGTTGACTCACCAAAGAATGCAGTTCCCAAATCCTGATACTTTCATCCCCCTTATCCCACCAATGGACAACCCCAGTTATCTAGCCCCTCACCTCCATGATCTCCTTAAAAACCCCAGCCCAGCACTCCACTGGGAGATAGATTTGAGGGACTCCTCCTCACTGCAGCTCTCCTCCCCCTCACTTGGTGCCCTGTGATCTGATTCTTTCTGTGCTGCACATCCTTGTATCTCAATGTAACTAGTCTCTTATACACAGTAGGCATACAGTCTGTTGGTTCTATGCATCTGCTACTGCTACTGCTAGATGTGTGACCTTAAGCAAGTTACTTAATCCCTGTGGGCCTTAGTTTCATCATCTGTAAAACTGGGTTGTTAAATGATTCTCTATCCCATAGGGTTTCTGTGAGAGGTACATGAGTTAATACAGGCCATGTGCTTAGAACAATGCCTGGAGCATTATCAATACCTAGTAAGTATTATTAACTATTACTACTACTATGATTCGTATGTGTTAGACCAGGTCCTCTAAACCTTGATTGTGTGTAGAAATTGCCTGGTGATCTTGTTTAAACAGGATAGGGGCTGAGATCTGCAGTGACATCCCTTTATGGACTGTGGCCACACTGAGTAGAAAAGTGCAGACACTTCATTAAATGCTGGGATGCAGCAGAGCACCAGTGGTACCTAGTCACCAGACTCAAGGAGCTTATCACCCAAGGGGAATAAGGGTCAATAAACAAAATCATCATGTAAATTCTCATTGTGATAAGTGCCATAAGAAGTAAAGGGTGAAAAGCAAAGGTAGCACAGGGTGCCATGGAAGTCTAGTCTCAAACACTGGAAGTCTTCCCTGATGATGTGGTGTTTAAGAAGAGACTTGGGGGGTGAGTGGGCATTGGACAGTTAAAGAGGGAGGTGGAGAAAGAGCGAATGGCATGGGCAGTCAGGAAGGAGCCTGGTATGGAGGAGGAACCAGCAGAACACCAAGTTTGTCTGCTGCATGGAGAACAAAAGGTAAGCAGTGCAAGATGAAGCAAGGGCCAGATCACATTAGGCCTTTGAAAGCCATGTAAAGGTTTTTGGTCTTTATCCTAAGCATCATAGGCAGCCTTCCAGGGGTTTTAGCAGAAAAGTGACATGCTCAGATTTTTATTTTTTCTTAGAAAGTTATTCTGGCTGCAATGCAGAGAATGATCTGGAAAGAGGTGAGAGGGACACTGGTTAGGAGTTTGTTGTGGGTACTGGCAGTAGGAATAGAGATGAATTTGAGATGTATTTTCGAGGGAGGATTGACAGCAGGAAAGTATCAATAATGACATTAGGTTTCCAGCTTGACCAGATTAAGGTTCTCCATTGGCTGAGCTAGAGAATATTAGAGAATAATGTTTGGAGAAAAGATGAGGTCAGATTTGTGATATCCAGTCCAAAATGCCCATGAGTTATCCAAGTATAGATGTGGAGTAAATTGATAATTGTCCCTTAATATTTGTTCTCCTCTTCTTCAGATCTACCAATTTTTAGCAAGGCCCAAGACACCTAGAGTAGACTGTGTTTCCCAGCTTTCCTTGTGTAATACACGATCAAGTTCTGACCAATTAGATATAAGCAGAGGTGGTGGTGCTACTTCTGGGAAGTGTCCCCAAAAGGATGCCCTTTTCCTTGCTGATTGGAATGGGGACCCAATGGCTGGAGCTGGGCCAGCCATTTTGGACCATGATATAGAAGCATTGTGTTGAGGATCTAGAAGGAGGTCGGGTCCTGAGATCATGGAGCTGCCTCAAGGGCTTTGGACTGCCCGACTTCATATTTCTATATGAGCAAGATATTGAACGCCAACAGGAGATACTTCAGTTGCTGGAAATATAATGACTTTTATTGAAGATTCTGCTATCTTGGGTTTTCTGTCACTCCCAGTCAAACCTAATGTTAACTGATAAGGAAAGCACTCTTCGTTTATTCATTCATTCAACTAACACTCTCTTAATGTTTATATCTAATTTTTCATCATAAGTCCCTACAGTAATATTATACTAGCACAATAGAAATGTTAATACTTTAAAATGAAGCACAATAATGTTATACTAGCATAATAGAAATGTTGATATTTTAAAATGAAACACATGTTAATTTTTAAATGCATCTCATCCAATAAACTTTACACATTGGAGCAATTTGATACTGAGATCGTGAAATTAAGAAGGTTATGTTATTCTTTTTTCTCCTTGAAGTCATTTTTCCATTTTATATCTCCCCATACACACTTGGAATACTATCCTATTATGGAATTTTTTTTCTGTTTTTTGAGATGGAGTCTTGCTCTGTCACCCAGGCTGAAGTGCAGTGGCATGATCTTGGCTCACTGCAACCTCCACCTCCTGGGTTCAAGCAATTCTCCTGCCTTAGCCTCCTGACTAGCTGGGATTACAGGTGTCTGCCACTGTGCCCAGCTAATTTTTGCATTTTTAGTAGAGACGGGGTTTCACCACATTGGTCATGGTTGGCCAGGCTGGTCTTGGACCTCTGACCTCAGGTGATCCATCTGCCTCAGCCTCCCAGGGTGCTGGGATTACAGACGTGAGCCACTGCACCCAACCTTATGGGATATATTTTCATGCTTGCATCTCTTTTATTGATAATCTCATCATACTTCACTGCCACAGAAATATCAACAAAAGTTGTTGGAGTGTTTGCTGTGACCAATTATCATACTATGAGCCAGGGGCACAGCCTCTGTCCTCAAGGATCCCACAGTCTAATGAGTAAGACAGATGCATAAACAGATTATTACATTAATAGAACAGTATGATAAGGGCAGTGAAGGTCTAGTGCCTAAGGAAGAGGGAGGGAGAAGGAAATGCTGTCAGGCAAGTCCCCACAAGAATAGGGATTTCCCTGGTTAATGTGCAGGCTGGGAGTGTGTAGACGGCTCCAGGCAGAGGGGACAGGACTGGCAAAAGTTTAGAGGCAAGAAACATTGTGAAAGGCAAGAGTGGTGCAAGATGAGCCCAGAGATGTGGGTAGGGGCAGCTATATCCCGGATGGAAGCCATAGGAAGGGTGTGGAACAGGGACACAACAAGGCAAGAGCCCAGGGATGGAATGATAAGAGTTTATTGGGCAGGAGGGATGCAAAAGACGGGGGCAGCATGTTTGCTCCTGGTTGAGCTGGAAGTCACAGACATTCGTGGCTTCTTCAGAAGTCACTTCCATCTTGATGACTCCCACATACATCTCTGCGAACCCAAACTTTACTCCAAGTCCCAACTCTCTAAATCCAACAGGGTAACTAGACAATGCCTTTCCTGGGAGTAGGGATTTTGCTTTATTTTATCTTTGTATCCCCAGCCCCTGGTGCTTAGTTGGAGCTAAATAAAGATTTGTTGAATAAGTGAGTTTTTCTCTTGCTCTGCTTAGAGGAAGGTTCAAATATGTTATTCTAGATGGAAAAGGAATAAGGGTGTTTATAGTTTCTCTGCCTCAACCTTCCCAGAGTGGTCCATCCTGGAGGATAAGCACTGTTACAGTCACAAAATACTTTTCAGGATAAATCTTGCACTTGACAGATTGACCACTTTAACATGTCAAAAGTCCTGGTAAACCCCGGATAGCCACTGGGCTGTCCAGGAAGATTCCAATTTCCCCACTTCCAGGTGCATCGTAGGATCTCACTTCTCTATGGCCTGGTGATTTGCTTTGGCCAATGCAGTGTTGGGAGAAGTGAAATGGGCAGAAGCCTTTAAGCGCCAGTTTGACTCCCCATACATGTCCTTTCCCCCGACCCAGCAACCAGATGGTGTCCCTGAGTGAGTTCATGGAGGACAGGTATCTGTCTACCTTTGATGGATATGTAGAATGAGTGAGCAACAGACCTTTCTTGTTATAATCCATAAAACCTTGGGGCTTGTTTGTTAACGCAGCATAATGTAGCCCATCATGTCTAATACGGCCACTCGGAACACTTCTTCTTCACTTGTTACAATGGCAAAGTCTAGGGACCTCGCATATGAGTATATGTAAATAACAATGGTTATGATTTACATTTTAAGTGTCAATGTCTATGTATTTTCATATATATTCAAATGCACAGAGGGAAACAGACTTTTAAATTGTTGCTGACTTGCGTTTCAAATATATTTCTCCTAGAGAACCTTTATGAATCATATTTTCACAACGACTACTTCCACCTGATCCAAATCCCTTGTGTGATACTTCAGTTTTACTTTTGTTTTATGTTCTCAATAAAAATGGGAGAACATTTGTTCACGGTAAGTCTGAGACTTGGAGATTGTACAGTAAATCTGAGACTTGGAGATTGTATAAGTGGTCTCCCCTCTCTTTTACTCTGCTCTCTCTTTAGTGTAAACAATTGTCTTTGTTGTCTTTGTCTCTCTTTGTCTTTTCTCATCAACCATACTTTAAAAACTTAGGTGCAGCCAGGTGCGGAGGTTCACTCCTGTAATCCCAGCACTTTGGGAGGCTGACACGGATGGATTGCCTGAGCCCAGGAGTTCGAGACCAGCCTGGGCAACATGGTGAAACCCCGTTTCTACTAAAATACAAAACAATTAGCCAGGCACACCTGTAGTCCCAGCTACTTAGGAGGCTGAGCTTGAACCCAAGAGGTGGAGGTTGCAGTGAGCCGAGATTGCGCCACGGCACTCCAGCGTGGGCGACAGAGCAAGACTCCATCACTAAAAAACAAAAATAAATAAAAGTTTAGGAGAGATATTTTTTTTTCTCCTGAGGACATGAGGAATAAAGAGATCTCACCTTTGCCTGCTAAGAGTGATTGGTGTTGACAAAGTCAACCTGAATCCAGGAACCAAACTACAAACATGGCCCATTAGACAAAGACCCCTCACCATGGATGCTGGAGCTGCAATTGATTTGATAACTTTGGCTTCAAAATTTAGAGAAGGAGGAAGCTGAAGGAATGTAACACTGTCTTTTTCCTCCCTAAAGAGAATTCAAAAGTCACATTTGATTTTTTTTCCAAACCTATGTCCTTTTGAAAGAAAAAAACTAAAAACAAACAAACAAAAAACAGCATTCTACCATAGACGTAGAAATAATTTCAGGATCCAGTTAGACTTAGTCTGTGTGACCACAGGGGCCAAGAGTCTTCCTTGAGATTTCTATACTTAATGAAATGACACTACGGTTATTAACAACAACAACAGTAATGATAGTAACTAGCCCTTAATGAGCTGCTATGTTCCAGGCATTGTGCTCAGTCCTTTACATGCATTATTTAATTTAAAGCTCTTGATAGCCTTACAAGGTCTTATTCCTATTTCAAAGACAAGAAAATGCAGTGAGAGAGGTAAAGTGATTTGTCAGAGGCTGAGCCAAGATGTGAGCCCTGGTCTGTGTCCCACCAGAGCTCAGGCTACCCCACCGCACCACACTGCCTCAGATGTACTTTCTTGAGAGAGCCCTGTTTTAAACTCCTGCCATCAGTGACCACTCCAGGAGCCTCTGGGCCTCGCTGGGCCTCGCTGCGCCTCGTGAACGTAGAAGCCTCCTTACAGACTGCTCCCTCCACTTCACAGGCTGGCCCACCCCTGCAAAGGTGAAAGATACATCTTAACTATAGCCAGAGGGGCATGCCCCCCACTCCATTAAGAAAGGCAGCGTGTCTCCATCAATGTCATCTTTGGATCCTTTCTGGGGATCGTAGGACTTCTCTGCCTGAAAAAGAAAAGCACTGGGCATTCAGTGCCAGGTGGAACCGGTGCCACCAAGCCTGCCTAGTGTGGAACAGCACTGCCACCGTGTGGCAGACTGGCTGCACCTGGACAACCACTGTGGCAGAGAAAGGCTGGGACCCACGAGCAGTCAGCCATTCATGCATTTATTTAATGTTTGCTGAGCACCTACTATGTGTCTCGTACCTGGCTAGCTGCCTCTGACTGCTACTGCTGCTGTGATCACTTCTCTGGATAGTGAATTAAATGATGTCAACAATTTAGGCTCCAGAGAATGTTTAACACTTATTCATCATTTATTTAGGGTACTTGGTCATTCATTTAGGGGTGATTCATACCACTCAGAAATTATAAAGACAGAGCCAGGCACAGTGGGTCATGCTTGTAATCCCAGAACTTTGGGAGGCTGAGGCAGGAGGATCACTTGAAGCTAGGAGGTCTAGACCAGCCTGGGCAACAAAGCAAGATTCCATCTCTGAAAAGAGTGAAAAAAAAAAATTAGTCAGGCATGGTGACATGTGCCTGTAGTTTCAGCTAATCAAGAGGATCACTTGTGCCCAGGAGTTTGAGGCTGCAGTGAGCCAAGATCATGCTACTGCACTCCTGCCTGGACGACAGATTGAGACCCCATCTCGGAAGGAAGGAAGGAAGGAAGGGAGGGAGGAAGGAAGGAAGGAAGGGAGGGAGGGAGGGAGGAAGGGAGGGAGGGAGGGAGGGAGGAAAACAGAAGAGAAGAAGAGGGAAAGGAAAGGAAGGGAAGGGAAAGGAAGGGAAGGGGAAGGAAGGGGAAGGAAGGGAAAGGAAAGGATAGGAAAGGAAAGGAAAGGAAAGGAAACAATTGTGTGATGCACAGCTTTGTGCAGTGAGGTTTTTTTTGCCTCCAAGGTTTTGGGGACAAGAAGGCACACAGAGAATTAAAGGAGTCCAGAGTTACTTGCTGTCCTGATATAGATCCCATCTCAATTGCTATAAAAGGTTGAGATATGTATTTCTAGAACACATCTTTGCTTCTTTTATATCAACAGTTTAAGAGCATATTTAAAGTATATAATTAAAACTTAGAATATAGAGAAAGACAGAAAATTTTCATGACCTCTTACCCCAACAGTACTATTAACATTTTGATGTATTTCCTTTCAGTCTTTCTTCTACATATTTTTGCAATGATGTAACCAGGATTACATACGATTTTGTTTTACTTTATTGGCATAGCATAATGTCATCATAATCATAATAGCTGACACATTCTGAGCACCCTTGATGTCTCAGGCTCTTTATAGGAGCTTTAAACATTATCCCATGAAACCAAGTTACAACCTTAGGAGATAGTGTTATTATCTTCCTTTTAGTAGACAAGGCAATCAAGGCTCAGAGAGGATACATATTTGTCTTGTCTCTAGTTAAAGTCTATACCAGGTAATTGCATTGTTTTCATTACTGATATTTAATATTCACATTGCATTCCATTTATTCATTTCTCTACTTCACTTGACTACTTGCTATCATTTTAGAGCTTTAGTTGTTTCTAATATGTTTTGCTCATGTAAATATTGCTGCAACAAACATCTCTAAGTAAAACTTCTTATGTATCTCAGATTATTTTCTCTGGGTAGCTTCTCATAAATGGGTTTCTCAATCAAGATTTCAAACTTTTATGGTTGTTAATATTCCCAAATAGATTCTCAATGGATTTGTACAAATTTGTACCATTTGCCAACTATGACCAGCAATGCTTGAGAGTGCTAGTTTCACAGTATCCTCATCAGCACGCTTAATTTTTTTCTGATCTAAAAGATGAGAAATAATCTGACAAATGAATCAGTGATAAATGGACTGTTTTTGTGTATTTTATTATTGGAGAGCCTGGAACCCCTTTCACTTTTCATCACTTACACTGGTGCTTTCCAGCTTCCAGAACCACAGTGAAGAACAGTCTATGTTATCTCACCTGGCTTTTCCTTCCTCAAATTGCATATCCTTTTGGACAGCCCTAGAATGTCTCTGCCATCTTGTATCCTTTAAACTAAGAGTTCTTAACTTAGGGTCCAGGGACCCCCTCCCAAGGGTCCATGGATAGAATTCAGGGTGTCTCTGAACTTGATTGGGAACAAAATTGTATTTTTATTGTTACCAATCTGTCACTGGAATTTAGCATTGGTTTCATTGTTTTTTTTTTCCAGCTTTTTATTTTATTAAAAAACCTTTTTTAAATTTCAATAATTTTTGGAGAACAGGTAGTGTTTGGTTGCATGGAAAAGTTCTTTAGTGGTGATTTCTGAGATTTTGGTGCATATGTCACCTGAGCAGCATACACTGTACCCAATGTGTAGTTTTTATCCCTCACGCCCCTCCCAACCTTCCCTCACAAGTCACCAAAGCCCATTATATCATTCTCTTTTTTTTTGAGACGGAGTCTCGTTCTGTCACCCAGTCTGGATGCAGTGGCACAATCTTGGCTCACTGCAACCTCTGCATCCCAAGTTCAAGCAATTCTCCTGCCTCAGCCTCCTGAGTAGCTGCAACTTCAGGCACCTGCCACCATGCCTGGCTAATTTTTGTTATTTTTTAGTAGAAACAGGGTTTCACCATATTGGCCAGGGTGGTCTCAAACTCCTGACCTCAAGTGATTCTCCCTCCTCGGCCTTCCAAAGTGCTGGGACTACAGGCGTGAGCCGCCATGTCTGGCCCATTATATCATTCTTATGCCTTTGCGTCCTCATAGCTTAGCTGGCACTTATAAGTGAGAACATACAATATTTGGTTTTCCATTCCTGAGTTACTTCACTTAGAATAATGGTCTCTAACCCCATTCGGGTTGCTGCAAATGCCATTAGTTTATTCCTTTTTTGTGGCTGAATAGTATTCTATGGCATATATATATATATATATATAGCTTTTATTCACTCATTGGTTAATGTGCATTTAGGCTGATTCCATATTTTTGCAATTGCGAATTATGGTGCTGTAAACATGCATCTGCAAGTATCTTTTTCATATAATTACTTCTTTTCCTCTAGGTAGATACCCAGTAGTGGAGTTACTGGATCAAATGTTAGTTATGCTTTTAGTTTTTAAAGGAATCTCCATACTTTTTTCCATAATGGTTGTACTAGTTTAGATTCCCACCAGCAGTGTAAATGTGTTCACTTTTTACCACATCCATGCCAACATCTATTTTTTTTTTTATTGTTTAATTATGGTCATTCTTGCAGGAGTAAGGTGGTATCTCATTGTGGTTTTTTTTTTTTTTTTTTTTGCACTTCCCTGATAAAGGTAGTGATGCTGAGTATATTTTCTTATGTTTGTTGGCCATTTGTATATCTTCTTTTGAGAATTGTGTATTCATGTTCTTTGCCCACTTTTCAATGAGATTATTTGTGTTTTTTTGCTGATTTATTTGAGTTCCTTGTAGGTTCTGGATCTTAGTTCTTTGTCAGATGCATAGTTTGTGAATATTTTTTCCCACTGTGTGGGTTATTTATTTTGCTGTGCAGAAGCTTTTTAGTTTATTAAGTCCCATCTATCTATCTTTGTTTTTGTTGCATTTGCTTTGGGTTCTTGCTCATGAACTCTTTGCCTAAGCCAATGTGTAGAATAGTTTTTTCAGTGATATCTTCTATAATTTTTATGGTTTCAGATCTTAGATTTAAGTCTTTGATCCATCTTGAGTTGATTTTTTTTTTTTTTTTTTTTTTTAGATGGAGTCTTGCTCTGTCACCAGGTTGGAGTGCAGTGGCGCAATCTCGGCTCACTGCAACCTCCGCCTCCTTGGTTCAAGTGAGTCTCCTGCCTCAGCCTCCCAAGTAGCTGGGACTACAGGTGCATGCCACCACACCCAGTTAATTTTTGTATTTTTAGTAGAGACAGGTTTTCACCATGTTGGCCAGGATGGTCTCAATTTCCTGACCTTGTGATCCATTCACCTCGGCCTCCCAAAGTCCTGGGATTACAGGCATGAGCCACCCTGCCCGGCCGAGTTGATTTTTGTATAAGGGGAGAGAGGAGGATCCAGCTTCATTCTTTCACATGTGGCTAGCCAATTATCGAAGCACCATTTCTTGCATAGGGTGTCCTTTTCCCACTTCATGTTTTTGTTTGCTTTGTCAAAGATCGGTTGGCTACAACTATTTGGCTTTATTTCTGAGTTCTATATTCTGTTCCATTGGTCTGCATGCCTATTTTTATACCAGTACCATGCTGTTTTGGTGACTATGACCTTATAGGTTGAAATCGGGTAATACGATGCCTCCAGATTTGTTCTTGTTAATTAGTCTTGCTTTGGGTATGTGTGCTCTTTTTGGATTTCATATGAATTGTAGGATTGTTTTTTCTAGTTATGTGAAGAATGTTGATGGTATTTCGACGGAGATTGCATTGAATCTACAGATTGCTTTTGGCAGTATGGTCATTTTCACAATATGGATTCTATCCACCCACGGGCATAGGATGTGATTCCATTTGTGCCATCTATGACTTCTTTCAGTGTTTTATAGTTTTCTTTGTAGAGATCTTTCACCTCCTTGGTTAAATATATTCCTAATTATTTTAAGTTTTTTGTTGTTGTTGTTTTGCAGCTATTATAAAAGGGGTTGAGTTCTTGATTTGATTATCATCTTGGTCATTGTTGGTGTATAGCAGTGCTACTAATTTGTATACATTCATTTTGTATTCTAAAACTTTACTGAATTCATTGATCAGATCTAGGAGCTTTTGGAATGAGTCTTTAGGGTTTTCTAGGTATATGATCATATAATTGGTGAACAGCAAGTTTGACTTCCTCTTTATCGATTTGGTTGCCCTTTATTTCTTTCTCTTGTCTGACTGCTTCGGCTAGGACTTCCAGTACAATGTTGAATAGAAGTGGTGAAAGTGGGTGTCATTGTTTTGTTCCAGTTCTCAGGCAGAATGTGTTCAACTTTTTCCTGTTTGGTATATAGGCTGTGTGTTTGTCATAGATGGCTTTTATTACCTTGAGGTAAGTCCCTTCTGTGCCAATTTTGCTGAGAGTTTTAATCATAAAGGGATGCTGGATTTTGTCAGTGCTTTTTCTGCATCTATTGACATGATCATATGATTTTTGTTTTTAATTCTATTTCTATGATGCATCACATTTATTGACTTGTATATGTTAAACCATCCCTGCATCCCTGGTATGAAATCCCCCCCACTTGATCATGGTGGATTATCTTTCTGATATGTTGTTTGAGTCAGTTAGCTATTAATAGTATTTTGTTGAGGATTTTTGCATCTACGTTTATCAGGGATACTGATCTGTAGTTTTCTTTTTTTGTTATGTCCTTTCCTGGCTTTGGTATTAGGGTGATGCTGCCTTCCTAGAATGATTTAGGGAGGATTCCCTCTTTATCTTTTGGAATAGTTTCAGTAAGATTTGTATCAATTCTTCTTTGAATGCCTTATAGAATCAGCTGTGAATCCATCTGATCCTGGACTTTTTTTGTTGGCAATCTTTAAGTTACTGTTTAAATCTTGCTACTTGTTATTGGTCTCTTCAGAGTTTCTACTTCTTTCTGATTTAATCTAGGAGGGTCGTATATTTCCAGGAATTTATCCATCTCCTCTAGATTTTCTAGTTTCTGTGTGTAAAGGTGTTCATAGTAGCCTTGAATGATCTTTGTGTTTCTCTGGTATTGGTTTTAAGATCTCCCATTTCATTTCTAATTGAGCTTATTTAGATTTTCTCTCTTATTTTCTTGCTTAATCTCACTAATGGTCTATCAATTTCGTTTATCTTTTCGAAGAATCAGCTTTTTATTTCATTTATCTTTTGGATTTTTGGTTTCAATTTCATTTAATCCTGCTTTGATCTTGGTTATTTCTTTTCTTCTGCTAAGTTTGGGTTTGGTTTGTTCTTGTTTCTCTAATTCCTTGAGGCATGAGCTTAGATTGTCTATTTGTGCTCTTTCAGACTTTTGGATGTAGGAATTTAATGCTATGAACTTTCATCTTAGCACTGCTTTTGCTGTATTCCAGAAGTTCTTATATATTGTGTTACTATTATCTTTCAGTTCAAAACATTTTTTAATTTCTATCTTGATTTCATTGTTGACCCAAGGATCGTTCAGGAGCAGATTTTTAAATTTCCCTGTATTTGTATAGTTTTGAGGGTTTCTTTTGGAGTTAATGTCTAGTTTTATTCCTCTGTGGTCTGAGAGATAGTTGATATATTTTTGATTTTCTTAAGTTTATTGAGACTTTTTTTTGTGGCCTATCATATGGTCTGTCTTGGAGAATGTTCCATATGCTGTTGCAAATAATGTATATTCTGCAGTTGTTGAGTAGAATGTTCTGTAAATATCTGTTAAGTCCATTTGTTCTAGGGTATAGCTTAAGTCCCTTGTTTCTTTGTTGAGTTTCTGTCTCAATGACTTGTCTAGTGCTGTCAGTGGAGTATTGAAGTCCCTTTCTAGTATTGTGTTGTCATCTATCTCATTTCTTAGGTCTAGTAATAATTGTCTTATAAATTTGGGAGCTCCAGTGTTAGGTGCATGCATATTTAGGACTGTGATATTTTGTTTGTTGGACTCATCCTTTAATCATTATTTAATATCCCTCTTTGTTGTTTTTTTTTTAACTGTTGTTGCTTTGAAGTCTCTTTGGTATGATACAAGAATAGCTACTCCTGCTTGCGTTTGGTTTCCATTTGCATGTAATATCTTTTCCACCCCTTTACCTAAAGTTTATGGGAGTCCAGCATTAGGTGAGTCTTTTGAAGACAGCAGATATGTGGTTGGTAGGTTTTTATGCATTCTGCCATTCCTTAGCTTTTAAGTGGAGCATTTAAACCACTCACATTCAATGTTAGTATTGAGATGTGAGGTACTGTTTTATTCATCATGTTAGTTGTTCCCTGAATACCGTTTTTTTCCCTGTTGCATTATTGTTTTTTAGATCCTGTGAGATTTATGCTTAAAGGAAGTCCTATTTTGGCATAATTTGAAGTTTTGTTTCAAGATTTAGAACTCCTTTTAGCATTTCTTGTAGCTCTCACCTGGTAGTGGCTAATTCTCTTAGCATTGTTTCTCTGAAAAAGACTTTATCTCTCCTTCATTTATGAAACTTAGTTTTGCTGGAAACAAAATTCTTGGCTGGCAATTATTTTGTTTCAGGTGGCTAAAGATAGGACCCGAATCTCTTCTGGCTTGTAGGGTTTCTGCTGAGAAGTCTGCTGTTAATCTGATAGGTTATCCTTTATAGGTTACCTAATGTTTTTGACTCACAGCTCTTGAGATTCTTTCCTTAGTCTTGACTTTAGATAACCTGGTGACTAAGTGCTTAGGTGATTATCTTTTTGCAATGAATTTCCCAGGTGTTCTTTGAGCTTCTTATGTTTGGATGTCTAGATCTCTAGCAAGACCGGGGAAGTTTTCCTCGATTATTCCCTCAAATAAGTTTTCCAAACTTTTAGATTTCTCTTCTTCCTTAGGAACACCAATTATTCTTAGGTTTGGCCATTTAACATAATCCCAAATTTCTTGGAGGCTTTGTTCATTTTTTAATTTTTTTTTTTTTTTTTGAGACAGAGTCTTGCTCTGTCACCCAGGCTGGAGGTCAGTGGTGTGATCTTAGCTCACTGCAATCTCCACCTCCGGAGTTCAAGCAATTCTCCTGCCTCAGCCTCCTAAATAGCTGGGATTACAGGCTTGCACCATCATGCCCAGGTAATTTTTGTATTTTTAGTGTAGATGGGGTTTCACCATGTTGTCCAGGCTGGTCTTGAACTCCTGACCTCAGATGATCCACCCGTCTTGGCCTCCCAAAGTGCTGGGATTACAGGCATGAGCCACCATGCCCTGACTAAATATTTTTTCTTTGTCTTTGTCTGATTGAGTTAATTCAAAAGCCTTGTCTTCAAGCTCTGAAGTTCTTTATTCTACTTGTTCTAGTCTATTGTTGACACTTTCCAGTGCCTTTTGTATTTCTCTAAGTGTGTCTTTTATTTCCAGAAGTTGTGATTGTGTTTTCTTTATGATATCTATTTCTCTGGAGAATTTCTCATCCATATCCTGCATTACAAAAAAAATTTCTTTAAGTTGTTTTTCACCTTTCTCTGGCATCTCCTGGAGTAGCTTAACAATCAACCTTCTGAATTCTTTTTCTGGCAATTCAGAGAATTCTTCTTGATTTGGATCCATTGCTGGAAAGCTATTGTGGTCTTTTTGGGGTGTTATAGAACCTTGTTTTGTCATATTTCCAGAATGACTTTTCTGATTCCTTCTCATTCGGATAGACTATTTCAGTGGAAAAATCTGGAACTCAAGGGCTGTTGTTCAGATTGTTTTGTCCCATGGGGTGATGCCTTGATGTGGCGTGCTCCCCCTTTCGCTAGGGGTGGGGCTTCCTGGGAGATGGACTGCAGCAATTGTTATTACTCTTCTTGGTCCAGCCACCCAGCAGGGCTACCAGGCTCTGGGCTGGTGCTGGGGAATGTCTGCAAAGAGCCCTGCAATGTGATCCATCTTCAGGTCTCCCAGCTGGGGATACCAGGACCTGCTCTGGTGGAGGTGGTAGGGGAGTGAAATAGACTCTGTGAGAGTCCGTGGTTGTAGATGTGTTTAGTGTGTTGGCTTTCTCAAATGCTGCTGACGCTAGCAGTGAAGTTGCCACAGGGACAAACTCAGGACCACTGGTTAGTCAGCATGTTGCAGGCAGTGGAATTAGCTGTTGTTTTCTCTTTCCTTGGAGCTGGGTTATTCTGTCATGAGTTGCTGTGATGTCCTGAGTTGGTTGACCTCCAGCCAGGAGGTGGTGCTTTTAAGAGAGCACCAGCTGAGATAGTAGAAGGGGGATATAAGCTTGCCCTACCTTAGCCAGGGTAAGTATTTGGGTTTCTCAGGTGATGGGCAGGGCCATAAAGCTTCCAAGAGTTTATGTCTTTTGTGATTGGCTACCGGGGTGGTAGAGAAATACCAACAGGTGGGGGCAGGGTTAGGCCTATCTGAGCTCAGACTCTCCTTGTGCAGGGCTTGCCCAGGCTACTGTGAGAAATGGTGGTGGAGTGGTTCTTAGGTCAATGGGGTTATGTTCCAGAAGGGATTATGGCTGCCTCTGTCACTAGGGAAGTGGGGGAAAGCCAGTAGGGATAGGGCTCACCCAGCTCCCAGGCAGTTGCCTGGTGAGGCCGGTCTCTCTCCTGCTGTACTCCACTAGTAGCACTGAGTTTATCTTCAGGCAGCCTGCAGGCAGAACCCAGATCTTGCCCCAGGCTATAAGCTTCCCTGCTGAGAAAACCAGCAAGACTTTGAAGCCACACCCCTCCCCATCTGCCCACACTGTCATTCACCCCTGGATTCTGCTCAAGAGAGTTTGTGCACAGTTGAAATTATTACAAAGTTCAGTTGGAAACTTCTTTCACCCTGTGACCCCTCCCAAATTCTGCTGGCTGCCTTCCCCAAGGGCTCCTATGAGATATAGTCAGGGATGGCCTCCCTGGGATTGAGCTGGAGAGGAAGAGTGCCTGCAAGCCTCTTCCTGTTGCTGCTTCTACTTTTATATTTCGCACTAAGTCCATTTCAGCTCTAGGTAAGGTTAAATCCTTCTGTAATCTGGATTTTCAGGTTCCCCAGTGAGGATGTGTGTTCGGAGGCCAGTTTTCCCCCTCTCACACTTTGGGAACTCACCGTTTTTTGCCTGTCTCACAGAATTTGCAGTGGCAATGCCGCTTCTTTCAAAAGATCTGTGAATATTTTTGCTTCACTTTCTAGTTTCACTGTTAATATAGGCAACAACCCACTGTGGTATTAGCATCAGCTGTGATGTCACTTATGCTGAGCAACACTTTGAAATCACAGTCGAAGCTTCCAACTGAAGCATCTTACACATGCTACCAGACCTTGTGTTTTGAAGAACTGATAAATAAGCACATGTATTACTGATGCGGTGTCATTGTCTGGGGTAAATACTCGGGGTTCGTCATCTCATGCCAAGAAAAGTTAGGACACAGGCACACACAAGGAGTTTAGGAGCAGAGGTTTCATAGGCAAAAGGAAGAGAAAGGAGAACAGCTCTCTCTCTCTCTAGTGAGAGAGAGGGGCTTCCAAAAGGAAGGACGAGCTGGCGGTGGAGTTTTCTGGATTTTATAGGCAGACTTGAGGAAGTGGTGTCTGATTTATGTAGAGCCCACAGATTGGTTCGATCAGGTGTGACGTTTACATAGTATGTGGGGAAGGCTGGCCACCCCACTCTAATCTTATTATGCAAATGGGCTTTTCACTTGACCAGAAAGCCCTTACTGTACACTTGGCTGTTAAAGAGAAGGGAAGATGGAGCCGCCATTTTGAACATGTCTAGTCTCAGGTAGCTTTTTCCTGCTGGCATTCACTGGTGCAAGCCTCTAGCTTGTTTGTCTATGTCTGCATCTGGATTTTACAGGCTGCTCTTTGTTAGAAAATGATTTGGGGGCTGCTTTTCATTAAAAAGGAAAATCTTACTGAGAACTCCTGTACCTTCACTATCTGCCTTAGTAATTTCTTCTTAATTCCTATGCCACAAATTTTTTTAAAAAATAGTTTAATAATCGTATATCAATGCAACTGTTTTCCTTTATAATCCCATGTATTTCATTTCAAAAAATCAATACATTAAAATTTAAAATATTCTGAGACTAGGTCCATAGGCTTCACTTGACTACCTGGATTATAGCAAAAATAAATATCCCCAACAGAAGAATTCCAGGTAATAATTGTAGGTACTCCCATTTCTAAGGGGTGGAGCTCAGTTCCTTTCCCCTTGAGTGTTCATTGGATTTAGTGATTCACTTCTAAAGAACAGAGTATGGAAGGGGAAAGTAGTAACCTTTTACGTTGATGTCATAATCCCTGAAGTCATGCAATGAGAAAAGGACCTCACCTCTGACATTCTTCCCCCAGAATCTATAACCCTATTCTAATCGTGAGGGAAATCATTACAAACCCAAATGGAGGGACATTCTGTGAAATACCTGACCAGTACTCTTCAAAAGTGTCAAGGTCATGACAGACAAGGAAAGTACTGCAGTCTGGAGAATATTAAGGAGAAGACTAAGCAGAAACCTAGGCTCCTGAGAACTAGGTACAACGTGGTTCCCTGGATGAGATCCTGGCACAGAAAAAGGACATTGGCAGAGAACTGGTGAAATCTAAATAAAATTTTTAGTTTAGGTAGTATCACTCTACTAATGCTAATTCTTTAGTTGGTAAGACTTCTCTGGCTATATCAGATATAACCAAAGGGGAGTAACATTAGAAGAACCTGGGTTAAGTGTATGCAGGAACTCCTCATACTATCTTTGCAACTCTTCTGTAAATCTAATATTTTTCCACATTAAAAGTTTAAAGAAAATCCCCTACAACTTCTTGTCCTAAACCACTCTCTCCTCCCAACTTCTAGTTCATGAATTCATTTGTTTATCCATTCAACAAATGTACTGAGCAACAACTTAGTGGCATGGGGATGGAGCAGGGGCATGAAGACAATGACAAGACAATGTGAAGACAGTGGCCTCAAGGAGCTTATGGTCTTTCCTGCAAATCTGCAAGACCTGCAGACAGTTATGATGCGATGGCATGAATGCTTCAGTGGAGAATTGTGCAGTGTGTGACACAAGCATAGGAGAAGGAAGAGAAGTAGGACTTTGCCAGGTGAGCAAGGCACTGTGGGCACAGTGACGAGCAGGTGTGCAGGCACACAGGTGAGAGAACACAGTGTCATCAGGAAACTATCAGTAATTCCATCTTATAGGAGTGAGTAATACAAGGGGAAGTTGCACTCAGTGAGGCACAGAGGGAGACAGGGGGGATATTCCAAGGATTGAGATTTTGTCCTGCAGGTGAAGGTAAACAACTGATGTGTTCTAAGCAAGTGAGTCACAGATTTGCACTACAGAAAGATAAGAAACCGGACAAGGTGGAGGCTCTCCGGCTACGGACAGAGGAATGACCCCAGGCTCTGTGCCTTGCCTTCTGCTTTGAGTCCTTCCTCTATTACGTCTCCCTGGACTGGTCCTCACTGCCTGAACACCCCCATCCTTTTTCTCTGCCTCCCTGCCTTAGAGCATCGATGTAGCCTTGGATTGTGCCATTCCTTGTTGAGACAGCTCCACAGACTATACATGTATGTCCTTTACTCACCTCTCACTTGCTGACTTCTTAGTGTTGTGGCTGGTGCTCAGCCACCAGGACTTTGCCTATGGGCAAGGAAGTGCATACAATTGCAAAGCACAGATGGGAGGCGTTGAGAGACCAAGTCAGCAGTTGCCGGGTTGGAGAGGAGGAGATGAATACAAGAGATGTTCAGTAGAGAAAATCAATAGAAAACATTGACAAATTGGAAATGGGGAGAGAGAAAGGAAGGATTCTGATGACAATGCCAGCTATTCAGCTTACAGAAGCGAATGGATGGCTCTGCCCTTCTCTGTGATAGGCAACAGAGGAAGGCGGGGGAGGGGAGGAGTTGGAGGAGGAGGGATGAAGAAAGGGATAATGAGAAGCTTTGGTGGGTTGAATTCATTGTGCTGGGGAAACAGTTGTCCATCCAGACTTTGGAAGAACCATTTAGGAAGAGGATAAAGATGTGAGGTTATCCACATATTTCTAGTATCCTGTGACAATAGGGTACATGTATGTATCCATACACATATGTGTCTCTTCCTCTTAAGCCAGTTTTCACTGAGAAAAATAAAGAGCTCTGAGCATAGAGTAAAATAAGTCTTGATTCAGGTTCTAGTTCTGCCATGTCCCATTTGTATCAAGGCTCTCCAGAGAAAACCAATGTGTCCACTGAGAAGTCCTGGGAGCAATGAGTACACTACACCAGCATCTCTTGAAACTTAGGTTTCCTGAAGAAATGGCTGCTTCCAGGACTGAAGAAGAGAAAGGACGAGATGAGAATGTAACATCCTGTTGTGTCAGGAAGTAATGAAGTGCTCAAAGAATGATTAGGTCATGTAAAAACCAGAAACCAGATGGAATGGGCTCCCACTGAGTGACCGGATCAGGGACAATCTGCACATCAAAATAAATAATGAAGCTAACAGAATTCACTGAAAACTAGACAATCACTAGTCTAGTCTAGTGGTTTTCTGATAGTGTTTATCTGATAGATAAACAATCAATTGAAAGTTTGATGGGGCACGGGATATTTACAAAGTTTTAAAGTCCCTCTACACATAGCATGCCCTCAATTAATGTTAATACTACCACAATGAACAAATGCTTTTTAACTACAAAGAGGGGAAAAGAGTGACTTCACAGCAAAAAAGCCTGGCAGACACCACCTTAATCAAGTGATCCAAGTGGGCATCGTCAGACACAGGAGGATGGAGATCACGTGCCACTTGGTAAGATGAAGCCAGAGTGAGAGGACCAGCTCCATGGCATTCCTGTGAAAGAGCAGCACCTGAATTTCGTTGTGAGAAAATGTTGGACAAGCTAAAATTGAGGGTCATTCTACAAAACCAATGGCCTGAACTCTTCGAAAATGTCAAGATCGTGACAAACAAAACAGAACTCATCTTCCAGATTGATGGAGACTAGAGAGGCATGAAACTAAAAAAAATGGTGTGTTCCTGGAGTGAATGTTGAACACACAAAGATTATTTTTCTTTTGTTTAAGGATCATCAGAGGAACAACTGGAGAAATTTGAATAAGGACTGCAGGTTAAAAAATAGTATTGTATCCATGTTAATTTTTTTTGAGACGGAGTCTGTCTGTGGCCCAGGCTGGAGTGCAGTGGTGGTGCGATCTTGCCTCACTGCAAGCTCCGCCTCCCGGGTTCACGCCATTCTCCTGCCTCAGCCTCCCGAGTAGCTGGGACTACAGGCGCCTGCCACCATGCCTGGCTAATTTTTTTTGTATTTTTAGTAGAGACGGGGTTTCACCATGTTAGCCAGGATGGTCTCGATCTCCTGACCTCGTGATCTGACTGCCTCGGCCTCCCAAAGTGCTGGGATTACAGAGGTGAGCCACTGCACCTGGCCCCATGCTAATTTCTTGACATTGATTTTGATCTTGATTATGTAGGGGAGAGAAGGTCCTTGCTTATAAGAAATAGTACAATATTCACAGGTGCTGGAGCATCTGGCCAGAAATTTACTTTCAAGTGTTCAAGAAAAAGAAACATCTTTGCATTGCATTTGCATTTTTAATGTAAGTTTATGATTATGATTGGGAGTTGCTGAAGACATTTGTGTATGTGTGTGTGTGACCAGTTTTTCCCTAATCTACCACAATATTGTCCTTTTTTTCAACCTACCACAATGGCCAAAGAAGAACTCTTATTTCCAATCCTAGATAGGCTCCTTATCTCAATAAATGGCCTGAAACATTTGCTTTCTTGCTTAAGACAAAGCCTAGGAGACATCCTGACCCCCTTTTAAGCCACATCTTCCATCCAACCTACCAGCAAGTCCTGCCAAGCCTACTTCCAACACAGATCTTGAACTTGTTCTCTTTCCATGGCTGCTGCTTCCTCCCTCACATGAGCCACCCCATGTGCGTGTGAAGGGGAATTTCATAAACAGGTCCATAGGAGGCTATGATCTCTCTGTGTCCCGTGGCCACATGTCTGGCAGTAGACCTGAGGTTGAGCTTGGTCAGAAGGATGCTGACGGTCAGCTGAACTTGCGTGGAGGAGAGCAAAGGTGTGCAGGACTCATGAGCACCTCCACATTTCTCTGTCACTGCAGGAGACTATAAGTCCTTAAGAGCATGATGGACACCACGTCCTTCTGCCTTCAAATCACACATGAGTTCTTCCTTTGTCTAATTCTAACTGGAACCATACAAACAAGGGGGTCTAGGAAATGTGACTGCTAGCAAACATGTCGATGAGCGCATTCCCATTGCATCGGCCCCTGCCCATGCAACCTCAAGAAGCCATGTGACCTCACTCTATCCCATCATTCTGCTCAGGCCTCTGCAGAGCTGCTGCATTCTCAGTGGTTTACGGTGGCATTCTCCGCCAGGAAGTTAACTCGGGAGCATGGATCACATCCATTTTGGTGCCTACTGAATCTCTAGCACTAGAGCAGTGCCTTAGTCCATTCAGGCTAAAATCCACAGACTGGGTGGCTTATTAACAACGGAAATGTATTTCTTACAGTTGGGAAGGCTGGAAGTCCAAGATCAAGGCACTAGTAAATGGTGTCTGGTGAGGTCCCACTTCCTGGGTCATAGACCTTCTTCTCACTGTGTCCTCACATGGTGGAATGGGTGAGGGAGCTCTCTGGGGTCTCTTTCATCAGGGCATTAAACAAGGGATCCACCCTCATGATCTAGTCACCTCCCAAAATCCCTTAGGGGTTAGGATTGGGGGTTAGGAGTTCGACAAATGAACTGTAAATAACAACATTCAGTTTATAGCAAACAGGGAGTGGCACATGGTAATGAATAAATGCCCCCCCCCCCACTCACCTTGACATATGATTCTCTATTTTTGGATCTGCTACTTACAACAGCTTACTTCCACATGCTAATTTTTTAAATTACATAGCAATTATTAGTACTTTTTTATTTTAAGTTAAAAAAAAATCCCACACAAATTGACTTCAGTAAAGGGAATATATTGGTTCAGGGAATTGAAAAACCCAGGCATTTTTCAGGCACGTCTGGTCCATGGGACTCCAATGCCTCTGAGATCTGTTCTGCTTCCTGTGTGTTGGTTTCAATCTCAGGCAGGCTTTCCCTTGGGGTGGCACCTGGAAGCTCAAGACTTCTCTTCCTATGAGTTCCAACAGAGCTTCTTTCTTGCTAGTCATTTCCACAAAGTCCTAGGAGTGGAAGGAACATTCCCAGAGAAAAATCGAAGTACTGTTAAGAGAAGGAAGGAAAATGGATGTCCGCTGGATAAATGCATTTGTTTGCTACAGATTTGTTGTAAGGATTAAGAGATGATATTTTAAAGTTTCTGGCATGTAGCAAGCCCTCAATTAATGCAAGTTGCTGCAACAATACTTAATATTATCATGTAATTATTCTTACTGTATGAATCATTTTATAAGCTGTAGGATAGCAAATCAATGCTAGATTTCATTATCTCCTTTGGAGTTCAGCAGATGTGGACAGCTCAATTCAGGAGCAGAGGGGAGGAGAAGCCTCCATTTTCAGGCCCAAGGGGCAGGCAGCAGCTTTCCATTTGGGTGGCCAGGTTGGGGGAAAAGCCTGGTTTCCTGTGGTTCTTGGCACGGCCACTTGGTGGCAGTCTTAGCCCACTGTGCCCTTCCCAGCCAGGCCCAGCTGCTCATCTGGGTTTCCCCTGAGAGCCTCAGGGACTCTACCCCTCTGCATACCACAGCTCTGTCCCTTACGCTAGGTATGGGGGCACTCACACGTGGGTAGATGCATATAAAGGATTTCAGTGCTGTGCCAGGGTCACAAGGAGGGGGAAGAGAGGCTTTTGGCCAGTCTGGGCATCTCCACCAAGCGTTTGCAGGACTGGTGAGCAGGTGGGGCCAGGGACTCCAGTGAACATTTGTCATGTTGCGTAGCGCTTGTCCAGTATCGTTGCTGTACTGGAGGATGTTCTGGCTTTCGGAGTCCCACCTCCCCATAGTTGATGCTGAGACCTCCATTCCCCAGGCTTCTTTACATCACCGGCATCGGTGAGACCCAGGCAACGCAACAGACTCACTGATGTGAGTCTTCAGTCCAGAGGTGAGACTGAAGGAGGAGAGAGGTTCTTTCCTGTACCCATTTTGCTGGCAAAGATGGTTGCGGAGGCATCTGGCTTTCTCTAGTGGGGTAGGGGTGGGGAGGGGAAGTTGGTTGTAGCAGTTGAAAGGTCAAGCTCTCAATCCAGAGGTGATATTGAAGGGGGACATGGATGGCAGTGGTGTTCCAATAAGACTGATTGCTCAGCATTGTAACGGACATGACTTTTGAAAGCTTGGTCTTAACGCTTGTTCTCCCGGCCTCCCACAATGGTGTGAATCACTCAATATCCTTTCAATGTACTCCTTGTTTTGTTTAATCAGCCAGAATTGCTTGGGGTGCTTGCAGCTAAGAACCCTGGCTAATATGAATACTAATGCTGATGTTTCACATGCCAAGGATAGGGCCTCTTTAAAATTCAAACACTTCTGTGAGGTCTCATTTTAGAGATGAAGCAAGTATACTCAGAGACTTTAAGTACTTTGCCTATGGTCACACAACTTGGAAGCACCAGAGCTTAGATTCCAAAGCAAGATATGTTGCTTTTTGGAGCCTATGATCTTTCCAATGTGCTGGACCTTGAGTTCCATCAGGACAGGGATGTTGTCTATCGTATTCATCACTGCACCTCCATTACTCAGCGCATATGTGCCGACATAGTAGGTGCTCAGTAAACATTTCACCTCAGTAAATACTGAACTAATGAGTAACTAAAAATGCCACAATCTCTTATCTTGGAGTGTGTTTGGACTTGGGTCTTCCCTGGGGGCAAGATGGGGGTAAAGGGCAGGTAGGCTTTGCCACTTGAAAGTCTCCCCTCCCTCTTGAGGCCCCCCTGCTCCTTGGTACACCATGTCCTGCACGCTCCAGCACTTCTGTGCATTCTGACCTTTGCCAGCTCAGCTCACTGCCCGTACTTGGAAGGTGACCTGGAACAATGGCTGTGATTGTGTTGGCTGTTTGCTTCCTCTGCCTTCAGTGGTCCAGGTCTCGGTGGGAGATCAGGGCTGTTGCTATCAAAGCCATCTAGAATCTGAACAGGGTCGTCTGTGCATTGATGCCTCAGTCTCCTCTCCCCAGGCCTGAAGAGCGGCTGCCTGGCCTCTGCTTAAGGGCACTGACTGTCCACTTTTAGAGCCACTCCAAGAAACAGAATGGTCTGTTTTTCGTGTGTATAAAACAGACTTCCCTACAATGTTTGTTCTACTTGAGCCCTCAGGAGTATTAAATATTAAGTCCACCCTCTTTTCTAAACAACAGTCTTTGTATACATGAAGACAGCTGTTCAAAGTGTATGTTTTTCCTCCCACCCTCCCATCTGCTTTCACGGTTTCTTCCCCAAGCTCAACATACTCAACTCCTCTACATGCTCCTCATCAGACATGGCTATGAGTTCCTTCAGCCTCCAGTGCTTCTGCCCTGGACGGGCCCCCTGGCCATCACTTCTCCTTGGGTATAGCATGGGACCTGGAGGCTACACCACAGCAGGGCAGAGCACCACAGCAGGGCTACACCACACCAATGCTGGCTTATACATTGCTCCCTATGGAGACTTCATGACTGGGTTCTAATCCTGTCTCTGCCTCTTCCTAGCTGTGTGACTCTCAGCAAATGATCGAACCTCTCTTGCCACGGTTTCTTCATCTGTAAGATGGGGTTAATAATAGTATCTACTCAGAATTGTTCTAAGTGCTAAATGAATAAATATTTGTGGAGTGCTTAAAGCATGGCCAGACGTAGTGTTATAGAAGTGTTACACATAAATAAATCAAACTGTCAGTTTCAGTATCACAAGTATTTTTGACCATCTGCAATGCATCATCTCTCATATTGAGTTTATAGTCCATTTAGACCCCAGTCTTTTATTTTTCTATTTCAAATATTCTCTGTTGCTGAGCCCCATTGTCTTCAGCGTGCACTTTTCGTGGTTGGATTTTTTGAGAGTGTGCAGGAGTTTCCATCTGTCCCTGTGGCATTACATCATCTCAGCTGCTGTTTCCCCACACAGCTGAGCTGAGCTCCTTTGGGGTGCTAACTGCCGTCCAGCATGTGTGGTGAAGTGTGCTGGGTTTTGGGAATTGTCTTGCCAACATCCAGACACATGGCTGTGTCTACAGCATTTCCTGTCTGTCTACATGGAACCGCAGAAACTCCTGAAAGAGTTTCCCCAGCCTCAGTTGGATGGTGCTAGGACCTCAGGCCAGGCGTTTCATGGTGGAGATGTTCCCCAGCCGCACACCTGCCAGTTTCTCTATGTGCGGTCTAAGGACCACATGCAATGGAATCTTCCTGCCCCAGACCCAAGTCATCACACTTGTGGTATGGCTTCCAGGTCCCATGCCATAGCCAAGGTATGGATCTCTGGGGCTGGAGTCCATGAATGTGCAGTTTAAACAGTGCCTCGGGAGACTCAGAAGGGTGATGTAGGGGATGATGGAGGAGCTTGGCCAAGTGTGGTGGGGAGGAGAGTTGCTGCTGCATCCCAGCCTGGGTCTGCCCATGACAGACCCTCTCCATGTCTCAGAGGACGGGCTTTCTTTCCTCCTTCAGCATCAGGACATGGACTACAGCAGGGCTTGTGGGCTAGATTCCTGCGCTCCAAACTGAGGCTCCCTAGGGAAGATCCAACACCTGTTGGTGTGAGCGATCTTCCAAGCCTACTTCCTCATGCTCACAGCCACCTTTCCAACAGCCTGTGTATGACCATCCCCATGGGAAGCACTCTAAACAGACCCCTGTGGGTTATCATGTTTTGAGCTGGGGTTGGAAGCTCAGTTTCAGGAAGGAGAAACAGCACAATGCTCTCCCTGGTCACTGACACCTAGACCTGGGGACCAGTAGACCCTTCCCAGATCACACTTGGCCTCCTCTTTGCTCTTTCTCAGTCTCTCAACCCAGAGGTTTTCCCCCTTAGGGAGGAGACTCCAAGCAAGGAGGCTCCAAGGCTTTGCATGGTCAGCCTTGGGCCTCAGATAACCACAGCTTTGGGACACGCAGGTAGACCCAATAACAATAATCCTGCCTTTCAAGGTCCTCTAACTCAAGTCTTCCCAGCTCTTCCCCATCGTGAAGGTGCTGCTCACTGACTGGACATTGCCACCAGCCTGGAGGAAGGAGGAGGTGGTGACCCATGACCAGGGGCTGGGCAGGCAGAGCAGAGAACCTCTCTAGGCACATGTGAGCCTTGTGGGTAGAGGTGTGGACTTCCTCCAGGGTACTGGACAGTGGGCACTGCTGTGTGGCTGTCAAAGGCATCTTCTTGGCCAGCTGTAGGCCCTGTTTGCGCACACACAGATG
The DNA here is from genome assembly GCF_000001405.40 of Homo sapiens. Lineage (NCBI taxonomy): Eukaryota > Metazoa > Chordata > Mammalia > Primates > Hominidae > Homo > Homo sapiens. The sequence goes on along the minus strand of NC_000011.10, from coordinate 113,286,018 downwards.
AACATGGGCAGGTAACCATGGCTGGTATGCACGTGTAATCATTTCACTCATGCACTCATTCACTCTGTCATTCATGAGACTGACAAATATCAAGTTCTGGCTTTGTAGCAGGTGCTGTATGTGGTGCCGGGATAAAGTAGTAATGAAGACAGACACAGAACTTGCCCTGGAGGAGTTCAGAGATCAGTGAGAAAGAGAAACAAATCAGAGACTAAACAAAGCATGAGGTCTTAGGATATGTTAAAAATATTTACAGACTCTATTCTGTGAACACCAGCCATAGTGTTGGAGCAAAGCCCTGGAGATCCTCTCTGGGCCAGGTAGAGCCACCTACAAATTCCTTTGTGAGGGGCTGGGGTGACAGCAGCTACTTTTAACAGCAAAGAAGCATTGCAATATTTTAATAACCTGATATGACCAAACCAGCACGGGCCAGCTGTATAATTGGCCCTCAACAGAACATAAAACAGCAGAATGCAAGCTGGATCAGGTGTCAGGAAAGGCATACCTGAGCCTTTGAACTCAGATATCTGAACTAAGACCTAACGATGGAGTAAAAGTCAAGGATTCGTTGCAGGCATTGGCGGGTGCTAGAGAGACTTCCAGAGAAAACAAGAAGTGTTTGCACCTGTGGAAACACAGAGATGAGAAAGCACATGGCATAGCCAAGAAAATACCATCATTTCACTATATATGGCATGTAGCATGTGAAGAGAGAATAGTGTGAGATGGGCTTGGAGAGGTCATTAAGGCATCTCATCGGCAACATTAAGAGGGTTGAGGATGAGATAGACCCTAATTTGATGGAGATTAAATTTCTACCACTGCATAGAATGACAGATTGAAGGAGAAGTTAAGTTCAATAGTAGAAAAAGCATGCACTTCATATTTATTGAGAGTCTTACCTACCACACGTTTGAAGAGAAGTAGCCAGCAGAGAAGGTCTTTAAGTACTTGGAACACAAGCTCCCTCATGATCTTAGGTCTTGGCTTAAATGCCACCTCCTCAGAGAAGTCTTCCCTAATTGTCCCATGTAAAATGGCAGCTCCTCCTCATGAGTTACCTCTTTGCCTCATATGTGCCTGTCTCTTTGCAGCACTTGTCATCATTGGCTTATTGTATATAGTTATTTAGAACGTAGGATCTATGAGGGTGATCTTTCTTTCCTCAGCACCTAGAACAGCTTTGGCCTTGGCAGGTGCTCAATAAACATTGGAAGGGATATTGAATGGATGAGAAAGACCCCATTGAAGTAGAACACAAAGGCCAGGGCCCAGGGAAAGGGATTGCTGTAGAAAGGGAGAGATACTGCTTCTGTTATAACAGGGGCAGAGGAGGAAGGGGCGACCTGAACGCAGGTAGGTGTGTAGATTTGGTGTTGGGAATGGAGGTCGTTCCTTTCTGATGGCTCCTCTTTTCTTTTACAGGAAGGAAGCAAGACTGGTAGCTGAGATGAAAGAGGTGGTGGAGGAATGAATTGGTTTGGAAAAGTGAAGACATTTTTGTAGAGGAGAACTGAATGAGTTGCTGACAAATGTCAGTAGGACTGCCAGGCAGTGCTGAGGACCTTGTTGAGAGTGACCTTCAATATTGCTAATAATGAGCCTGGTCATGTGGTTTTTCTCAAATAGCATCCAGCTGACCAGGTGTAACTAAAGAGGTGGCAGCCAGGAGATTTTCCAGGGCTAGAGTTCTACAAGACAGAGGCAATGTGAGAGCATCAAGGCAAGGAAGTTTCTGATATCATTGACTGTGTGGCTGCCATGCTAGACCTGGGAATTGAGGCTGGATATGGACGGAGGTGAAGGGAGGATGTGGCAAATAGAGGAAAATCTAGGAGTCAATAACTAGGCAATGACAAAGAACTGATGTATGAAACTAGTTGGGTGAGTGAGCTAGATGGATCCAAGGGAGTGTTGGAGAGTGGGGAATCTGGACTCTGGACTCTGACTTAGGTGAATGGCATGATCAGCCCAGAGTTTGACCAAGAGCAAAAGTGGCTTACGTGGAGTGAAGAGGAAGGTCATTGGAGATGAGGAGGTCAAACTGAGGGGCCTTTGTGTTGGAGGAATTGCCCATATAATGTACTGAAGTCACTGAGGATGATGGTGGACCTTCAGGAGAGAGGAGGATCATGGGCTAAAGATTAAAGTCTTCACGAGTAAGTGCATATTCAGGATTCTGCACTTGGCATTGGCAGCCTAGGGGACTCAATGGCATGATCCTTGGTGGAACATCGGCCTGACAACAAAGTGAGGGAATGATAGTCTGGAGGTGACAATAAGGGGCAAGTAAGACACAGCCCCTGTGCCCAGATCCTAGGGCACTCAGGGTGCAGAATAAGTAGCAGTGTCCAGGAATCAGTGTCTGGAGAAGAGGAGAACCAAGTAAGGAAAGGTGATGCAAACACATTGACAGGGAAGGTGAAAGCATAGAGAAGTTTGTTGATCGTCTTATGGGAATCCCAGAACCTGGCAGAATAATTTAGGAGGGAGGAGAGGAATGGAACTGAGCTTTCTCTGCCTGGATGTACCTCTACCAGTTTTCCATCCCTCAGAATCTTTTATTACATGACCACATCTAATAGGGAAAGCAGCCATGTTCTCACCCTACCTTTCTTTCCTTAGCATTATTTGAGAACAAGTCATATTGGTAGGGAGATGGCAAAAATAAATAAACCCTAATGCTTAGTTCTGCATAGAAGCTACTCCATGGTGATTGCCTAGCACAGAGGTGCATGCTGCCACACTCCACGGAGCTTCTACAAGCTTCCAGGAATATTCAGTGAATCAACAGCATCATGCAAAGTACTGGACATGTGTTGCCCTGCCTGGGAGAACATTTTCCTGAATAGCATGCCAAGCTCTAGCCTTGTCTCCCTAAGAATCTCTGCTGCCACCACTACTGGTCCCACATCCCACGACCATCATCCTGCTCCTCTCAAGACCATGTGACCCCATTCCCAAGAGTTCCAGTGCTCAGCCAGCAACCCCTGACTTACCCTCTGAGATGACAGCACATATAGCTCCACGAAAATGTGTCAGGAACATGAGAGGCCCCATCCCTCCCTGGGTCTCTGGTCAGAGGAAATGCCTGTGCTTCATTTACCATGATCTAGCCTGGACCCAGGCAACTGAGCTCTGCTTAGAGAATGCCATTAAAGCTACTGTAAATGGTGTTCATCTTTAAAATATAGCCAAACATGTTTAACAATTCCAGGCATGGAAGCAAAATGAAACATAATTCGCGTGAGCTCAGGGAGGTGGGAGAGAATGTGGATCATTTTAGTACCCACAAGTAGTTCAGCAGGGCTGGAGCATATGTAGAAGTTTTAGGAGTGCTAGAACTGGGGCTGGAGGAGTAAGCAAGACCTGACCAAGATGGGTTGTGTTAGTCTTGATAAAAAGCTTGCATTCTCTCCTGAGGGTCTTTAGAAGCCATTGAAGATCTTAATGGGGGCAGCCAGAGATGGGATGAGATGCCCATTCTGCACAGGTCATTCTGTCCAGAGTGAGGGCAGTGGATTGGAGGCCATCAGGTACAATCTAATGCAGCCTCCCTTCATCTAGCTTCTACCATCCAAGCTCAGCTTATATGAGACCTTCACCTGGAGGGATGCGTAGGTGTCTTGCTTTCACTGGTAATGTTAGCGTGACTCTCCACCCCAACACTCAGAGGCACCCTACTCTGTCTGCCCCAGTAGCACCAGGGTTAAATCAGATGAAGGGGGTATGAGGGTCTGGAAAGCAATGGGGGACACTCGACAGAGTCGCGGTGATCATGGAAACACCCAGGGCAACAAGGATCCCAGGAAATCTTTTTCTAGCTACAAGACAAATTTATTTTCTAGACTCCAGAGTATACCCATGCCTTCCAGGCAACAGGACAGGTAGACACAAGTTCTCTTAAGGGATTGGGAAGAGGAGGCCACCCTGGAAAGGAGATACCAAGTCACTGCCTCTCCTGACCTTGTCCTCCAAGGTGAGGCTGCAAATGGTGTAGTAGGAATTTCTGACAATTCTCCTTGAGACGGAGCTGCCTGTGCATTTTCCTTCCCAGGTCCCCTGCTTAGTTCTTTTCTCTCTTTAATATATATACTTGGAGATATCACATGGTGATCACCAAGTCCCAGAGTTTGAAGTACAAGCACTATGTGGACAGCTCCTACGTGAATCTCCAGTCTGGACCTCTCAAACTTTAGCCTACGCAAAATCTCTGCTCAGGTGTTCACAGGCATCCCAGACTTCAAGTATCCTGAGACTAATGTTCCATCGTCCAAATAATCTGCTTCTCCTGCACTCCTTTTCCAAAGTAAATGGCAACTCCATCCTTTCAAATGTGTAGATTCAAAATCTGAAAGTCATCAGTGATTCCTCTCTCAAACCACACATCCAATCTATTATCCAATCTTGCTGGCTTTACCTTTAGTACATGTCCAGAGCTGGCCACTGCTCAGCCTTCCACCAGCCGCAGCTTGCTGCAAGCACATCATCCTGTCCCCTCTGGATCATCGCCTCCTCACTGGTATCCTTACATTTGCTCTTGCCCTCCTGTGATCTGTTATCCACCCAGCAGCCAGAGTGCTCATTTTAATACTCAAGTCATGTCAGGCTTCTGGCAAAAACATCCCTTGGCTTTCCATCCCACTTGAAGAAAAGGCAAAATTCTAACAACAGTCTACAGATCCTGTGCAATCTAGCTCATAGATACTTCTGAGTCATTTCCTATCTCTTTACTCTCTGCCCCACCCCATCATTTGCTTTCTGTTCCAGCCACACTGGCCTCTTGCTCTTCTTCAAAGATGCTAGCCAAGTCCCTACCTCAGGACCTTTGCACATGTTGTTCTCTCTGCCTGAAATATCTTCCTTCAGATATTTGCACAGTTCAGTTCCTTACTTCTTTCAGGTCACTGCTCAAATGTCACCTTTTCAGAGAGTACTACTCTGACTGCCCTGTATAAAATAATACTCCATAACCCCTTTACCTAGATGCATTGTTCCGCTCTGCACTTACCATTCCCTGAGTTAGCCATGATAGGCTACATAATGGTAAGGTTACAAATCCCAAATTTAAATGGTTTGTAATATAAAGGGTTTTCCAGTGATATGCTAGAACCAGCTTGTACTGGCTCCAGAGAGCCAATTGCTAACTTTTCAGGAAATTTGTGAGCCAGGTGTTATGCAAACATATATAATTTATAAAAAGTTAAATTACATAAAGTTATAATTAACTAAATTATATTAAAACCAAAGGCAATAAATACTCAAAATGCATCCCTTCTTAATTATATTACTACTTATTTTACTACTGTTATTAATATGTTAAAAATTTTATTATTACTACATACTACTATTACCTATGCACTTGATGTTATTTCTCTTGTAGCTGCCTGGTGGAAATACAGTATTATATAATGACATGCTACTATGCATCTCTACCTAACTCCTCGTCTGGTGATGCCATATTGAAATCAGCCATACTGAGAGTATTTACACACTGCTGAAGTCAGTAAATGCTACAAATCAAGGTTTGATTTATTTTTTTTAGTGCTTGTCTAGATTTATGAAAGTAATGGGGAAATATTTTATGATGCAGATTAAACTTACAAGTGTGCCATGTCTGCAGCTGTTACACTGTGAACGAATGGCACAAAAAATTGAGGCAGTATTTCTCTAGTATTCAAAAACTTATCCCCAATTCAACAAAGAAGTCACTCACACCATAGATGGATGAGTGAAGTTCTAACATATGTCTTTATTGTTTTATCTTATTTGTTAACATAAATGAACATATCAGCCAACATGCAGGTTGGAATTACAGTCCTTTGTAAATGGGAACCATAAACTGATTATGGATACAATACTTCAGCAAAAAATGAACCAAAGCATTCTGTGGGTATCAGTTGGATAGATGCAATTTCAATGTAGAATACTGTGTATTTTATTATTTGTCAATGGCATCCTTTATAAGTGAAACACATACATGTGTGCACACACACATGTTGCCCTTCTCCTTTGGAGAGTTGGCCATTAAACATTTACTAACAACTATTGGCTCATCCCTCTCACACACTCCATGTCCATCATGGAGCACCTGTTCACATCCCTTACTCTGAGCCCAGGTGATGGCACTTCCACCACCTGAAGCATTGCTGATTGCTGCAGGGGGTGTGGGGGAAAGGGGCATGACAAAGGCTCTGCCTGGAGGTGACACATGCTACTTCTGTTCATATTCCATTTACTGAAGCAAGTCATCTGGCCACGCTACCTTTAAATGAGGGGAATCCCACAATGTGTCTGGAAGGAAGGAAGGGAGAACCGCCACAGCACACTGGATGTTTACATGTCTATTGTCTGCCCCACTCCCAGGCTTGAATGTAACCTACATGAGAAAGAGTTGCCTTGCTCACTGCCGTATCCCAGTATCCCAAGAACCTTGGAGATGCTCTATGAATACTGAATGAATCTGAGAGGAAACTAGCCCGAAGGGGGAAGGCTCTGGAAGCAAGCCCTCATGGACCAACGGAGAGTGAGTGTCATCATTTTATGTTTTCTCCAAATCTTGTAAACAATGTGTTTTAGTCTTAGCCTGTCATATGCAGCTGAAATCTGGGGCAAATAAAATCACATAGATGCATGTGGCTCTGTGTTATTATTACAGGCAAGCGAGGTAAAATTGAAGGATGCAAACTTGAAGGGCGTATCACTCTCAGATTCATGTAAGTGCAGGGTCAGCCCCGAGAGTGGGCACCTCCTTACATTTTGTGCCCTGGGATTCTCCCTTGCTTTACCTTAGCCTTGATTCTACAGCAGGTCTCTTCCAGGAACTCCCAATTCCACAGCCTAATGGACATCTCCAACTCTAGCAGCTGCTTCTTTCAGACACAGCCAGAGAGCAGCATATACAAGAGAATGCTTAGCTGAGGCAAAGTTTTATTCACTCTGTCTAGCTTAGAGACATAATAAACTCCAGGGGCTGAATGACGGCTCTAAATGCTGAGAGATAGGCCAAAGCAGTAAGAAGGAGGCATTACTTATTTTAGAATAAGCGCCATGTCATTACCTTATTGCTGAAATCTTGAAGCTCAGGTGTTGACTATTACTACGATTAGGTCTGATGGTATCGCACACCCAGGATGCCAACAGCGCCAACTCCCGCTGATTGAGTTCCCACTGTGTGCCAAGAAAGAAGACACTAGGCCTTCATGTACATTGTTTCATTCATCAACCAGCACCCTAACTAACTCTCTTTTCTTGGTATTTCCTGTATGTCAGAAAAGGAAACTGAATCTTGGGGAGATTAAGCAACTCTTTCAAGGTCAACCGGGGAGCGGCAGAACCAGAGTTCGAAGGAAACCTTTCTGAATCTGACGTCTGCCCCTTCTAAATTAGGACTCTCATCTATCAGCCTGTGAGAAAAAATACAGAAAGCATCATTCAGGCAACACATGAACTCAAGACACTGAGACTTCGCTAACCTTCCTCGCACACAAGGTCCTAAAGGAACTACCACACGCATGTCCACATTTGATGCACATAACAGACTCTCACCGCATTGAAATAAACCCCAGTATGATCATAATAGCTTTTTTCTTTCAATTTTTATTGAACACAAGTATTCCGACAGAATGCAAAGTCAAAATTCTCAGTTAGTACTCAGTATTTACACCAGTGAGAATGGAAACAAAGGTGGTATCGATGTTTCACTTGGTAAAAAGTTTTATAACAAGAGAGAAGGCCCCCGAAGTACAGAATGCTGGGTAGGGATGTTAATGGAGGTCTGAAAACCGCCATCCAGACAGACAGCCTCAAGTGAAAACCTGGGACTCGGAAGGCTCCATAGAAAAGTGTGAAAATAGAGTTCCACCTCCAAAGCTGCACTATATACACCACAGCCCTGCAGGGTCCAGTGGCCCTGCTCGTCACACTTGAGTGCTCCTCCAGCAGAACTTGGCCATGCCGGTCTTCATGTGAATACATATGTATGGCACATACACACATAGACACATAGACATTGGAAACTGGAGTTGATCCCTCCTTCAAAAATTAAAAAAGAAAATTATAAGCTTTGATCTCTTAACATAAAAGATAAAACATCTTGGAATAAAATGACTCCCTCTTTGATTTTAGAGAAAGCATTGCTTTTTTTTTTTTTTTTTTTTTTTTTTTAAAGGAAAAACTCTTGCATGCTGAGACAAACCTATGTGTAATGGGAGAGAACAGACCAAAATGTGGGCAGAGTCTTAGGTCCTAGCTAATGGCAGAGCCAGGGTTCTAGGGGGTCAGCTGTCCCGGGCCAGGTGATCTGAGGGCTGACCTGTTTCTTCCTAACCATCAGAACCAAAACCAGTTTGACCTAACCACAACCACTTTGACAGTCTTGACAAGGTATGGCATGGGCTTGGCCTGGTGTGGCAAAGCCATCGACATTACAAGATGAAGAACTGAGTCCACTGAACAGCCTGGTGACCAGAAGAGCCTGCCCCTCACTGCTGGGCCCTCCCGGTCTCAGACACCCAGGCTCTCACATTCTACTGTGTGCTCTAAGATCTCTCTTCATGTTCCTCTATTCTGAGGGCCTGTGCATTTGAACCAGAGATCTGTGCAGGCCCTAGAATCAAAGGGGCCAGGGCTGTGTGTTCTGGGATCCTCCATTTCCATCCCCAGGAGCTGAGAAAATGCAACATAACCCCACATTGAGCAAATGACAAGACCATTATTCTTCACAGTTTGAAATTATAATCTAGCATCGCCACTGATCAGACTGCAGAAGTGTCAGAACGTTGGGGAGAGTGGCCCACAGAATGGACCCAGAGGCAGCCTTGCCACCCTAACCTCTTGCTGCTTTGTACCTTAGGAGAGGAGCGCATGCGGAGTACTGATTTCTGTTTACTTAGCATCATCTTCATCATCATCATCATCATCTGTATTTCATTTTCTTTGTTAAAAGGCTTCGATTCCGTTTGAGTGATTTTTGTTTCCTGAATATTTTTTCTGAACTATCTGCTATACCTTCCACAACCAAACTATGTTGAAGTTTTATTTCAATACTATGACAAAAACACGTTTCACACTAAAATATTCACGCATCCACAGTGCACAAGCTTGCAGTTCTAAAGTAGAATGAGGGAAAAAAAAGCAAAATTTCTATACAAAGGGCTGGCTTTTCCCTTCTCCCCCCCCTCCCATCCCCCTTAAAGTTTCTGTATTTTTTCCCCCACTTGGTTTCCAATCCAGGAAAGTTGTGTTATGACTCCAGACAGTAGGTTGTTTCTTTCTTCTTTTGTTTCTATAAATGCTGCCTAAGTGAACAGAAGGCCGATGTTACTTTACTTCAACAGATTTCCAAAAAAAGACACTAATTCCCTGAAGCACACATGCTCTTCCGCTCAAATCTAGATTCTGGGCTCAAAAGGAAATGGTATGTATAGATTTTATTTGGCTTTCTACACAAAGGGGATGTGTGGGGTAATAATGTGTGTTCACCAAGACCAGCCCCAACTATACAATCTTCTCTGCTTCATTCAACAAAGCCTAAGGAGTCCTTCAAAAGAAGGGTGAGAACGCCTGGGAGCAGATCCCTTTTCACAGATGCAGGCAGGTGGCGGCTAATCAGAAAGTGGTCTAACCCCCAAAGAAACACAAAAATAACCAAAAATTCAAAAGCAAAACCATTCCAGAATGAGATGGATTTTCACCTGAGTGGGACCCAGGCAAAAACTGCAGATCAGAAAAGAGGGGAAGAGCAGCTGTAAACAATCATGTTTTGTAAAGTTGTCCTGTGCTAAAGCAAGCGTGGGATGATCCTACCTACCTCTAGGTGGTATTTGTTACCTTAAAAAATAAAAGGCAGCTATTTTACACGGACATTTAAACACAACCAAAGTCAAACATTTGTCACCTTGTAAACACTGGAAAACAAAGTTGGCAGAAAGAAAGAAAGAAAAAAGAATGTAAAAGAAAGAAAAAGAAGTCTGAATACTGCAAATTGAGATCTACCCCCAGAAGCTGCAATTTGGCATTCGTCCTATAAAATAAGAGTCTACGTGGGAATTGAATTCAGCTAGAAAGGGTGACACACTTTGCATACTGAACAAATACAAAGTGAACAGAAATTATAACTTATTTATGAGGTTTTACAGAGTTCAAACTTGACTGAAAGTATAAAAATAAACTGTGGACTTTGTTCATTCGATTAGTCTTAGTGCCTGAAAGTATTTCTCTGAAACTGGTCTGTGCCAATCGGGTAACACCAAGTGTGGTCTTCCTGAACCTAGATTTCGTTTCTGAGCTTCCTAGATTCTTAATTTGGGGTCCTTTTGTTTGATTTTTTAACGGTTTCAGGGAACGGAGTGTCCTAGTTTGGCTGTGGGTTTAACCTTTTTGTCTCATTTTCTTACAAGTGAGTGTGCAACAAAGGGACCCTTTCTATAAACCTACAAAAAGGAGATTCCCATGTTTTATCTGTTTAGTTTTTTTTAAAGGCAAAAGACACTAGAGAAATGAGATGTGTGTGTGTGCATGTGTGTTTGTGTGTGTGCGTGCGTGTGTGTGTCTGTGGTGTTGGAAATGCTCTGGTGAAGCTGCTGTGTCACTTTTTATTTTGATCTTTGCTCGGTTCTCTTCACCCATCATGCTTTGCTCTCGTTCTCCTTTGTCTGTGTGGCGTCATTGGGGACCGTCTTGACTTCGGCTGGCGCTGGCTTCGTTTCTGTCTCCTGGCACTCTGGCTTTGCTTCTACGGGGCCCTTCCTGCAGAGAATCAGGAAAACAGAACCACTGAGACCACGGTCTGCAGACATCTCGCCCCTGCATCCAGGCCTTGGGGACAGCAGGGAGGAGGAGGGGTTCTCCAGTGACAGCACCCGGCTCCAACCTCTGCCCGTCAAATCACCTGGGAGCACTAAAAATCACCCAAGCCCGAGCTGTGTTCGCGGAAATCCTGATTTAATTGGTCCGGACACAGTGACTTTTAAAAGCACCCAAGTGACTCTAATGTGCAGCCATAGTTGAGAAGCACTGAGTCAGAAGAACGAGTCCTTTCCTCTTCCAGCCCTAAGTTGATGCCAGAGGCTGTGTTTTTACCTGGGGTGGTGGAAGGGGGCAGCAGAGGCAGCTCCTCCTCACCCTGACCAGCTGCAGTGGCAACAGCTCAGCTGGATGTAAATGCAGCCTGCTGGGCTGGGCTGGGCTCCCAGCACTGATTTCAGGGGCCCCTTTGCAACCCACTCTTGCCTGTCCCTTCCCCACCCCACCCTGTGCTGTTGCAGGATGATGCCTCTAGGGCCTGCCTGGGTAGGGTGAGAAAACACTGATGGAGGCAGCTTTTCATGGCAGCCTGGTGGGGTACTAGAGTGGGCCTGGTGGCTATGCGAGAGTTGAGGGCAGCTGAGTGGGCAGGGCTATCAGAGTCCTTTTCCCTCCCGATGCTGAGATTCAGGGCTCCTGGCGAGAGCCCCTTGCAGCCCATGGTGGCAGCATGGCAGCTTATCTGGGGAGCAGCCATAGGAGCCTCTATAAAAATCTAGGTCTGACTCTGCCTCCATCAGTTCCAGGAAAGGGAGTCGGGTCTGAGGATGCATGGGGACAGGCACAGACCCCAGCCTCAGCTGGTGCCACTGAATTTTGGCAAGACACTTACAAACCTGAAAGGTTAAGGCCTTTCTCTTGAACTTTGAGACCCAGCAGCCATTTGATGCTGGGGAGCCCCGAGTCTTCCCAGCCACTCTAAGAGCAGGAGAAGCAAGAGTGGGCTGGGGGCCGGGGTTGGGAGGGGAGGGTGAGCATCTGAGCCACAGTGTGAGGGGACCTCTGAACTGCACCCTCCCCTGCCACGGGCCTGGGGCCTACCTCTTTTCTTCCTGCACATCAGTGCCTTTCTGGTAGGGACTCAGCCTGGCACTGAATAACACACCGACTGGGGGCCCCAGGGTGGCTGATAAGGGCACCTTGGCCTTCTTAGCCTGCTTCCCAAGCTATTCTCATCAGTGGCCTGACTGCAAGGGCTCCCCCAGGGAAAACAGAAGCCGCTGCTAGGATGATAAGGATAAAACATAATTAACATGGCCTAATTAGCCAGCAGGCGGCTGCTCCTGGGGCCCAGCTGCCTGTCCTGCTCTCTCTGCCTTATCCCAGCCCCTTGGTTGACGGTCGCCTCAGAGAAGCCCTGGATGAGGCTGAAGACACATCTAACAAGGAGGACACAGCACAGCACAAATGCACACCACCACAGGACACAACCCGATGACAGCAGACAAAGAGAGGCCGTACTCGGTCTTTGCTGGCGCAGGCGAAACAGAGCTGTCTGCAGTGGAAGGAGCAAGCTCAGGGGCTTGTCCACTGGCCCCAGCGGCGGGAGCAGGAGAGCCCAGGGCTGCAAAAACATCCTTTGCAAGGTCAATATCTGGGGTCTTGAAGTTCCCTTCGTCCATTTTAAAGTCCTCGCCCTGGGAAGGGTTTGTGGTGCTGACGGAGGCAGCCTCGCTCTTCGGGCTAGCAAGGGCTGTGGCTGCCTCGGCCGGGCTCTTCGCGGCTCCGGGCTGGGTGGGCTCCGGGTCCGGGCCTTTGGTGCTGGGAGCCTCCTGCTTGGCCTGAGGGGCTTCTGTGGCAGGGGCAGCCGCTGCTGCTAGAGGACTGGCTGCCCCAGTCGGGGTGGGGACTGGTGCAGGGGTGGGCTTGCTGGCCGGAGGAGCCTTAGAGGCCTCCCCGACACCAGCAGGGGCGCTTGGGCTGAGGACAGCCCCTTGGTTAGCCAGGACACTAGAAGACAAATTGCTAGCGGCAGGGGTTGAGGTCGGGGTGTCGCTCAGGTCAACGAGGGGGGCGACCTTGGGGGCTGAAGCTGGGGCCGGGGAGGGGGCAGAGGCGCTGGGCCCCTTGGAAGGGGTGGCCTGGCCAGCCGGTACAGAGTTTGAGTCAGGCGTGGCCGTGGCCGGCGGGGCAATACTGGAGGTCAGGGTGGTGGTCTCACTGGTGGGGCTGTTCTGAGCAGTGGCAAAGGTTTCGGTGATAGTGTCAGAGTTAGTGGTGACGGTGGTGACAGAAGGCAGCATGTCCTCGACAGTGGCCGTAGTGTCGGCAGGCAGCCTGTGGGAGGACAGGAAGTAGAAGAGAATAGACAATGAAGCTGAGACGTGACAGAGAAGCGAGGAGGAGGGCTGAAGCCCAGGACAGGGACCATGGGGGTGGGGGCATGCAGTTAGGCACAGGCACGGACACAGGCCCACAGAGAGAGAAGGATGCTGAGAGGAAGCACACGCCCAGGTGGGCAGAAGAGGACACAGGAGACGACAGAGAACGTGGCGGTCTCAAAAGGGACCTGCTAGCCCTTCCCTGCTGATGTCTCTCCAGCTCTCTGCATAGAGCTCCCTTTCCCTGAAGTCCTTGCAGACCTGCCTAGGGCTTCCTGATCCCTGCCCTGGATCTCCATTCAAGGAGGGGCAGGCTTCTGTTCAGCATCCACCTGCTCTAGGCTTCCCAGGTCCCAGAGGAACTGGGCCCAGCTGTCCTGCAGGGCTCCCCAGGGCACCGATGGGAAAAGTCACGAATAAGGCAGATCACGAGTACTCAGAATGGCTCATAGGAGCTGTGGGTTCTTCCAGTCACAGATTTTGTGGTTCCCTGAAACTCCATTCCCTTTAAGCCCATAAGATCCTTGACAGCTAGGCAGGCATTACAACCACAACTGGTCTGGGGCTCCGTGGGTCCCCGAGGTTTCTGAACAGAGGAGGGGCAGAGAACTTTACCAGGTCCCCAGCTTCCCTTATCCTTTCAGGGGGAAAACACAAAACCCTAGAATTTCAAGAAATCCTAAGCAGACTCTGCTAAGCCTTTCAGTGAGATTTTGCCACCTTAAGCCATTTCCAGAATATGTGTATAACTTGAGAACAGGGGCTAGGGATCCAGGGATCCCTACTTATACAGGAGCCTTCTAAGGGTACCCACAGCCACCGAAATAGAACCAGAAATGCCTGAGGTCAGGCATTTCTCAGCCAAGCAGGTCTTGTGGCCAAGGGTTTGGAATCCTGGCCTGAACTGTTTGGCCGGGAGCTGTGGGTAGGGGCACGGGAGGTGGGGGTAGGGTGGGGAGGTGGGTGTGGGGGTCTCTACGGAGCAGGTGCCAGCCCCTCCCAGCCCACGTACTCGGGCTCCGTCAGTGGCGTGGTCTCGTTGGGCTCTGTGTGTTTCCCTCCATCATGGTTTGGGGTCCTCTCCTCCTCCGTTCGAACCTCCACGATGGGCTCCTTGGACTCATCTTTCCTGTGGAGACAGTACTGCTGGTTAGACCCTAGGGCAGCTGCAGGGAGGGGCTCCCACGGAAGAGCAGCTATGACTCAACCCAAGGCTGGCACGGTGGGCATCCAGAGCCAACAGATTCAAATGTATAAGTCTCAGCCCAACCCTTGCTAGCTGTGTGACCTTGAGCTTCAGATTTAATCACCCTGCCTCAGTCCCTTCATCTGTAAAATGAGGCAAAAACACTGTTACTTTGCCTAGTTATGAGAATTCAATGAAAGGATGCATGGGAAGTGCTAAACACAGTGCCTGACACAGATCATTGCTCAAATACATACATCTGTCTCTGTACACAGGTATACATACATTTCTTTTCCTTTCCTTTTCTTTTTTTTTTTTTTTTTTTTTTTTTTTGAGACAGAGTCTCTCTATGTCGCCCAGGCTGGAGTGCAGTGGCGTGATCTTGGTTCGTTGCAACCTCCGCCTCCTGGGTTCAAGCGATTCTCCAGCCTCAGCCTCCTGAATAGCTGGGATTACAGGAGCATGCCACCACGCCTGGCTAATTTTTGTATTTTTAGTAGAGGCGGGGCTTCGCCATGTTAGCCAGGCTGGTCTCCAACTCCTGACCTCAAATGATCCATCCATCTCGGCCTCCCAAAGTGCTGGGATTACAGGCGTGAGTCACCCCTATACATACATTTCTAAGTACATGCACATACATGTATATGCATATACAGTGCCTGGCATGTGGTGGTGCTAAACAACTTATTTCCTTGCTCAGTCCCTTTCTGGCTTGCTCCAGCTCTGCTCCACCCAGTGACAGTCTTCGAAGGCTCTTGCTAACTGGCTTAGGATCTGTTTCTCCAAGATGCTGTTGGAGGGACAGTATCTGGATCATCAGCTCCATAAGGACAAGAATTTCTATCTGTTTGTTCCCTGTTGTACCTATGTGCCTGGGAACAGTGCCTTGCCTGCAGCAGCTGCTTGATAAATATTTGTTGAGTGATGGATGAATGAATGAATAAACAATGTACGAAAGCAAGGTAAGTGTGTCCCTCTAATGCTGCCCTACCCCATGGCAGCTCCTCCCCAGGTTTAGTTCTGACAATTTCCCTCATTTTGACCTACACAGGGATTTTCACACTCTGGGGAGATTCTAATACAAGAGATCTGGGATTGGGCTCAAGAGTCTACATTTCAAACAGGTAACCCCCAAAGACCATGCTTTGAGAAACTTTTCTCTAATGTTTTTCCCCCATCAGGGTTCCAAATGGAGAACGTGCAATGAAAGGAAAGGCACCAGCTGATGGCGCAGGGTGGTGCAGCTGCTGGGTCCCTGGGCTGGAGCAGAGCCCAAACCTCAGCAAGGTGGACAGGTCTGCACTCACGAGAAGGCGGCCTTGCCCTCCTCCATGTCCTTGCCCTTGGCCCCGGGCCCGGCTTTTCCACACAGGTTGACCGCAATGCACATGAACAGGCCACACTTGTTCAGGAAGTAGCAGGTGATGTCCACAACCACCAGGAGCAGGACGAAGATGACGATGAGGATGCCCACGATGGCCCCGGTGCTCAGGCCTGAGGTGGGGCTGCCGTTGGCTTGAGTGGGAGAGAGATGGCTGGTGGTTAACAGACTGAGATGCGAGACCTCCAGACCCTGCCAGCAAAAGCCCCTGCGGGTGGGGAGGGCCCAGAGGACAGAGTCATGGCATTCATGCCCAGAGTGACACCTTCCTGGGGACCTTCTATGCCCCAGAATTGAGAAAACAGGGTCTTTCTATACCTTCCAGAGGGAGGGATGACAACATCATCTCACAGATTGGGGAACAGGGGTGAGCCTGGTCAGCTGGCCTCCCGTGAGTCCTGGGAGCAGACTGAGCCCCGCCTGTCTGAGAACACCGGATAATGAGGCAGTTGGAGGGCGCTGCTGTGTTTCCCCTGGACCAGGGCAAAAGGCTTTGCAGCACAGGCAGGCAGTGATCACTGATTTCAGGCGGGGCTGTGGCTCCTCAAGTGCTCAGGGATAGGGGCCCAAAATGGGGTGGTGGAGGGTTCCTGGGGCTTTCTTGGGGCTTGTTGGGTTGTCCATCACAATAGCATCCCCATTATACTTCTCCACTTCCTCTTTCCCTCTTTAGGAATGACCCCAAAGGAGCCCTGCATTAGAGCACACTGGGTTCATAGTTTACCCTCCTCACTGCACCCCAGGAAGACAAGTGAAGCCTGGGTGACTCCAGAGACATGGAGGCCTCCCCAGGCCATGGGCAAGGTGAAAGGTCTGGGAATACTCACCATCTAGGAGCTCAGGCCTGCTTGGACCAGACTTCAGGAAAACCTGAAGTGAGTGCAGACTCACTCAGAGGTGCACACACACACAGGCACACTCACACGCAGGATAAATGCCCATGCAGACAGGCATGCACTCTCACATTCTAGCACCTGGCACCCTGGTTCTGGCTGGACTCACTGTGAAAGACTCAGCCTGTGTCTTACTTCCCTGGTGCCCATCTGCAATCCCCCCAGGGTCTTTGGCTATTGATGGTTTCACAGAGAGACCTGGACTCAGCTCTCTGGGGCCCCTGGGAGATCAACCCATGGTTACGATTGACACTAGTTGCCTGGGATGGACCAATTGACCTCTTGGTGGTTCCCATCAGTGTCTGGGAGACAGTGGTCATGATGCAGGAAGCAAGGACCCATGTGGAGCTCTGCCATTAAGTCGATGTGGGAACAATCACCCTCGACTGAAATATGGGCACTTCTAATTCATCTTTCCTCCAGAACAACCTGCTTCCATAACTGGCAGCCCTGCCCCACCAGTAGACTATGTCTAAAGCTTCCTGTGCTCTCAGGGCCAACTGAAGCCACCCAGGACTGCAGACTGAAGATGGGAACTGTAGCCAGCACTACCTGGGGCTCACCCCACCAGCCACCCCACTCCCAACCCAGCTCGCTAGGCTTTGCCAAGCACCAGGCCAGGCTCAGCAGCTTGCGAGCCATGTAACATGCCAGATAGATAGTGGAGGGAACATGTAACTGAGTAACCAGCACCAGAGCTGGGCCACACATTTTTTGTTTTTCATGCAGCCTGTATTTGCGGGAGGGTGGTGGTATTGATGGCTCTGTGTGCCCCAGGGGTCTCTGTCCAGGCACTCTAGTGCTTCTCTGGTGGCTGTCCCTCTCCACTGGTCCATATTTCAAACTTCAGTTTGGGGAATGGGCCATCAGCCTAGCATGCCAGAGAGGATCCCTCACAAATGACTCCTGAGACCCCTGGGTGCAGCTCGTACATGTTTTTAGTCCCTTTGGGACCTTGGCTTGCCTCCCAGCCCTTCCTCCTCAGGCTCTCTGGCTGGTCCCTGCTGACCTCGCACTGAAGATCCTAGCGCATTCCCCCAGGAAGGCTTGAGATGGCGAAGAACTCTGCTTGGAGAACCCAGCTCTGGACACCTGTCTCTGGGCTTTGGCAGCAGGAAGCTGGCCACTGGCCTTAGCCGTCAGCTAGAATGGGTCATTTTCTTAGCAGCCATGAATGCAGAGGTATTTCTGGTTAGTCTCATAAGAACAAAACCATCCACTTCCCCAGAGTCCTCACACATTCCACCCAAAAAGCAAAGGAGACACAGGCCTTCTTGGTCTTCAGGATCCCATAGCTGTTTCCCTGAACAGGGAAGAAACTTTAGCCTTGGGTTTTCTCTCCATTCCATGACACAGGGCTCCAGGCCACTGCAGCTTCCGGACATCAGTACCCGATAGGTGTAAAGTGCCTACTCCCTGAAGAAAGATCTGAAAGTATTTTTTTGATGACAGTGGGGAATATGTCTGGATTTTTGGACTCAATGGCACTAATTATATCTTCTGAGGTTTATGTGTAAATATGATTTTGTGAAACTAATCATATCTCTAAAGAGGAAAAATAAACTCCTGCAAAGCTGCTCTATGTGCTTGAGAGGACAGCAGCTGGGACAACTGCTCTGTGCTCATCAGACCCAGCTGGAGGGCGGCACTGGCACTGCGCACATCCAGGGGAGGGCCAGGCAGGGAAAAGGCTTCTGAACTGTGGCATAAACAAGTAGGGCAGCGGCCTCCCCTTTCATTTGAATATAAAATTCAAAGTCTTTCTCCCGGCCTAAAAGGCCCACCATCTGCTGCAGACTCTGCCCACTCCTCTGTTGGGCCTCATGGCGTGAACCGGCAGCCTCCCTTCTGCCTGCTGAACACATCCAGCTCAACCCGCTTTAGGGCCTTGATGATTCTGTGCCTGGAACACTCCCTCCAGGGTGGCTCTCTGTTGTCCTGCAGGCCTCAGTCCCAGTGTCACCTTCTCAGAGAAGCCTTATCTGATCTCTTATCTAGTGTGGCACCTCCAGCCAATACCTACCATGCTGCTAGCCTGTTTTATTCTCTTCTAACTACTATCTGCCACTTTCTGTTCATTTACATGCTTATGATCTAGCCATCCCCCCTAGGACATCCCAGCAGGTACCCTGCCTGTCTCTCTTGTATCTCCCCAGCATCTAGGACAATCCTGATTCACAGAAAATGTTCAAAGAATACTTGTTGCACAAATGGATGAGTGTTTAGTCTGGAGACGAGAATACTATTTCCAAATATTTAAAGGTGTTATAACCAGAAGGAAGAAGTAGTCTTACTGTATATGGCACCAATGTGTGGAAATTATGGTGGTGGCAGATTTTAGCTCCATCTGAGAAAGGACTAATAAACAGGGCGAATCCAACATAGTGTGGGCTGCTCTGAGAGGTGAGTTCCTTGATGCTGAAGGCACTCGAGCAGAGGCCAGAAGACCCCTTGGCAGGGACGCTGTAAGGCTGTGGATGAGGCTCCCACACTGGGCAGGAGCATGGGTGGAGAGTGTCTCTTCAACCACAAGAGCCTGTCATTCCAAGTCATACATTCTACACTGCCTGGCACACGGTACAGGTTCCCTAATGCCAGTCTCCAGAGTGTGGACTGAGAAAGACTTTTTCCTGGAAGACCAAAATGCTCGGTAGGTCCCATATTTAATCACTGATCCTTGTGATTTTATTTTTGCATGACAAATACCTTTAAACTCAATATATCTCCACCTGTAGCAAATTCCTAGGGTGTTTGTTAACAATTCAGAATCTGGGGCTCCCCACTTTTATGGGATCTGAATCACTGGGTATGAGGCTCAGGAAACAGGAGTTGAACAAGCAGCCCAGGTGATTCTTATGAGGACCACGCTCCTAGGTCTTCCCTCCCCTGCATTACAAAGAGGAGCACGTGATCCCATGATTTGCCACCCCAGGGTGCACTGTGCTGTCTCACCCAGTGACCCTGAAAACAAACTTGACCTAAGGTATTGAGTGGATCAAGAGAAAACAAAGAGTATGCCCCAAAGGAAAAGCGACCATACTGTATGCCAACACTGAGTCTAAACTCCTCAAGCAGGTGAGATGCTCTTTAAGCTAGGAAGAGAATGTTTGTGGCTTTTACAAAAAAGAGGCTGTGAAGAAGGGACAGGCTGTGAAATGGGCAGCAGGGTATTGAAGGCGAAAGCCAACACCCATTCCCTCTCAGTGGCTATCACAGAATTGTTTAGTCCAAGATAACTAGAAGAACAAAGGCCATCTCCTGCCTCTTGTGTAATATTTCATAAAAGGAAAAATATAAACCTCCATGGGTCTGTCTTTGCTATGGTCTTCCCTCAGCCCTCCCTTGACTAACTCACCTGTGCACCTTGGATGCAAAGAAGGCTTCTGGGGAAGAGTTTCCCCATAACCTCGAGGTCAGAGCTGCCCAGGACAGGGAGATTATGAAGGTGGAGCTGTCCATCTTCTGTGATTCCTGGCTTGGGAGGGGTTGGCACTAAAGAGGGAACTGGCTTGCTCCAAGAATGAGACCCACAGATGCCTATTTTTGTATGCCTTAATATAGGAACATGGGTCTCACATTTTATAAATATCCAGATGGGCCTGAGTCCTTGTGCCATGAGACCCTGGTGCAGCAGAAATGCCCTTTTCACCCCCAAGACTCCCAGAAGATGGTCAGACTCTTGGAACTGTTGAGCTGGGGTTCTGGTTCACTCATAAGCCCTTTACATGTCTGCTTGCTCCTTCGAATCAGCTAAACAGATGGCTGGTCTCAGGGGCTTGCAGGATGCGTCTGAGTTAAGTGTGATTATGAATAGAATACAGTTTGCAAAGAGAATCTTCTCTCAGATTCCCTCTCCACAAGCTCACTCTGTGCAGCCTCTGTTAGGGATAGTATAAAGGCTGCTGTGTCATCAGGTGACCTTGCCACAGAGTTGTGCATCTGTTGGCTCAGAGTGTGGCCCCATCCCCATAGTGACCACCTCCCCAGTTCTGCAAAGGCATTTTCCCCTCCCACTGCCTGCTGGGGACTCCAAGGCAGCAATGCCTCTTAACAGCTCTTAGGATGCCTGGGAAAAAGAGATTGCTCCCCGTTAGGAAGAAAAAGTATTTCATTCACCAGGCTACTATTTCTCTAGGTAATAGTCTATCCAGGTACATGAGAGGCGGAGGGAAAGGGTCTTTGCTGCTTTGTCAGACACAACTATTGAATAAAATCAAGCCACGCTGGTGAGTTCACATGAACTGTTATTTCCTTTAATAATGCAAAGGTGTAAACTTCATAAAGCCCTCACTGATTATCTACACAACAATGTTAGCATTCTTATTAGTAGAAAAACATGATCCAAACCTGCTGTATAAATAGTCCAAAAATGAGCAAAGGGGCCCCATGGTGTGTGGAGCATGGGCAGCACAACTACAGGGCACAGGGGAGTGGGGTGTGGCTGAGCAAGGTGGGGTGCACTCACTCCTGCAGGGTCTCTGAGGGCTGCTGTCTCCAGGACTCCTGGCGGGGCTGGGGCTGCAGCTGTCACCAGGAACTCAGTGTCCGTGGGGAGTGGGTATGCGCTAGTGCTGCCTCCTGAGGAGCGCACTGTTACAAGCCGTGGGTCTGTCTAAATGGGACCCTTGAGGACCCTGACATTGTTTCAGCTGAGGCCTGCCTGACCCTGGGATGTGTTGAGATGACAGGGCCACGTCAGTCCTCTCCACACTTAGGACGAGATCTCCAAAGGGTCCCTTCAGAAAGATGGACACTGCCCCTCTCCTGTGGGTGGTCCTGGGATCAGGGGGAGGCAGACTCCCAAGCTGGGCCCTCCTAGGATGAAGCCGTGTGACTTCTGCCCAAGGTGATCCTAAGAGCCAGTAGCTCTCCCACACTGACCTGGGATCCTTATGCTCTGCCCTGTGCCCAAAAACCATGCCTGCCTCCACTGCCCTGGTGTGAAGCGCCATCTGGGACTCCAGCGGGGAGAGTTTTGTGGCTGGGTTGAGAGGCACTACCCTGCCTGAGCTACTGTGCAGCATGGAGCCTCTGATGTCTGCACGTGAGCCTCTAAACTGAGCGCTGGGGATTAATGGCGAGCGCCAACATAGGTGGCTTTGCCCCTCAGACCACAGCATGGGATCATTTGGAATCCCAAAGGGAAAGGCTAGTCTTTGAACATTAAAAAATAATAACAACAGAAAAAAATACATAAAGAAACCAAAAAGAACAAAAATCAAGCTTCCATGGAGATGCTCAGAGATGAGATATGTAGAATGATATGTGACCACAATGGGGGGAGGGAGGGAGTTTTTATTCAGTAGAAGGTCCATCCCCAAGCACACACACTGATATTACCAAGCAGGATTCAGCCCTGAGTCTCCACAAGGGACCTTAACAAAACACACCCATTTCCTCTCCTGGGTGAACTCCCAAGCAGCAGGGAGGAGCAGCTGGATTTTCAGGAGAGTTTAGAAAATGTCACTGAACCAACGCACCAATACAGAGGCTGGGGCATTCAGGAAGCACTGACAGGTTGGCTCGGCCCCAATTTATTAACCCTCCTGGGCTGGGCAGTCTGGGAGTGGCCTGTCCCTCTCCTTCTCTACTGAGCACACACAGGCCAGGTAGGGGACTAATGCCTGGTTCACAGTGGATGCTTCCAACCTGTCCTGTAGACTGATGCTCAAAGCCATTCTGTGGGTCACTGCTGAACCACGGCCCCACTCTGTGCTGATCTGCGACATGCTGCCAGGCAGCAGGGGAGTCACCCCGATTGGGAGACAAACACCTTTCAAAGCTGACACTTGTTGGCACATCATGGCTTGGCCCCGTTCACAGAGACAGTGTAAGGTGCTGGCCGTAATACGAGGACTGAAAGCACATCCCAGAACGTTCATCAGCCCCAGAAAATATCCAACAAATTCAACTTTTTTTCCAGTGCATGGGCAACAGGGGTGACTTCAGTTGCCCATCATGTCAGCAAAACGCTCATGTGAATCAGTGCGGTCTGGCTCTTTTAACATGGGCACTTAAATGCTTAATTGCAAGCAAAGCCAATTATTATTGAAGGGAGGACAAGGAGCACAGAGTTAGAATGAGGGGAATGTGTGGTGATTTTAACAATCTGACACAAGCTTTAGAAGGTACTTAGAATTCTTCCTCTGCTACATCATATTTAGGTTTGAACCCAAAATGCAACAAGTAGCAGATATGCAGAAACTTCTCTGTAAATCTAGCATGATGGTTTTTAAAAATAGCATTTAAAGAAAGAGCTCTCAAATTCTTTTTACTGCCATTAAAAAGGGGGCAAACTCCTTATGAAGTGGCACAAAAGTATCTGTGAGTGGTGACATGTCTGGAGGTAAAGCTTTTTCCAATCACAAAACCTTCTCTTCCACACAGAATGGTTGCTCAGCAGCTGTGGCCATGGTGGTCCTGCCAGGTTCTTCCAAAGGGGGCACTGATCTTTTTCATAGGAACTGGGCTTTTAAGCAAATTTAATTTTTGTGTTCAAGTTCCTAACAGAGCAAAAGAAGAGTCACTGCAGAGAAAAGCAATGAGACAAAGGTGTAGGATGCAGAATTGCCTCCCAAGGTTGCTGCAGGTGTCAAGCAATGGGTCCCCAGAGATAATGTGGTTGTTTAAAAACAAATGTGGCAGTGGGGATGTCCCAGTGACGTCCAAGGTGACAAGTGTGACGACAGACACAGGAAGGGGAGGGGGACAGAAGGAAAGGGAAGGTAGAGACAGAAACAGAGAAAAAAATAGATAAAAAGAAAAAAAATTAGGTCAACTATAGAAAACACAGAATCAAAGGTTAATTCAACTTAGTAAATTAAATTGACAAAGGTTAGAGAGGGTTCAGTGCAGTATCAATACCATAAGGCCAGTTCAGAAGCTCAGCAATGCCAGAAGCAGCACAGCAGGGTTAATTTGGGGGCTAGGGATCAGCGAGCAAATGAAATTAAAGTGAGAGAACAGAAGCCTCCACGCTAAAATACAAGAGTTTGATTAGGAGAGTGTTACCTTTCACTAAGGTGAAGCCTCTTAGATACAGCCAGCAAGTGTATTGTCTTCTAGTGTCTAGCGTGTTTTACCCATAGTGGTGGAGATGCATTGGATCGCTGCACTATGAGTCAGCACACTGTGCTTAGGGATTGGGGATGGCCTTGTCAGAGATGAAGCAGGCTTTTCTTCCTATGGCACAAGTCCCACACCACAGTGCTGTTAAAGGAAGTCTCATTCTGTACCCCGCTTCACCTTCTACCCTGCTTGCTGACCACAGAATTCAACCACAAATGTCCAACTTGTAATTCAGAGAGGTTTTATTCTCGGATCCCAATTCAATGGCCAGGAAAGTCTAACCGAGAACACAGCCACCACCTTCTCAGATCTGTGCAGGAGAGCCACAGAGCCGTCACCGGTGAGGTGAGCAATCCCCCAGCCCTCTCTGGCTTAAGTGGGCACCTGGGCGATTCACAAGAAGGATTCTGATATCTCCAGCAGGCACAACTCTGGAGGACAAGGTCTACCCAGAATTTCGGTCTCTGACACAAAAACCACAGAAGCCAGTGCTGCTAGGAGTACCCAGCATGTGAACACAGCAGGTCCAAACAGCCTACCCAGTGAGTCTCACCCCAGGGAGCAATTGCCATAAGGAATCTGTCTTGCTGCAAAGGGCTTACTCAAGCCTCACCTGATCTCACCTCCTAAGTGTCCCATGAAGGCCAGACAGATCTGGACATTCACTCCAAGCTGTCGATTGTAAAGGAATGGACCAAAGAATGGAGAGAAAGAAGGGGCAGAGGAAAAGCAAGGAGAACCTCCATTTGAACATCCTGTTAAGGTATAATGAGGACATTTCCTGCAGCCTTGCCCACGTGCCTTGCCTTCTGCACCGACCATCTGACCAGCGACTGTGGAGAAACACCCACCCCAGCAAGCACTGGGGAGCCTTCCTGTCAATGCAGGGTGGACCAATTGATGCTTCTGACCTACAGTGTAAAACTCACCTGCCAACTCACTGGAGGTCCAGCACACGTCTCCCAGACACACACATCCATGTACAAACAACCACTGGGAACCACACACTGATCCCGTTTTGTTGCTGCTCTCCTAGCCCATTTTTGCACATACATCCCTGCATCATAGGCAGGCCACAGCCCTCTGGCCTGTCTCCTCCTGGGAGGAGGAATCATGACCACCGAGCCAAGAGCCGGGCAAGCACTGAAGACAGGGCAGGCATGAGGGGGGCTGCCCAAGGCCGTCTTCCCACCACACTTGAACATGGCAGGGTCTATGGGGCCCCCCAACAGGCTGCAGCTGTATGTTCTATGCCCACCTCTCCTGCCTGGGGTTGGCATTTGGCTGGTCTGGAAAAGCAGAGTGATCAGTTGAAGAGCTCCTTCTTCTCTGAGGGATTTGGCCAAAAAGGAGACCAGCAAGGTTAGGTCTTGGATCCCTGGAGACAGATCTGTATCTCCTAGGAGAACTGCTGCCATCACAGTCTCTAGCAGACCGGATTGCTTTCATTGATGGTGCTTTCCAGCATCTATTTTCTCCACTTGTTCTATTACAAGTGGTTCAATTTAATCTGTTTCCATTGAGAGGCCTTTGGTAGATAGGGTTTGTAAGTAAATGGGCATCATCTCTTCCTTCTCTTAGGGTCACCACAGAGAAGAGATTTGGACCATGGCTGTGCTCATAAAGCAAGCATCAGATAGGAAGTGCTTAGAAACAGTTATGTGGTCCAAGTATGATGTGGCAGATGGCAGATAAGGTCTCAAAAAAGGATCCTTACTCAACCAACTTCCAAGGCTAGGCTGGAGCTGGGGCATTTCCCATCTGAGGGGTCCAATGGACTGATTGGCATCAGTCCTTCAAGGCCAAATGGGACAGGACCTTTTCTCCAGGATGCTTGGCCAAGCCTTCCTGGGGGTCCAGTACATCTCACCCCACTGCACAGATAGGTACAAGGCAAAACTAAGCTTTGCATGGGCAACCAATCATGAGGATGGCTGTAAGCAAGCAAGTTGTCAGGGTTGTTCAGGCGCATTAGGAGGTGCAGCACTTGTGCATTAATTCAAAGCGGAAACAAACAGAAAGCAGAGGCAGCCATACCTGGGATGGCTGTGGGCTGGGCCGAGGTCCTGAACACAAAATGAGCCGCCTTGGATTTTCCTTGCTGGTTCTCAGCCACCACGTAGACCTCATACTCAGCATTCCAGTCCAGGGACTTCAGCATGACGTGGTCACTGCCAGACGGGAGCCTGATCTCTGGTTTCCACTCGGAGGAGAGCTTCTGGGAGAAACCGGCAAGAAGGATACAAGAGACCAAAAAAGCTTTAGATAAAAGTACTGGTAAGACCAGACAATAGGCAAAACTTACGGGACTCAATAACTTTTGGCATGAAATCATGAAAATAAGAAGCAATGATGGGGGTGGGCGCGGTGGCTCATGCCTATAATCCTAGCCACCTTGGGAGGCCGAGGCGGGTGGATCACTTGAGGTCAGGAGTTCAAGACCAGCCTGGCCACCATAGTGAAAACCCGTCTGTACTAAAAATACAAAAATTAGCTGGGCGTGGTGCCACACACCTGTAGTCCCAGCTACTCTGGAGGCTGAGGCAAGAGAATGGCTTGAACCCAGGAGGTGGAGGTTGCAGTGAGCCGAGATAATGCCACTGCACTCCAGCCTGGGTGACAGAGCAAGACTCTGTCTCCAAAAAAAAAAAAAAAAAAAAGCAATGATGGGACATGGTCTTTATTCTTTACCAGCCTGAAAAATTGCACAGGTCAGGAGGTCAACTTTGCATGCTGGCAAACACAAGCAACAGCAGATGCCAGTGTGGCATTGGGCCAACACCGTCAAGGTCCCATCACCTTCAGGGCATGCAGAGACTCAAGCACCACTCCTGTCTCCCAGGCTACACTCTGGTGCTGGGGACATATGCATAAGGATGTCCTAGAAGAGTAATAAAACAAGTACATTTCTTGTCATATTTCAGGATGCTGCTTAAGTTAAAGTGGCTGACTCACCTTCCTGATGTGTGAATACTGTGTAGATTCCAGTTTCGTTAAAAATGAAAACTATGGCCGGGCGCGGTGGCTCACGCCTGTAATCCCAGCACTTTGGGAGGCCGAGGCGGGCGGATCACGAGGTCAGGAGATCGAGACCATCCCGGCTAAAACGGTGAAACCCCGTCTCTACTAAAAATACAAAAAATTAGCCGGGCGTAGTGGCGGGCGCCTGTAGTCCCAGCTACTTGGGAGGCTGAGGCAGGAGAATGGCGTGAACCCGGGAGGCAGAGCTTGCAGCGAGCCGAGATCCCGCCACTGCACTCCAGCCTGGGCGACAGAGCGAGACTCCGTCTCAAAAAAAAAAAAAAAAAAATGAAAACTATTTTTGTTGAGCCCTTACTAAGAGCTAGGCACTACAAAAGCTTTACACACATTTTCTTGTTGTATTCCTACAACATGCCTGTGGGGTTTTGTCAGGCTCTTACTAAACCCAGTGATGGGGAAGTGAGAGAGAAGTAAGGTGACTAACGTAAAATCACACCTGCAGTCAAGGCTGGAGCTAAGTTCGTTTGGGCCCAAAACTATGATCTTTCCTTTTTTTTGTTTTTCTTAATTGTGTTCTTGAAAATAACAGTTTTAATTGATACAAAATAGCTATACAGATTTTCAGGGTACATGTGATAATTTAATACATTCACTTAATTTGTAAAGATCAAGTCAGTATAATTGAAATATCCATCACCTTAAATATTTTTCTCTGGGCTAGAAACATTTGAGTTATTTTCTTCTAGCTAGTTTGAAATATACAATAGGTAATTGTGAACTACAGTCACCCTACTGATCTATCAAACACTTGGCCGTATTTCTCCTATCAAACTGTATTTGTTTCCATCAATCAATCTCTCTTTGTCTTCTCCTCCTCTCATGATCTTTCCCTTCTATAGTAGGGAGCTCAGCAAACATCTGTTGGACTGAATAAGGTTTTTCTATTCCATGCAGTGTGACCTGGTCTCTACAACGGCAGCAAATAGATGGAGGTACCTCGGGACTAAGTTCTGCTGTCAAGTCCAACAGTGGGCTGCTCAAAGGGCCCACAAAGAACAATAATTAGGTAACCACCTCCCTCACCAAACAGTTTGTGGAAGAAGGCCTGAGAAGTCTTCAGATGGTTTCACCATTGCACAGCCCATCTCTTTGCAATCTTTGGCCTTTTCACAAGGCAGGTGCCCTGGGATATCTGCTGGGCACACAAGAAGTCTTGATAGATGTTTATTGCATGACAGGCTGCTCCTTGGAAGGGCAGAACACAATAGCACTGTCACCTGGACAGTGGTCTAGTAACTGTTGTAGGCCCATGGCTAAGGCTGGATGAGGAGTTATCTTACAGCAAAGCAGTCCTCCCAGGCAAAAGGGTTTGCACTAGCCAAAGAGATGCCTTTAGGAATGTGACAGTGCTCATGCTGCATGGGCAAATGCCAGTGGTGCTGGAAGGGGAATTCTAGTTTCCTTAGAGTCTAACCAGTCTGGCTATGCTGTAAGCTAGGATGTGTATATATCACTATGTGGCCCCACTTTCATTTAAAAGAAAGCAATTCCGGTATCTTTCCTCTTCATTTCTCTGTCTTCCTTGGCAAACATCATTATACAAGAGACAACCAGAATCTAGAGAAAATGTTATATTATACTTATTCATAATATAAAATTATAATATTTAGCAAACATGAATGAGGTTTTGAAGTGAGAGAGGGTGGTTACGGTTGTTGAAATCTAACATATTTCAGCGTTGTGCCCAGCTGTGTCTTTCTAATGCAGAGCTGCCTGCTGCAGCCACAGTGGCTCCTCAGACAAACTGACATCCGACATGGTTGGAGATGTCATACGGGAGATGGTTCCAGCCTGAGCCTGCCTCTTAGCAGTAACCATAGTGACCATTTATAAAGGTTTCCAAGTGTCAGGTGCATTTCAGGTTCTTTGCATATATTATAATGCATCTTTATAACAACTCAATAAGCTATTTTATCCCCATTTTACAGATGGAGAAATTGAAGTTCTGAAAGATTAGGTGACCTATTCTTCCAGAATAAGTAGTAAAGCTAGAATTGGATGCCATGTCTGTCTGGCTCTAAAACCTATGTTCTGTCCATGGGGCCACATCAGGATAACCATTGGAAAGGCATCCCAGCCTACCACATCTCTGCTTCCAGGGGTATATTGGGGGCCACCTGCCCAATCCTTGCACCCTACTTGGCAGTGAGGAAGCCATGGGGACCTCTCATTCACTGGGATCTCTGGACTGGGCCTCAGGGCAGTGACAGGCCTTTCCTACTATTTCAGCTCACATCTGCTTACAAATTAAGTGGGAACAAGGCCTCTGCAGCTGAGAAGTATGCCTGCGGGGCTCTGTGCTGAACTGACTTGCCAGAAGACTAGCTAGTTAAAGACCTATCACTTCCACAGGAGCTGATCACAAGGCAGAGAGGAAGTAACTCAGCTTCCCAGAAAAAGTCTTCCTTGGGGCTATGTGAAGAAAGGAAACTGCTCCCTGGTTCATTCTTTTCTCTACTACGAAACCCCAGCAAGAGGTTATTCTCAGTGCTCAGATGTGGCCTCTAAATCTCTCAGCCATTGGTTATAGTTGAAGATGACCAAGTGTCATTCTAAAACCAAAATGGAAAGGGTGATTTTCAGTGTGGGGGTTGTGATAAAAGGTGGAATGAGGGGAATCTTAAGTGGGTGGTGAGCAAACCAGGAGAAGGTGGCTTAGAGCCAACTTGCTGTTAGCAGGATTAGGACAGCTCAGGTGGCCAAGTGAAGGGCTGGTGAGGGAACTGGCATTGTTTGAGGACCTTAGGCAGCCTTGGGCAGTGGGGAGAGCCCAGCCTCTCAGTCAGGCTTGGATTCAAACTGCCTCACCCAGCTGCGTGAGATCCAGCAGTTATTGACTGCTGTACACCCACTTACTTCATCTGTAAAGAGGGGATAATGGTAAGACCTACTGTACAGGGTTCTTGTGCAGAGAAAATGCATGTGATCACAGTGAGGTGCAGGTGCCTGGCCTACAATACACATGTTATCCAAGGTAGGGATTCTTATATATTAGTATGGCATTTACAAGAAGTACTAGATAATGGCAAAATAACTTTGTAGAAAAGTTCAAGACACAGAAAAATCAACCATGGTATGGGTTTGTCACCACCACAGTCATCTATGAGGTTTCCAAATGGACCCAGTGTGAACATGACCTAATAGCTGTAGGGCTGTCTTGGGATTTTAAGCCATGGCCAGGGCCCATGGGCCACCTGCCAGACACAGAATAAGACCCCATCCCACCCCTGCCCCGTGGGCTGCCCCTGTTGTTTCCCTAGCAAGCTGGGTGCCAGGGTTGCAGGGTTCTGGTGAAGTCTGAGAAGGAGGCCACTCACCGCTCGGTACCTGACCAGATAGTGTCTGATGGGGGAGCCGCCGTCATCCTGCTTGATCAGGTTCACTTTAATAGAGTTTCCATCCTCTCCCATCTGCCCTTCGAGCTTAGGTGCACTGGGTTCCCCTGAAACAGCCAGTTAATTCACATGAAATTCTCATCCACAGAATGAAAATCCAACCCATCTGAATGGGATGGAGTGACAGGGTGGGGCTGGACACTTTTCTTGCTTTCTCAGAAATTCAAATGGTTAAAAAGCAATAAATATAAAACTGAATTCCAGGTAGATGCCTCAGACTGAGCCCAAACTGAGAGTGCCTCTTGGGAATGTTCTGGTAAATAGCCTTCCTGTGAGCAGGGTCCTTTCACCATTTTAGGAATAGGCTTTTTTTTTTTTTTTTTTTTCCCCTGTCTCACTGGTACTTATGTTTCCTTTTAGCTGGTCTTACAACTGAAGATTTAATTTTTATAAGCCTGACACATCTTGAGGAACAGCCTGAAATAGGAGAAAATAGAAGTGTTTGAGTAGGAAACTCCCACCTATAAAATTATTTTGTAAAACAGCCCAGTTTCTTGCCGGGACACATCACTCACCCCTGGGACTGGGAGGCCTGATCTCTAGTGGGAGTAAATAATGCTGCATTCTTGGGACTGGCTTTTCATGAACGACATTTTATTACTTAGATTCGTTTAAAAAATAAGAAGTTTCCGGTTGTGATTAAATAAATCACAACTTGCCCCAGGCAAGTTTTTTGTAAGTATCCTTATGGCTCTTATGCAAGTTTCCTGTAAGTATCCACTAATGGTTCAAATGAGTGAGTGCTAATTCTCAAGACTTTAATGTGTTAAAGTAACAATCAGTGCAGTCTTTTTCTTTGTGAGAGGAGAGAGAGAAAAATGTCTTTAGCATTTCTCAACAGAAAAACAGTTGTTTCTTGATTTGCAGTATACACTCAGCTTGTAGCACTGTGAATCCAAGGTCGAGAAGGAAGATGAACTTGCATGTGACAAACTGCTAGGGCTAGGATGGTTCTCCAGTGAGTAAGGCACTCATTTACTTTAAAAGAAACAATTGCATTAATATATGCTGAAAGTAATAAGGTGAGAGGACGTCTCATATACAAAGTTAAAATTAAGATTTAACACACTGGGGAATCCTGCACTTCTGTGAGGAGCTATCTCTGCATCTATTTCATAACCTCAGAGAGAAAACTTGGAGAGGCTACAAAACAGTTACCTTCTGGGTGGGTCACTCTGGCTTGCTCTCTGGAAAACAGAATCACAGACGTGTGACAGAAGAGCCACAAAATGGCTTGTCACCAGGGATTGGATCTAAGCACCTAAAACTACACCATTGGCCATTTATGAGACGGCTGCAGGCACAGCGAGAGTCACGCCTCACTTCTCATTCAGCTACTCTGGGAACCACCTTCCTTTGATACGAGGAGGAACCAGAGAGAAGGCTAAGGAAGAGCCCACTACTTATCATCATAGGGCCAGCAGCATGCTGATCACCTGGGCGCTTTTTAGACCTGTAACAAGATCCTTCCAGTGATCTCTGTGCACATTTAGGTTAGAGAAGTAGCAGTAACAGGCATAGATTAAAAGCTGCAACAAGGAGGATGCACAATGTCTGGAGGATATTTAGGAAAAGTTGTGCTTATTATTTGTTTTCTTAGATCAATAATTAAGGACAAATAAAAACAGGAATAAAAAGATGAATGGACTTCAGGCAAAGACCTGTCCTGTTTTAAAGCCACTATCTAGCCCCAGGCCACAACTATTCAGTGGAAAATAGGTAGAAATTTGGTTTAGACACGTCAAGGTATTTAGGCTTTCCAAATTCCTTCGGACTGTCCCAAGTCCTAGATAATACATCAGTTATGGCTATGTCATTATAGATATCCAGTGCTAAAAAGTGACTCAAAGTGGCATAGATTTTAGATCAAGGCAGGAGCTCTGTGTAGATTCAGAAATGCTGAACAAATAGAAGGAGACACAGGAGAACTTTACAAATTGTATTCTCTGATTAAATTGGGGTGACCAACTCATCCCGGTTAGTCTGGAAGATTCCAGGTTTTAGCACTGCAAGTTCAACATCCTGGGAAACCCTTCAGTCCCAGGCAAACTGGAATGGTTGATGACCCTAGACCTACTGCAAATGAACAAATTATTTTAACTTTGTTCACTTAGAATCATGACACTGACTCTGTGCTGAATGGTCTACCTGCCCTAGCCTGGAGGGGATTTTTATAGGCAGCATCAGTGGCCCTTCCAACATGCCCACTAGTCGAGGACTGTGTCCTTCTCCCAAGGCCCCCTTTTAGGGATCAGTCCACTGGGGCCTCCCTGGCTGCACGTTCCTAATTAGTTCCTCTTGAAATTGAGCTGTGTGAGTTTTCAAGGCTGAATCAATCCTGCAAAACACTGTCTCTGAACTCCGCATCATGGGGGGTCTGTTGCCTCGATCAAGTTTCATTCCACATTTACAAAATATGGGCCCTGAATTGGATGCTATTTAGGGCTCCTTCCAGCTCTGTTGTCATGTGAAACAGTGACAGCCACTGCACTAGCACGGACTACCAACTACACCTGGGCTGTTTCTCATGACATTGTGGGAAACAGAACACAAAATTCACGACTTTCAGCCAATTTTAGGGAGATGCACTCCAAGGTCAACAATTTCACATCTCTAAGGCAGAAAGTTGTCAACTTTTTGCTTTAAAATGTTGAAAAAGTTATCTCAAAAGTTTTGTCTTTGAAAAGAGACCCCCAAGTCTCTTCAAAGACCTAAGAATAAAAATCTCTCTAGGGAATCCTGCAGAAACCAACTTCCCTGATGAAAGTACTCTCTTATCTTTAGATTTGTTTCAGAAAAAATGTAATTTGAATCGGAGAAAAGCCATCAAAATCTATACCATAGTTAGAACACATTTGACATAGTTAGAACACTATAATTTGTATCATTTTATCTGAGTCTATCACAGTACTCTGATATGTGTGTATTATTTTCTCTTAGAATTTAGAGCATTTTATATTAAATAATAATATTGGCTGGTCACAGTGGCTCACACCTGTAACCCTAGGACTTCGGGAGGCTGAGGCAGGTGGATCACTTGTGGTTAGGATTTTGTGACCAGCCTGGCCAACATAGTGAAACTCTGTCTCTACCAAAAAAAAAAAAAAAAAAAAAAAAAAAAAAAGCTGGGCATAGTGGCATGTGCCTGTAATCCCAGCTACTGAAGAGGCTGAGGCACGAGAACCACTTGAACCCCGGAGGCAGAGGTTGCAGTGAGCCAAGATCATGCCACTGCACTCCAGCCTGGGTGACAGAGTGAGACCTTGTCTCAAAAATAAAATGAAATAATATTTAGGTTTATTATTTAGAGTGCTTTACCTACGATTTATTCAACAGATGTGTACTGAGTATCTACTAGGTCCCAGGTAGTCTATTAGGCACTGAAGTCTCAAAGGTAAATAAGACACCATTTTGTTTGCCAAATGAAAAAACTAAGTTATGATTAATTCTTTTAAAAGATGATGAGGTTCTTGGACGGATACATAATGCTTCCTATGACTTTTTTTTTTTTTTTTTTTGAGACAGGGTCTTGCTCTGTCACCCAAGCTGAAGTGCAGTGGCACAATCATAGCTCACTGCAGTCTTAATCTCCATGACTCAAGCGATTCACTCACCACAGCCTCCGGAGTAGCTAGGACCACAGGCACATGCCACCACACTCGGCTAATTTTTTGTAGAGATGGGGTCTCACTGTGTTACTGAGGCTGGTCTTGAACTTCTAGGCTCAAGCTATCCTCTCACCTTGGCCTCCCAAAGTACTGGGATTACAGGTGTGAGCCCCTGCACCCAGCCTATGACAGTATTTCTACAGGAAGCTCATATTCAACTAATATCACAGAGATTTTGACCGACTTGGTGGCTCTGTAACTTGCTGTGAGTACATGAAAATATGGAAAGAGCAATTGTTTCATCAAGTGTCTTATCTTCCAGTGTTCACTGTCAGCAAATTCTCTTAAAGATTAGAAATGGGGTTAGAGAAACTTTCTTAGGCTTTCTACACAAAGCCTGATGAGGGAGGGGCTGTGGTGGGAGAAAAGGGACCTTGCCATTCAGGAGGCTGACTGCTTTATCGAGCACATTAGCAGAAGAAATGCCTGAGAGAGTCCTGATGTGCACTGTGTTCTGAGATGGCTGCCCTGATTGAAATCATTATGAGTAAGTTCAGTAAAACCATTATTGTAATTATTTGTAAATGTTGGTTTGCGATTCAGCAGCAATCGGCAGGTTGCTCCCAGAAGACCCCTGGGGTTAATTATACCCTTGGAGTTTCGCTTTAGCCATGAGTCAAATGTTCCCCCCAAAATGTATTATGTAAAGACTACACCAACGGAACATTAAAAAGAAACTTTGCCAATAACAAATATAAAGTATTGTGCAGTTCTGGTATTTTCTAGCAGGATGTGAATCATGAACCCAAGAAAGAAAGAACGTACCATAGAGGCCACATATAGTCAGATATATCATAGGCAGGTCCTATGAAATTCTCCCTTAGAAACCATAATTGAAATGTATATTTCTGGCCATGCCGATTGCAGGTTCTCTGTTTGTAATTACTCTGCTACTGTACCCTTAAATCTGAATCAGCTTCATGCCCTTCCTCTCATCAGCAGAAGCCCCAGGAGTTAGAAAACTCCACTGGATATCTGAATTCCACAACAAAAATTATAGCAAATCCAGGGTACTTGGACAGCATTGGTGAATTTTAGCAGGAAAACAATATTCTATTTCTCACTCAAAGGAGCCCGAGCACCAAGAGTTAGCTGTGTCTTCTGAATGAAAGGCTGGGGTGCCAAACAGGCATCCTCAAGAAAGCCTCTATCTGGGGCTGGGCACAATGGCTCACGCCTGTAATCCCAGCACTTTGGGAGGCTGAGGTGGGTGGATCACCTGAGGTCAGGAGTTCAAGACCAGCCTGGCCTACATGGTGAAACCCCATCTCTACTAAAAAAATAAAAAAAATTATCTGGGCATGGTGGCATGCGTCTGTAATCCCAGCTACGCAGGAGGCTGAGGCAGGAGAATTGCTTGAGCATGGGAGGTGGAGGTTGCAGTGAGCAGAGATCGCACCACTGCACTCCAGCCTGGGTGACAGCGAGACTCAGCCTCAAAAGAAACAAAACAAAACAAAAAGCCCTCCATCTGTGTTCTCTATTCATCTACTTTGTTTTCTCCCTCATAGAGATCTGCACAAAGTTTCAGGTGTCTGAGCGTAAACCTGTGATAAATGTGGGGCTTGCATTACAATCTTTTACTTTTCCTATCAAATAAGACTGTCTAGTTTTAAAAATACTGTTCATTTTGTTTATCATAACTCCTGTCTCCTTTGGTTGATTATTTCTTCCAAGCAATTTGAAACTTGTGTTATATATACCTTTTTACACTTAGTTTTTGAAAAGTCCAAAATGTATGATTTAGCTATTCAAATATGAAGCCTATTTACTTTTTCCAAGTCAGAAACATTACAATTACATCCAGAGGTTAGAAATGTGGCTGGTCCTTAGGGGATCAGCAAATTATCTGAGGGAATCAGGATTTAGCGTTATTAGACCACTGATTCTCTTTCCTGAAACAAAGCGCTTAGCCCTCGACGACAAACAAAAGAATCGGATGTGATCTATGTTGCATACATTCTTGGATCCTCATGTCTCTCCCTGGCGCCTCTTTTGGTAACCTACCTGGCTATTCTAGGGATGCCGAGTGACTTTCGGACAGTCCCGAAGAACAGCCGGGCAGTGTAAGAGTGGGTATTAATTTGTCTTAGGCATTGTTCCTGCTGGATCAAGCTTTTGGGGTAAAGTTTTGTTTGTTTTTCCCTGAACCCTTTTCTCTTCAGCTTTAAGGCCTTGCTTGTGCCTGAGTGACCAGAATCTTTGCCATCCTAGTTCCTAGCTCC
Source organism: Homo sapiens (assembly GCF_000001405.40). Taxonomy (NCBI): domain Eukaryota; kingdom Metazoa; phylum Chordata; class Mammalia; order Primates; family Hominidae; genus Homo; species Homo sapiens. Next base: position 113,250,030 of record NC_000011.10, on the reverse strand, counting down.
AGGGAGCCTCGGGATACACAATGAGTGAGTGTGGGCACGGCCGGTTCCCAGCTTGCAGAGCAAGGATGCTGAGCTCCCCGCAGCCACACTCACTAAGGCATCTGGTCTGTAAATCCTTTCCAGCACCAGTTTCCTGAGGAATTTATGAATGTGAGAGTATGTGTTGGGGTACGGTGGCAAATGGCAGCACAAGGTACAAATTAAACAGCAACCAACGAGCTCTGACAGACTGAACCACAAAAATACCAGTTCCCTTCTCGCAGGTGTCATGAAAACACCAACAGATTAATTGATCAATTATCTTTGTTTCATCATCCTAAAAAGAAAATATGACCAGGAAGGTATGGCTTGTGGTTATGGGGCTGATCCAGGCTGAGGAAGTTATGACAGAAATAACTGCTATCATCAACAGTTAACTCGGCTCCTGCCTCCAAGGCCACAAGGGGGCTCGTGCCCATCTTCAACTCTATTTCATGGACATTAGATTGGTTATGAAGAAGAATGTGGCTCCTGGGGAGTTTCAGCCCCCATACTGGTGACCCTAAGGGAACTGGCAGTTTCCAAGGCCAGCAGCAGCCCACAGTCCCTGCCCACAGTCCCTGCCCACAGGATTCGGGCTGACACACCTCACTGCCTTTTTCTTCAGCCCCTTCCCACTGACTCTCTACCCTAGGAACCTCCAGTGCAGGGAATCCTTAGAGATAAAGGCAATTAGAGCAGAAACCCTGGTGAAAAGTCTGTGTCGACCTGCCAGAGATCGTGGCAATCCAGACACACAGCTGTGAAAAAATAAAGGAGGGAGTGGAAGGGGTGGTTAGTGATGTTTTCAATCTAAGAAGGAAGAGTGGGTGTTAAAGAGCTTAGCTCATCAGAATCAGCGTTTCCTAGTACGAGTCAGTGTCAGTAGCTAAAGAAAAAAAATATCATTATGAATGGCTGGGGAGGGCGCCATGCTCAGACATGCAGCACATGGACAGAGGGGTGCAGGGGGCTTCTCATCTCACACATGCTGCTGGTGGGGAGTCCCATTTACACAGAGTCCTCAGTAGCTGGTGGACAAAGCCACGGCTCCGTGGAGTCATTGGAGGAAGCCCTGCAGTGACATGATGCCATGACCTTAGAATCAAAGTTTGCATCCTCACTTCTTCTTTTCTGGGACAGGTGTCTAAGCTTATCTGTCACAATCCTCTACAGGCCAAGCCCTGTAGGCTCAGGAGCCAAGTAACCATAAAGGATAGGGCTCAATCCCTGTTATAACCTCCCTTCTCCTTCTGAGTCGCCACACTTCACGCAGTGCTGCTGGATTCTGTAAACGCTGTCCCACTGAACTCAGGGTAGATGGAGCATCCAGCTTAGGTTATGCATATCCCAGGCAGTTTTCTTTTTTTGAGGGGGTACAAGGTGGACAGGGAACATCAGATGTCACCAGTTGTTGGGTGTACAACCCACTGACAGCAGAAAGCTCCCCCCTCACCCCCCAGCTTACTCTCACTTTTCTCATTGAGGCCCAATTCAGCTTAAATCTTTGCTAATACCCAGGGAGAGGAGGTGATAACTGTCCTTAACTAAGCTTTGTTGCTCTCCTCCATGGATTTTATTGGCCCTGACCTCTTCATTCTCTTAAATTTTATTGTTAAAGGACAATTCCTGCTGCGTGCGGGGCTCACCTGAATAAGTCTTCAGCTTGCCCCCTTGCAGATGGCAGGAGAGGGTCTGTCATGGATGAGGACATGGTTCCAGGAGGGCGTAATCATAGCTTTGTAATTCTCTAAGGCTGTCAGCGATTTTTTTTTTTTTTTTTTGGTACCGGCCACATTTTTTACCAACAGCCAAGATGACTGCTAAGGAGTGTTTCTACGGCAACTGCAGAAAACATCTTTAAACATTTCTTGCCCTGGCTTAAAATGTCTGGAAGAGATCTCTCTTCAGAGGAATGAATTAGTGTCTACCTTATTAACATTGTGCTTTGTTTCGTTCCGAATTATAGCATTGCACAGAAATGACCAAGCTTGTTTTAAAAAAAGAAATGAATAGGTTTCAAATTCAACATCCAGTAACTGCTCACATTTAAGATTTCATGGTGAAGGCCCAGATCTTTTTCCAGAACATCAGCTACTGAACAGTCATCTTAAGTCTGAAAAATATCCAGTCTTGCTGATGGTCAACCTTTGGGAAATCATGAAAATACCGTATTTTGGGTGGGACTTGTAGTTTAGAAAATCTTAAGCTGTCTATATTCTCTGCCCTAAGACCTGCATATTCAGATGATTTTTAAAGGTAAGCCCAATTTATTGGCGTGGACTGCATCAGATGTCCTTCTGCTTCTGGGACATTCCCACTTTATTTCATGCAATGTACATACCCAATATCGCCTTTTTGGAAATGAAGATGGCTCATAGGCAAGTCCAGGAGTCTGGCTGTAAATGGGACTACATTGGGGCCAAGCTGACATCCCTATAAAGCTGAGGGGCTCAGAGATGGGAAATGTGGAGGGTGAACGAGAGGGAAGGTACACAGGGCTAACACACAGGAGGAGAACGAAACACAAGAGCAGACCGGGAACAAAGGACATGCGAGACCAGCTGTTGACGGTTTGTCTGTGTGGATGTCGCCCAATCAGTTCTCAGAGAAGTGAGGTCAAACAGGGACCCCTTGCATGCACGGGCACACCAGGGGGTTATTGGAGTTAGTTTTGCTTTCGTGATCCATGTAGCCAATGTCTCAGGCTGTGATTGGAAGCAAAACATTCCAGTTAGGAGAAAACTGAATGCATATGACTCAAAGGGCAGGTTCTGAATAGGTGTTTGATTTGAGTGAGGGAAGCTGTGAGCAGAGGCTTCCTTCTCTCCTTCTGGTAAGCGAGAAATGTTTTAACAAGGTTGTGACAGTCACAATATTAACTAATTATTTTGTCACCGCTATGCACTTAATTAGGCTATAATTTTATTTCCTTTGCTGCAAGGGTCAATCATGTGTTTCTTGATTACACGGAGATCTCCATTCATGGTAATTGCCAAGTGACTTTTGCTTTGATTTTCTCCCCCTCCCTGGGGGAGGGCCACTCTTAAAAAGTGACACCTCAGTAATCACAGCCAAACTGCTCTAATCCAAATTCTTAAATCTCTTATTTCAGAAAGTCCTCAATGTGCATGAATTTTATGAAGCACTCTCACTGGGTTTTGAACAAATACAACCTTTGCAATTGATATATTTCACTCTGTAGCATTTCAAGGTTGTAAACATTTTCACAGGAATGTGACTCATTTTAGAACAACTATGGTGTTTAGAACTACTGGATGAAGTTAAATAACAATGCTATCAAGCTAATTTGCCAAACACCTTTCTAGGAAATAATTTTTATGAACCATCTGGTAAAAATTCAAGTTTGCAAACTGTGCTGTGGCTAATGTGGGTTGACTGTAGAGAACAGTTTGTGTGACCAAATTTCTTGAAGCAAAATACCAAACCAAAGGTTGTCATGATACCAAATCGTCATGTCAAGTTTGCAAGGAATGATGAATTCTGGATGTGAATTGAGAACAAGAGGAAATCTCTCAAATGGCTTTGCTTAGGAAATCTGAGACAGGAAGAAATGAGTGTGCCCTATGTGCCAGGCTGTGGTCCCAGATTTATTTCACTAATCAGAACAAAGAGTTTTACCTTCTGTTCACCAGCGTGGACGACATCATCAGCACCATGCAAGCCACATGACAAAGTCACATGATACGCACGCACATGATATTGGTTGAAAGGAAAGTGGAGGAGGTCACATGGAAAATACAAAAAAATTAAAAACTGATGTAAACAATGGGCAGGGAGAAAAATCAACAACAAAATCACAGACTAAATAAAAGGAGAAATCAAATTAAATTAGCAGCATATATAGGAAACATTGGGAGGGCAGTGAAACTGCCCAGAAATAGAAGAATAATAAATCATAAAGAGCATTTGGTTAACAACACCAATAAGCATTAGCTACGGCTGCAACACTACATATTAATACCACATCAGGAGCATGTAAACTTGTTTTGAAATGGGGAGGTGTTGCTGTCAGGACCCAGATGTCAAAGTCAATCCAGGAGACTGTTAAAGGAAAAGAAAAAAGCAAGTTATTATCCACAGATTCCAGAAATGTCTCAGCATCCTTGGGAAACAAGGGCAATGAAACAGAATATGGGTCATCAAGGAAAAGTCCCGAGAGTCTTAAGGTGAAGACTGTGTGCCCTAGAAGAACAAAAGATTGTATTAAATTAAGAAGAGTCATTTCATGTTTCCTATGGCATAAGGAGGAGGGGAGTATGGGCTGAATGAGGCTGGGTGGATGCATGCCAGAGATGGTGGCTTTGAGGATCTTATCTCACTTCTTTCTCCACAAACCCATGTTATTCCTGAGACCTCGGTGAGCCTCCCTGAAGTCAAGACCCATATAAAGGAAGAGGCCAGTGCAGACTAGGGAATGGGTTTCCTTCTGATGGTTGAGACAATGGCTGTGTTGACACTAAACAGCAGAAACTGTACCTTTGGCCCAACGTGCTGAGAGTTTGACATTAAGCAAATGTTTGGGCCATTTGTGGTTAAAGTTTTTTGTTTTGAAACGGTCTCGTTTCATCACCCAGGCTGCAGTGCAGTGGCATGAAGATAGCTCACTCCAGCCTTGACCTCCCGGGCTCAAGCAATCTTTCTGCCTCAGCCTCCTGAATGGCTGGGACTGCAGGCGTCTGCTACTATACCCAGCTAATTTTTCTATTTTTTGTAGAGATGGGGGTTTCGCCCTGTTGGCCCCGCTGGGCTCAAGTGATCCTTCCACCTCAGCCTCCCAAAGTGCTGGGATTATAGGCTTGAGCCACGGCACCCAACCTGTTGTGGTTAAAGTTATATCTTTAGAATCGTGGTTGCACTGATAAGTCATAAATTTGAGATTTACAATGAAAAAAAAAAAACACTTTTCTTAAGCATTCCTTTTGGTCCTATGTTGTGACTGAGTGATCTCGACTTGTTAAAAGGTATTTTGGGTTTCTGACCTTAAATTTAAGAGGCCAGGGAAAGTTTTGGCCATTGCCAATTGAGGCTGAGGGAGAAGGGCAAAGAAGGGAGATGAAGACACCTTTCTGTGTAAAGAACACCGCTGGTTAAAAATAACCTGAGAGAAATGCTTTAACCAGGCTACCTCTTCCCTTGCCACCGTGAGCTGACAGAATGTGTGCTTCTTTCTTATTGTCTGGCATTACACAGATTCAGGCACCTTCCTACCAAAGGGGCCTTGCAGGGATTATATACAACTAAGCAATTGCTCCTTTGGTTTTATTTAGAATACCTTTATTCCCTCATAATTATAAATGGGTCCACACACACACACACACACACACACACACACACGCACACACACAGAAGCAAAACTGGGAGATATGTATTTTCAACCCCACTGATGGATTGATGATCGATGGATATTCACATGCTGATAGCTACTCTGCTATTAGTTCCACTGCAATTCACATGTGCCACATTTCATCTTACTAGTGAGAAATATGTTCATGCTAAACTCAGGCTGCTGCCCAATTGTGAGCATCTTTCCTTTATCTCAGTATCCACTGGGACCTACAATTTGGGTCAGTAGTCAAGTGGTTCAAAATAAAATGACTCAAACTTTCTTCCCTTTGGATGTCACAACTAAGCATTTTGTCTGTGGGCAGAAATGTCTGATGTTTAAAAATTAAAGACATGTCAGGGGAGAGACACCTAATTCCTTCTTCAGGCAAAATCTGGAACCAAGATTGTGTTTCACTAACAGAGAAGACCAACCTACAGTGAGCCACCTGAAATATGACACAGTTGTACAAATACATTATGTAGCTTTCTCCTACTGTGCCTGGACACACATTGCACCAGGTTGAAAAAGGACAGGAGTGACACTGTAGAATAAGAAAAGGGGCTGTCAGCTGCATTCCTTTTCCAAATGTAAAAAAAAACCCCTCATAATCTGAATTAAACCCATGCGAGCACAGCCTGTTGTCACCGGCTCTGCTCTGCTGACAAAATGAAACCTCAAAAGCATCAGGAATTAAAATTCATCGCAGCACACACACGGAGGGAACACCAAGAAAGCAGACCCTTAGCTGTGTTCTGCAGTAGAAAAAAAAGAACCATTTCATGCAACACACAGAACCAGGAAACTCTTTTCTTCTCTGTTCAATTATGTATTGGAAAGCTTGGCCCGGGGAGCTGGAGTTATACTTTGCATACCTGCTTTCTGCCTTCTTGTTCTGCTTGATGGGATGTATGCCATTTTTTTTCTGTGCAAGCAGAAATATTATAAAATCTAAAACTCCCACACAGCTTTGATGCTTGAACACTATGAACATGCACGCATACTCATATGGATTCTTCAGGAGATTCAGGTCCTCCACACACATCTTACTTCATTAGAGCATTATGAAGACCAGCTTGGAACATGTTACAGCAGTGATTCTGTGCAATGTTTTCTACGATGAAAAAAGAGGATACAATCTGGCTCTTGACTCTATTGTCAAGAGATAAATTCCAGCACTTTCATCTGGACTCTCAACCCAAGGGGAGCCTGGATTAGGCTTTTTCTGCCCATCATTTTTCTAGCACTGAGGCGGGAGCCTGAAAGGAGACAGCAGGAAGGAGCTCTCTCCTTCCCCTGTGCTCTGCGTACGCGGAGACAAAGCCGGGCATGCTGTCAGGAAGCAGCGGCTCCTTCCTTCTCGGCATCACCCTCTCCCTTTCCTCAAGCAGCCATTTTCTCCTATTCCTTCCCTCGCTCTCAGTCTTTTTGCTACTGCTAAATTAACACGCGCATGAGCGTGTGTATTTCAGAAGGAGGGACAGCAAAGCGAAAGCCGGGAAGGAGATGCTGTTCTTTTGTGTCCTCAGGGTTTGCCTAATCCTTGGCTATTTTTAACTAGAGAGTCGATTTGGAAAAGCCTCCTCATGCACGGAGTATTCTTCCAATAATCAACCCCGTTCTTTTGCTGATGCTTGGTTTGCTCTCTTGGCCAAGCAGACGGCATGCTTAGGAAACCACACCAGGCTAGGAGCCTTCATGCATTCACAACTGTTGCTTTTAATAAAAGGGAAAACAACAGGCAGCGCTGTAATCTAGAAGTCGGCTCTACAACAAGCGATCAGAGGTCTGGCCGAGAGCAACTCAGCCCTGTACTCACTAGCTGGTTCTGTGGTTGCAAGGGCAGGAAGAGGCCAAGTTGCTATGGAAACACGACAGACAGAAAAGGCAAAGAAAGGTGAAGGAGAGAATGGAGATAAATTAAACTCATAGCTATATATGTATACATACATGGGTGAGTATATATTATACATATGTAGGCATCATTATAAAGATGGTGAAGGAGGTATTCTCTCTCTTCTCTATCAATATTAATATACATATTATTTATTATTTTGAGATGGAGTCTTGCTCTGTCACTCAGGCTAGAGTGCAATGGTGCGATCTTGTCTCATTACAACCTCCATCTCCTGGGTTCAAACAATTCTCCTGCCTCAGCCTCCCAAGTAACTGGGATTACAGGCACATGCCACCACGCCTGGCTAATTTTTGTATTTTTAGTAGAGACAAGGTTGCCCAGACCGGTCTTGAACTCCTGGCCTCAAGCAATCCACCCGCCTGGCCCTCTCAAAGTGCTGGGATTACAGGCCTGAGCCACCATGCTGGGCCTTAATATACATATTTAAAAGACTCTTAATATACATATTTAAAAGAGATGATCAGAGATTTTGCTGACAAATGACTTTCATGCAGCAAGAGATAACATAACTCTCATTTATTCTTACTATTAATTCCAGCTGCTAAATGCTGAGCAGTATGTTTTGTGTTCTTCACATTTAATCTTTAATTTTCACAAACACTGAAAAGGTAAGTGGAATCCATCCTTCACCTTAGAGGTAAGAAATCTGAGACTTGGGGAGGCTTAGCGACTTATCCTAGGTTATGGAGCTTCAGGCGGAAGAAGCGGAGCTGTGATTTGAACCCAGGTCTGTCTACTTCCAAAGCCTGAACTCCGTCTGCTACAGGACAGTGCCTGGAAAAGCACTGCATGGGATGGTGGGCATGCTTCTGAGTCAACAGATGGTGACAGAGGGCTTCTGAGCTTGAGGCTTGAGTCACCTCCTGAGTCTGAGTCCAAACCACAGGGGCTTCTGATATATCAAGGAGAATAAAGCCAGCCAGGCGGCACCACCCTGCCTGCCCATTTGCTGCTGTCTGCCACTCTGGGCAGATGCTGGCATTACATCCTGTGTCTTACTGAGCTGTGGTCTTACTTTGCTATTCCTCCCTGGAAAGCTAGGTTCAAAACTCCAAACAGTGGCAGGCCTGGAGCCCCTTCTACTCCTGCACATTCAGGCACACAAAAGGACAGGATAGCAACATTAATTAGATCAGAAATGAGCAAGGCTTAGCCAGGATGATGAAATCTGAGAGCGACCAGCTGACATTACTGCTGGCTTGGTGGTAATGATCCCATGTGGGTAAAGCAGAGCATGATAAACATGAAAATGTTTGTGATTTTCTTTAGGGTGGCGGGACGTGGGTGACTACTCATCCTATTTTACAGAGGAGATAAACAAGGCTCACTTGTGAAGGGTTAAACGATTTGCCTAAGCGCCTACTGCCAGGCACATCTGCCAGACACTGCCAGACACTGTTTATTTTCCCACAAATATTTACAAGAAAAGTATGCATTTATGGATAAAGCGAAAGCTACAGGCCTCCCTATCTAATTTCAATGTCTGTATCCAACTGTGCCAATTAAAATGAAGGGTAAAAACAAAACACTCCAACACATTTTCTATGACCCTGCAGAGGAGACATTTTTCTTGGTCAATTCCTTTGGCTTCTCCAAATACGAGCTTTGATCCAGCCCACTCAGAATCCTGAGGACAGGGCTGGCCCCAGGGCGGCAGCCTTGGGGATCCTGCCTGCAGGGTTTTCTATCCAGAACAATGCTTTTCCCTCGCCTCTCCTTCAGGGAAGGCTGCCCCTCATGGATCTGAGAAGCCCTATGCCTGTTTCTCTTCTCAACTGCTCCTCTAAAACCCGACGCTGCTTTCCACCAACTGAGTTGAATTATCACCTGGTGAAGGAGATAACATTAGGCAAAACAAACTGTGGCTGGTGGAAAGTGACCTGCAGAGAGATGGATGAAGAAAATGATACTCACTATCTGGTGGAGACAATGGAACAGGGGTAGACGAGCTAGCAGATGCCGCTGAAGAAAGAAAAATGAAGGTGGGGAAAAAAGATCATTGAGGCACACAGATACTGAATGAAAAAAAAATGGAAGCAACAACCCTGGGGCATCAGTATGAGGAGCTGAAGTGAGTTAAAGTGGGAAGAACAACACCGTGTGTGAACAGCTGGCCAGGGCACTAGCGAGGAGCAGGGCTCTCTCTAACGTCAAACCTTGAGACTGTGCACCTGCCAAACCCTGCAGTTCAGGTAAAGTCTGGGCCAGGAACAGCTGCACAAGCCTCAAACCTTGACTGAAAACAAATATCCAGTTCAGCAGGACCAGCTGTCTCCATAGGACGAGAGGTATAGGAGGAAAAGGAATCTGGACCTCAGTTTAAGGTGAACCAGTGAAGGAGAAAATAGACATTGGCTTTTCATGTTACACATCTATATATGTGTTTCTATATAGGTATATATTTCCACATATGACTTTATTTATAGCAAAACCTATATGCCTCACTCATTTCAACATCTGAATGAATGAGACAGAAATGGCTCTCCTACCTAATGTGTACTAGTGTATGAAGTTCATGATCCTGTATCATACAGATGATGCTGCAACCACTGCTGCCTTCCAAAACTCCCCTACAGAATGTGGTTATTTGGAGGCTGCTACGTAAGAGCCATGCAAATAATGTTCAGGATTATTCTCACTCCTCCAGGGAATAGAAATGATGAAGAGACTGGGACTGAAATTCTAGCCATTCTTCTGTGTAGAGGATGGTTAGTTGTGCATCTGAGATACTGGGACACTGAATGGATCTTTGGTTTTTCATTGGCAAATATTTGGAAGTAGTCCCATCAGCAGTCACAAAACAAAGTCTCCTTCGAGAGCTAGATGAAAATTTGGAAAAACCTCAGTGTATCTCCGCCACTGCCTTAATATCTAATACTCATGGTTTTGTCTTCCTTTACCTTCCACATGAGGGCATCTCATTAAACCATGAGTACAGTGTCACTGGAATCAAAGCAACAAAGAATCATAACTCATCATTATTGGATGGTCTGGTTAATTCAGGTCTCCTTCCCTCTCTTTTCTTTGTTTAGCTTGAATTGTTTGCATAGTTATACTTGCAATGTGCCACCTGGGGGACAACATATGAAAACAAAAATCTCAAGATGCCTCTTTTAAAAAGTAGAGACTCAGGAGTATGGCGTGAACCCGGGAGGCGGAGCTTGCAGTGAGCCGAGATCCCGCCACTGCACTCCAGCCTGGGCGACAGAGCGAGACTCCGTCTCAAAAAAAAAAAAAAAAAAAAAAAAGTAGAGACTCATTCATAATCTCTATATTCAAAAAGAAATAATCTATTTTGCTTCATGGTACAGAAGCAAATTAAGAGGTAATGTTTGGGCAATGAAATTATGAAGGTGGGTAGCTCAGTCATGGAGGGGAAGATTCCTAGCTAGTTGTAAGGAGTCTGACACAAGCAGCCCGTCTCAAGGCAAACAGAGGTTTTGAGCTTTCCTCCTGAGTGTCTTGATGGCATGCAGACATTTGGCTTAAAAAATACATGAAATAGGCACATTCTCACAGGTTAGAGTTTTATTTGTTGGTCTGGGGTCACAGCTTCCTCATTACCTTCATGCACATTCATGAACTACACACAAAGGAACCTCCAAACAGGTAAGCCATGCTTACTAACTGGCAGCTTGAAAACAAGAGTCCATTAAGTGTTTGTGGCTTTTACTAGCTCCCCCTGCTCATCCCTGCTCTGATATATCCATGTCCCTAAACATGGAAAGGTCTATTAAAGAACCAAGAAAGCAACCCCATTATTGAGACATCTCAACGAACTTCAAGCGATGAGTCAGTGCCAAATGCGCTGGTCTCACCTGACACCTGGCAGCCCAGGAGTCCGGCAGCAACACCTGCCTGTGCAGCACACTGGCCTCTGCTGACTCTGTGCCTTCTCTTCCTTGGGGCTTGGGGTATAACCAGAGCACAACTCCAGTGGTAGGAGATCCTGCTGTGCATCTGCATCCCAACAGTATTACAGGACAGGGGTGCAGTGTCAGTGGTGCCGTAAGCTGGCATCAGAAACCAATGCCACTGGTTCTTGGGCTCAGTGCAAGCACACAGCTAAACTGGTGGTTGGTTCTGTCTACCTAAGTTCAGACAATCTTTGTGTCTTCCAAGAAATGAGAGTAAGAATTCAGAGAAGGTCCTTCCTAAGGCTCGTCCTCAGTTCCTAGCAGCAAAAGGGTGGGTTTGTCATAGCAGTTGTAACTGCTGGCAGCATCCTCCCAATGATATCTGTTTTCAGGATGGGTCTAGGGGCAGCAGGATACTCCGTGGGCTAAGTCCTCACTTCAGCAACTCTGGGAAGGTTATCAGGGCACAAAGAAAGACCATAATAAGTTATCTTTGGTGATAATATGATGTTCCCATATGTTCACCGCCTCATCCTGCTAAAATTCTTGCAAAAGGCGTGCTCAACTCTAAGAATATGCCATGGTTCTACTTATCTAAAAGAAGTTTGCCTTTTGATTCTTCAGACCTTAACTTTATTAAATGATTGAGAAAAACTGACTTTCTGTACCACTAACAATGCCTGTTGTTGTACCATTCATGACCTACTTGGAATGCAGAGATGACACCATCCTTTTCCAAAGGGCTTCTTGGAGTCGTGGTTACTTATCCATTTTGATACTATCAGACAATAAACAACAAGGTCTGGAGACCTCTTTTTTGTAGTTAAAAATCTAAATTTTAATTTAAAATTAAAATTTCATTAAAAATTTCATTTTTAACATTGACTTTAAAAATATAGCTTCTGAGATATATATCTATATCTATCTATCTATCTATATATCTATATATATATCTATATATCTATATCTATATATCTATATATATCTATATATCTATATCTATATATCTATATATATCTATATATCTATATATATGGTCTCACCTTTGCAAGAACTGAGCTGGCAATGAATGAAAACCACTGCGGCCTTTGAAGTCCAAGACCCAGTTACTCTGATTCAGTACTCAAACTCCAGTTACTGGTTAGAAACTCAGAGGGGGGCCTCATCCCAGCCTTCCTCTCTTTAATGTAACTAAGCCAGCATTCATTTACTGATCAAATCCAGACCAGAGGAAACCTGGAGACTCAGTTGAACCACAAGTTAAAGATCAGGGGAAGATCCAGAAGGAAGGTTCCCTCATGCCCAGAGTGGCTCCTCTCGAACTTGCTTAGGGCATAGCTGCAGGCCCAGAGCAGGTACCTGTCAGTCCGGCCTGAAGGCTCCATCCCCCAACTCTGATGCCTTCGAGAGCTGGTTCATCCCGGCACCAACTCTGCTGAGGTAGGACATTTGGCACTTGCTCAAAATCTCAGAATACCTACATGTAGCTACTTAGTTTTTGCTGTTGCTGCAATATTTCTGAATAATGTTAAAAAGATAAGCTTCCTTGGGTACCTTTCAGGAGCTGGGAGCCTTTTTATGAAAAGACTGTACAGCTTCCTGAATACCTTTTTTTCTGTGTCTGCCTGGGTAACACCTCCCTCCGCTATTCTGGTTCAGCCTAGGAAGAACCAAATCTCAGGAGAAGGGAAGTTTAGGGGCATTTCTGCAGGCTAATGGGGTCAAACCACAGTTCATCTCTCTGTTACCCTTGTTCCCTGTGTCCTCTATGTACAGCTTACATGATGAAGGGTGTCCTTCCAGTGGGGAATCTCCCCTTCCCTAGCATGCATGGCAGAAGAGTTCCTACATTAGCTGGTTAGTCTTCCCCAAACGAGGAGATGCACACTGCAAGTAACTACATGCTAAAGAACAGAGCTGACCGGAACTAGAGATTTAACTCTGCAACAGCTACCTGTGGGACATGCCCATGGCTCGGAACCAAAGTTCATGCTACGTTTTGACTATGGCAGCTGCTGCAGGAGCCTCCCTGGCCAGTCCTCCTATTCCCCTCCAGCTACCAAGCTGACAGACAAGAAGCAAGGAAGCAACTGAGCTCAATTCCTTTATCTCCTAAAAGCAAATATGAAAATCCTTTCAGGTTCTTTTTCCTTTCAAGGTGTTTTGAATAGTGGCCTGGTGGGGCTGTGGTCACTTTCCCGGCATCCTGGCTGAAGGTGAGGCGGGGCTATAGCGTGTTATTCAGGGCCCATCTGCAGACTTCCACCATGCTTGGCTCAGCAAACACCATCTTTGCCGTGGGGTAATCATCACACACAAAAATTAATAAATAAGCACAATTTCCAAAGACACAGAAGTTGCATGCTCTAAAACAGGAAGAGTGTTAGCCTCTTGGAGTAACCTACAGACGTTAACAACAGCACAACTAGACTAAGGTCAGTGTGGTTAGGGCCCAGACAATATCATCTACTTCAGCCTCTAGGGGACAAAAAAGGGACCAGAACTAAATTACGAACTAGAACTAGCAGATGTTAACGCTATGGAAACAGGTAATGAGGTATGAAGAGGCACTTACGTGGAGGAGGGCTATCTGCATTTCCCATGGATGGAACACAGACGAAAAGAAAAAACAAGAGACAGACCCAAGAAAAAAAAAATAAGATGTAAAAGAAATGAATAGAATCCGCAGAGCACATGGAGCTGGAAACTCAAATTATCAAATTACTTCAAATCCAGAGAAAGAAGCCACTCCTGTAGAAGGAAGATGAGACAGGCTTTCCTATTTCTGGGAAGAGGTAAGGGCAGTGGGTCCCTTTGCAGGCCCCTGGCTTCAAAAAGAAGGAAGCAAAGGATTCTCCCAGGTGCATTTTAAATCCAGGGGTCAGAGAGCCCAGGGAACTCTGTGAACACTCAGAAATTTAGTTCTACGGTATCTTCTTTAGCTGGGTGGACTCAGGAGCTTCCCAGGGTAGTATCTCTGTCTGCAAAGGGGTATGACAGGAGCAGGGCTTGCCCACAGCCTGGCTGCTGGTGGGAAGGGAGGGCAAAGTGGGATAGGCGTAGTTAAAAGAAAGAGGGAATGGCCGAGGAAAACCTAGAGATACATCCCTGAGTGGAATCAGGGGGAAGCAATTCTCTTGAAAGAGGCCGTGAGGAATGCTCTTGCTATGGGAGGGAGAGGAGCAGAAAAGGCCAAGGCCAGGGCTACCTCTTCCCCTTGGCTTTGCTGGGTTTCTGCTGCTGCTCACATATTCTATAGCAGTTTCCATTTGTCTCTGACTTAATATCTCTGCTGCATCAAAGATCCCGCAATGCATTATGTGAACTGTCACCATCTTTACCCTCTTCCTGCAAGTCACAGGGTGCTTAGGGCTTCTGTGGCCTGTCGAAAAGCAACTTTCCCAGATCCTTTGACAACTCACTCCTGGTTTTCTCCCCACTTCCTTTAATAATGTGTTGGTGCCTTCCCCTTCACTGTTATTCTAACAAGCTGGACCGGCTACTAGGACAGTGTCCCCAACCCCTTGGAGAAAGAGAGAATGAAGGGACTGTGTGTTAGCTGTCACTGAGAACCAGAGAACTAGGAGGTGGGGCCTCCAGGAGCAGAGGGATCTGAAAGACAAAAAGCTGTGGTCTGAACAATGACATGGGCCAGCTCAGGGTTCCCCACTGCCCCCAGGGAGAAGAAGGTGGGCTGGGAAAAGGGGGGCAGCTGGCTTTACTTACGGACTGGCTGCGTCTTGAACTCGGAGGCCGCGCTGATCTCACCCAGCCCTTTGCCATTGAGCGCCGCCAGCCTTACGGCGTACGTTGTTTCGGGCTTCAGGCCCACGATGGTGACGATGCCCTCCATGCTGGCTGTTATAATATGGGAAGGATGACAAAAGAGTCTATTGTTAAAATGGTGCAGCCGCTCTGAAAAACAGTAGGGAGGGTCCTGAAAAAATTAACTGTAGATTTATCATTTGGTCCAGCAATTCTATTTCTGGGCATATGCATAGAATTGAAAGTCGGGACCAAACAGATACAGATACCTGGCTGTCCATGTTCACAGCAGTATCATTCACAATAGCCGAAAGGCAGACCCAAATGACAGATACAGATGGCAGACCAAACAGATACAGATACCTGGGCTACCCATGTTCACAGCAGCATCATTCACAATAGCCGAAAGGCAACCCAAATGACCACTGACTGATGAATGGATACATGAAATGTGGCATAGACATACAATGGAATGTTATTCCACCTTAAACAGGAAGGAAATTCTGACACATGCTACAACATGGATGAACCTTGAAGATATTATGCTAAGTGAAATAAAATAAGCTAGCCACAAAAGGACAAATGCCATATGAGTCCACTTATGTGAGGTACTTAGAATAGCCAACTACATAGAGACAGAAAGCATGGTGGTTGCCAGGGGCTGGGAGGAGGTAGTGAATGAAGAGCTAGTGTTTAATGGGTACAGAGTTTCAGTTTGGGATGATAAAAAGTTCTGGAGATGGATGGTGGTGATGGTTACAACTTAATGCCACTGAATTTTACACTTAAAAATGATGGAACGTAAAATGTATGTTATGTATATTTTATAATAAAAATAACTAGAATTGATCTTTAAAAAAAAAAAAAAGTCGGGTGGACAGATAGTGACATGAGATCAACCTGCCACAAAATTGGTATGAGATTTCAGAGGGAAGTTAGGAAGGCAAAGTGATTGCTTTCTTCTGGCTCCAATCCTGATTACCCAGCAGCTCCTCTCGGCCCCCTGGCTCCCCCGAGAAGCTGAAGAAGTGATGGAAACTTTCTGGCAGAACTAATTCTGAGTGAAACTGCACTGGACTATGTCTCTGAATGGCTGTGATACTGATATCCCAGCCTACTTCCAATTCCACTCGAATTACCACATACGAGACCAGGATTAAAAATTTGTACAGAAACAAAACATACTTCACTGAGTTATTCCAATTAAACCCAAAAAGGGGAGTCCAACATAAGCACACATTATCCTCAGATGATCTGGGCTCAGAATCTTCACACTGCAGTAATCCAAGGGTCAGTCTTTTAATCTTTAGCTTGGAAAGCTAGCACAGGACTGATTTAAGGGCAGACTTGTCCTGCTGGCTGTGCTTATTTGGTTACTATCACAATTACAAGACAGCCAGTCCCTGAGTACAGATATCCAAGCAGGACTGGCCGGGTGTCGGCAGAGAACCTGCAGCACAGGTAACTCAAACGTGCAGAGTAGGATGGATTAGACTCATCTGGCCATGCTCAGAACCTATGGGCTGGACTCATCTGGCTGCGCTCAGAACCTACACAAGGTTCCTGCCTGGAATGTGGTACAGATGCCTTCATCCATACTGGAAGGGTCATGAGAACCAGGCTCTGAAGCACAGAGCATGGGTTGGGGTGGCAATAGGGGCAACAACTCTACAGGCAGATATGACTTTGACCTAATTCTGGAGGTGCAGTTCCTGATTCTGTAGGAACATGCCCAGGATGGCAGGTGGGGACATCTGAGTACTGAGGCACTCATGATCCCAATGGAAACACCAACTCGCCCAACTCACCTTCCTTGGCATCATACCACTTGGAATGCCATACTTCTTCACCAACTGCTCTCCACTCAGCTTTGTATTTGAGGATGGGCACCCCACCTGTGGCCTCTGGTTCATCAAACTGCACCTGGGCTGTGCTGGAGTATGGCTCCACCTGGTCGATGGATGGTGAAGAGGGGGTGTCTGTGGGGAAGACACATATGGAGACTCAGGTGAGCCCAGTTTGGCCCAAGACCATTAACTCTCAGTCACAAGGCACATCTCTGTCATTTCTGCTCACTCTTGGGAATCCTGTCACT